>NW_011332696.1:0-300000 GCF_000001405.40 Homo sapiens | reverse complement strand
ATGGAGTTACATAAGCCTTCCTTTTATTTTCCATACATTTTCAGATTTTCCATCTTTGACCAGAAATTTGCCAAGCCAAGAGTTACCCCAGGAAGATTCTCTCTTACATGGCCAATTTTCACAAGCAGTCACTCCCCTAGCCCATCATCACACAGATTATTCAAAGCCCACCGATATCTCATGGAGAGACACACTTTCTCAGAAGTTTGGATCCTCAGATCACTTGGAGAAACTATTTAAGATGGATGAAGCAAGTGCCCAGCTCCTTGCTTATAAGGAAAAAGGCCATTCTCAGAGTTCACAATTTTCCTCTGATCAAGAAATAGCTCATCTGCTGCCTGAAAATGTGAGTGCGCTCCCAGCTACGGTGGCAGTTGCTTCTCCACATACCACCTCGGCTACTCCAAAGCCCGCCACCCTTCTACCCACCAATGCTTCAGTGACACCTTCTGGGACTTCCCAGCCACAGCTGGCCACCACAGCTCCACCTGTAACCACTGTCACTTCTCAGCCTCCCACGACCCTCATTTCTACAGTTTTTACACGGGCTGCGGCTACACTCCAAGCAATGGCTACAACAGCAGTTCTGACTACCACCTTTCAGGCACCTACGGACTCGAAAGGCAGCTTAGAAACCATACCGTTTACAGAAATCTCCAACCTAACTTTGAACACAGGGAATGTGTATAACCCTACTGCACTTTCTATGTCAAATGTGGAGTCTTCCACTATGAATAAAACTGCTTCCTGGGAAGGTAGGGAGGCCAGTCCAGGCAGTTCCTCCCAGGGCAGTGTTCCAGAAAATCAGTACGGCCTTCCATTTGAAAAATGGCTTCTTATCGGGTCCCTGCTCTTTGGTGTCCTGTTCCTGGTGATAGGCCTCGTCCTCCTGGGTAGAATCCTCTCGGAATCACTCCGCAGGAAACGTTACTCAAGACTGGATTATTTGATCAATGGGATCTATGTGGACATCTAAGGATGGAACTCGGTGTCTCTTAATTCATTTAGTAACCAGAAGCCCAAATGCAATGAGTTTCTGCTGACTTGCTAGTCTTAGCAGGAGGTTGTATTTTGAAGACAGGAAAATGCCCCCTTCTGCTTTCCTTTTTTTTTTTTGGAGACAGAGTCTTGCTTTGTTGCCCAGGCTGGAGTGCAGTAGCACGATCTCGGCTCTCACCGCAACCTCCGTCTCCTGGGTTCAAGCGATTCTCCTGCCTCAGCCTCCTAAGTATCTGGGATTACAGGCATGTGCCACCACACCTGGGTGATTTTTGTATTTTTAGTAGAGACGGGGTTTCACCATGTTGGTCAGGCTGGTCTCAAACTCCTGACCTAGTGATCCACCCTCCTCGGCCTCCCAAAGTGCTGGGATTACAGGCATGAGCCACCACAGCTGGCCCCCTTCTGTTTTATGTTTGGTTTTTGAGAAGGAATGAAGTGGGAACCAAATTAGGTAATTTTGGGTAATCTGTCTCTAAAATATTAGCTAAAAACAAAGCTCTATGTAAAGTAATAAAGTATAATTGCCATATAAATTTCAAAATTCAACTGGCTTTTATGCAAAGAAACAGGTTAGGACATCTAGGTTCCAATTCATTCACATTCTTGGTTCCAGATAAAATCAACTGTTTATATCAATTTCTAATGGATTTGCTTTTCTTTTTATATGGATTCCTTTAAAACTTATTCCAGATGTAGTTCCTTCCAATTAAATATTTGAATAAATCTTTTGTTACTCAGTAGTGTTCTCATAAGTAGCATGTCCAGCTGGATAACTTTCCATTTATTTCCACTAGCAAAATGATTATGTGGTGAAAATATGCGTTCCACGTTAAAATGACAACCCCCCCTTTTTCCCATCAGTGAGCAAAGAGCTTCACTTGGGAGAATCTAGCGGAATGTTAGCCCACATGGAGACAATGATAAGTCAGTTCTGATAAATGGCCATATCCACTTGGGATCTGTTCTAGTTAACTTGTGTGTGTGTGTGTGTGTGTGTGTGTGTGTGTGTGTGTGTGACAGAGTCTTGCTCTGTCACCCAGGCTAGAGTGCAGTGGCGCGATCTCGGCTCACTGCCAGCTCCGCCTCCTGGGTTCCCGCCATTCTCCTGCCTCAGCCTCCCAAGTAGCTGGGACTACAGGCGCCCGCCAACACGCCCAGCTAATTTTTTATATTTTTAGTAAAGACGGGGTTTCACTGTGTTAGTCAGGATGGTCTCGATCTCCTGACCTTGTGATCCGCCCGCCTCGGCCTCCCAAAGTGCTGGGATTACAGGCGTGAGCCACCGTGCCCGGCCTCTAGTTAACTTTTTAAAGAAGTATTATAGACATTTTCTAAACTTGTACTAAGTTAAAAATGTACCACTATTATTTTATATCCTTACTTAAATTGACCAGCAATCAGTCTAAGCTTAATTTAGAACAACATTGGAAATAATAACTAGCACAGGCCAGGCGCGGTGGCTCACGCCTGTAATCCCAGCACTTTGGGAGGCCGAGATGGGCAAATCACGAGGTCAGGAGATCGAGACCATCCTGGCTAACACGGTGAAACCCCGCCTCTACTAAAAATACAAAAAATTAGCCGGGCGTGGTGGCGGGCGCCTGTAGTTCCAGCTACTTGGGAGGCTGAGGCAGGAGAGTAGTTTGAATCCAGGAGGCGGAGGTTGCGGTGAGCCAG
The DNA here is from genome assembly GCF_000001405.40 of Homo sapiens. Lineage (NCBI taxonomy): Eukaryota > Metazoa > Chordata > Mammalia > Primates > Hominidae > Homo > Homo sapiens. The sequence goes on along the minus strand of NW_011332696.1, from coordinate 297,321 downwards.
ATTGCACCATTGCGCTCCAGCCTGGGCAACAGAGCCAGACTCCGTCTCAAAAATAATAATAATAATAACTAGCACTAACATGATGCTACAATTTTTACTGGTTACCAATTAAAATTTCTGAGAAAGGCTTTTAATAAAGTTTTCCAGACAAGTTATAGGTGAGGTAACAAAGAGTCCAGAAGTCCCCTGGGTCAGTTTGATACCTCTTTCCTCTGGACTTCAATTTGCTTATCTGCAAAACAGGAAATTTGATCCCTTCCAAGTGTCACCAGAGTTTTTAAAGATAAAAATGGAATTCAGATGCGAACTTAATACAGTGAGCACTAGAGGGCAGTAGCTGGTTAATAAGTACAGCAATTAAGACAAATGCAGGAAATGACAGAAAAGGCTTTTCTTCTCCTTCCTCCTCACCTCTTCCTTCCTCCTCACCTCCTTCCCCTCTGCTCTTCTGGTACCCCTCCCCCATTTCCCTGGTTTACACTAAGTTCATAAAGTACATTAAGAGGAAAGCTGGTCTATTGAAAATACTACTTTTCTTATATTTTCCAACTTAACAGCTTGACACAAATCTCCAAGGGGTTTACATAAGCTTTAAGTAGGCTGAATAAATAAAACCTTGAGTCAATTTAACTTAACAAGTATTTATTGAATATCCACATGTAGGCCAGAATCAGATTAGTAACCAGGTGCCTTGGAATTTTAAAATTTCTCCTCTCTTTATTAATGGATTTAGCGAGTGGAAATCAGGCTTTCTGTGATGGTTTATAAAGGTATTTTCCTGGCTCTCTTGGAGTTCTCTGTCCACCTTGCTGCAGTCTTTGTTGTGATGGGGAGACCACATGGGAGCGGTCCAGATGAGTGATGCTACGGGCCCAAACTGTTAGTGGCCGTGAGGATATAGGTTGTAGGGGACATCTGGAGTGGAAAGAGTGCTCTTCTCACACAGCTCTCTCTACTTACTGCCCCTAGGATGGTGGGTGCAACTGTGGCAAGGGCAGTCAGGGTAGGGGAATCCCTTAGAGGAATTCAGCAGTGACTAGTCTGGTTAGCCTTTCCCACAAGGCCCATTGAGTTATGAGCCCCCTCCTTTGGTTTGTAGAAAGAGAAGGTAGCAGCCTAGAACAGGTGAGAAGATGAGGTAGGTCCTTCTGCTCAAACATCCTCTCTCCGTATTTTACCAACACGATACTGACCTAGGTTAAAAAGCTACTCTTGGCCAGGCGTGGTGGCTCACGCCTGTAATCCCAGCACTTTGGGAGTCCAAGGTGGGTGGATCACCTGAGGTCAGGAGTTCTAGACCAGCCTGGCCAACATGGTGAAACCCCATCTCTACAGAAATACAAAAATTAGCCAGGCATGGTGGCAGACACCTGTAATCCCAGCTACTTGGGAGGCTGAGGTAGGATAATTGCTTGAGGCCGGGAGGGGGCGGTTGCAGTGAGCCAAGATCGCTCCATTGCACTCCAGCCTAGGCGACAGAGCAAGACTCTATCTCAAAAAAATAAAATAAAATAAAATAAAAATAAGCTACTCTTAGCCAGGCACATAGTGGCTCACATCTGTAATCTCAGCCCTTTGGGAGACTGAGGTGGGAGGATCACTTGAGCCCAGGAGGTCGAGGCTGCAGTGAGCCATGATCACGCCACTGCACTCCAGCCTGGGCGACAGAACGAGAGCCCATCTCAAAAAAAAAAACAAAACAACAACAACAAAAAAAAAACTAAAAAACTCTTAAAAAACCTGAGGACTCCTGGATGAATACTGTTATGTGCCTGTTTCTCAATTACCCCTGGCCTGAGTGAGGAACTTTTGGAACTCTTTGGCTCCCAGACTGTGGTGGGCACTACCGGTCAGCTGCCCAGCAGCCAGCCCTAGTCCCACTTCTGCCTCATTTGTTACAGGTTGGAAGTGCCAGGTTCAGGGATGGGCCTGTGACCCAAGTTTTAGCTGAAAGGAAACCTACTAGGGACTTCTAGGAGAGATTTTCTTGCTTGTAAAGGGAAGGCTGCACAAGGAGAAAAGCCCTTTCTAACCACATCCCCTTATTTCATGCTTGGGATGCTGACCATGTGAAGACTTGGTTGTTGGAGCTGTGGTGGCCTCCCTGCCATGATGAGGGGAGAAGGCACTGCCACACTGAGCGTGGCAGTGGGTACAGGAAGAGTCCAGTCTCCGGGATGCCTTGGTTAATTGACAGGACAAACCCTGGAACTGCCAACTTCCATCTTGTTCTGTAATAATAAATCTCTAATATTTGTACCACTTTCAGTCGAGTATTCTATGATTTATTACTTATTGATAGCAAACACTTAGAAAGTACTTACACTATGGGCCGGGCACAGTGGCTCACGCCTGTAATCCCAGCACTTTGGGAGGCCGAGGCGGGTGGATCACCTGAGGTCAGGAGTTCGAAACCAGCCTGGCCAACATGACGAAACCCCATCTCTACTAAAAATACAAAAATTAGCTGGGCGTGGCGGGGGCAGAGTTTGTAGTGAGCCAAGATTGCACCCCTGCACTCCAGCCTGAGCGACAGAGCAAGACTCCACAAAAGAAAGTACTTACACTATGCGCCAGATTCACTTTTACATATACTAACTCATTTCAATTCCACAACAACCTTTTGAATAATTTTAATCCTTATTCTGTAGATAAGGAAACTGAGACACAGCGAAGTTTAAGGGCCTTTCCAGAGGTCACTTGCCCAGATAGCCTGGCTCCGGAGTTGCCACTTTTTACATTCTTATAACTGGAATGATACACGGTGTAACCAAAAAGAGGTTTGCACTAGATTGGAAATGTTCTAGAAAGCTTTTTGTTGTTGTTTTTGTTGTTGTTGTTTGAGACAATTTTGCTTTGTCACCCAGGCTGGAGTGTAGTGGCGCAAACACAGCTTACTGCAGCCTCCAACTCTCGGGCTCAAGTAATCCTCCTGCCTCAGCCCCCCAAGTAGCTGGGACTACAGGCATGTGCCACCACGCCCAGCTAATTTTTGTATTTTTGTAGATACAGGGTTTTGCCATGTTGGCCAGGCTGGTCTCAAACCCCTGGACTCAAGCAATCTGCCCATTTCAGCCTTCTGAAGTGCTGGGATTACAGGCATGAGCCACCATGCCTGGCCCTAAATAGCTTTTATTTTTATTTATTTATTTAGAGACAGAGTTTTCTCTTGTCGCCCAGGCTGGAGTGCAATGGCATGATCTTGGCTCATTGCAACCTCTGCTCCTGGGTTCAAGCGATTCTCCTGCCTCAGCCTCCTGAGTAGCTGGGATTATGGGTGTGCACTACCATGGCCAGCTAATTTTGTATTTTTAGTAAAGGAGATGGGGTTTCACCATGTTGGCCAGGCTGGTCTTGAACTCCAGACCTCAGGTGATCTGCCCGCCTCAGCCTCCCAAAGTGTCGAGATTACAGGCATAAGCCTGCCCCTAGATAGCTTTTTATTTTGGTTTTTAGACGGCATCTTGCTCTGTCACCCAGGCTGGAGTGCAGTGGCACGATCTCAGCTCACTGCAACCTCTGCCTCCCGGGTTCAAGCAATTCTCCTGCCTCAGACTCCCAAGTAGCTGGGATTACAGGCACCCACCACCACACCCAGCTAATTTTTTAATTTTTTTGTAGAGATGGGGTTTCACCATGTTGGCCAGGCTGGTCTTGAACTCCTGACCTCAAGTGATCCACCCGCCTCGGCCTCCCAAAGTGCTGGGATTACAGGTGTGAGCCACTACACCCAGCCTAGATAGCTTTTAAATGGTGTTGAGCCGAATGATACCTTGAGCCGAAAGCATGGAAATGAAGAGGTCAGTGGTCTCATTCTGGAGTGGGCTTCATACACTTTCCCAGTTGCTGATCACCTGTACCAAAGTTAAGAGTGACTCCTCAGGGACACGCCGGAGCAGAGAACCCATCCTGTTTCCGTGTCCTGTCATCTGGGTTAATAGTACCGCCAGCCACCCAGTATCTCCTGTATTGAGCAACTTCAAAGTCATACTCTGTTTCTCCTGCTGCCTCAGCCTCCACATCCAATGTCTACCAAATATTACCTATTGTCTTTCAAAGACGCCTCTCAAAGTCAGCCGTCCCCACTGCTGCCTCCTGTTTGGTCTCCCTAACTTGCTTCTCCTTGCTCTGCTCCCACATCATATATTCCCTCCTTACGACTTCAAGTTACATTAAAAGCACAGCACACAGTACATGTAACTCCACGCATGACACTCTGTGCTCCCAGTACCTCTAGGGATGATTACCAGTTGCACGTGGCAGGTGTACCAAGGCTCCCCATGCACTAGCCCCAACCTAACCACACTGCAGCTACCTCTGTCCCGTGAAACCTGGGCTGTAGCTACACCACCCTTTTCAACATTTCTCAGTATTGCCAGACACTTTGACGAGCCATCCTCTTCCCTCTACTTGTAAATTCCTTTCCCCCTTGTTCACTTGGCAAATTTCCGCTCATCCTTCAAGACCACGATCACACGTCACCTCCACCAGAGTCTCCCCACACTCTCCCGGGAGACGTATCAATTCCTCCTGGGTTTCTGACACAGCTCGTGATTTATACCATTAGTGAAACACTTCCATGGAATCATAATGTATCAGGTTATATATTACCCCACTAGACTGGGATACGTTAGACAGCAACATTTCTCTGATTCCATCATGCTTAACAGTGTGTCTGGCACATAGGCATTCAATAAGTGATCATGAGTGAATTTTATAACCCGTTCATTGAAGGTCATTTCTTTCAGCAATGGGCAGTAATGTGATTTGGCTGCATACAGAACAGCTTCTATATCATGCAGTGAAAGTGAACGCACTGACGTGCATTTTGTAGCAGAATGGGATAAAATCCAGGTACACAGTAATGAAGTGTATACTCTCACTTCAACTAAGACCGTGTGCAGAGGGATGGGTAGATAAGTATTTGATTTTGTTTATTTCTCTCCTTTGGGTTCAGATAGTATAGTTTCCTTAGCCTATAGAGAGGATGAGCTGACAGAATGTGCTTTTGTTTGTGTTCTTATATTTTTGATTATTTTCCCTTTCTTTCTTTCCTTCTTTCCCTTGCTTTCTCTCCCTTCCTTCCTTCCTTCCTTTCTCCCTTCCCTCCCCTCCCTCCCCCCTCCCCTCCCATCCCGCTCCCCTCCCCCTCCTCTCCCCTCCCATCCCCCTCCCTTCCCCTCCCCCTCCCCTCCCCCTCCCCTCCCCTCCCCCTCCCCTCCCCCTCCCCTCCTCCTCCCTCCCTTCCTTTCTTTCTCCCTCCCCTCCCTCCCCCCTCCCCTCCCCCTCTCCTCCCCTCCCCCCTCCCCCCCCTCCTCCCCTCCCCCTCCCCTCCCCTCCCCCTCTCCTCCCCTCCCCCTCCCTTCTCCCTTCCCCTTCCCCTCCCCTCCCCTCCCCCTCCCTCCCTCCCTCCCTCCCTTCCTTTCTTTCATCACTCTGTTGTGCAGGCTGGAGTGCAGTGGCATGACAGCTCACTGCAGCCTCCACCTCCCCGGACCCAGGTGTCTCAAAAAACAAACAAACAAAAACCACAAAACACTAAATTCTGTAATTCTGATTTTATGCAAATACTGTGTATCAAGGGTCCACAGAATTACCTAAGCAATGTTATATTTGTTTTCACCTTTTTTACACGGATAATTGGTCTTCCCAGCAATATTTTAAATGACTGGAATATTAGCACTTCACTTACATTTTTTTTATCTGTTAGTCATTTATTGTTTTCCCCCTGTAGCTACAGCTCATGCCCATCTTTTTTTCCTCATCTAGTCCTAATTACAGTGCTATAAAGGATGAGAAAAACAGCTGAAAGCTGAAGGATCTGCCCAACCTGGTCTTCCGCCTCTCCATCCTGGCTTTTTTGCTGTGAGAAGTCCTACTGGCCCGTGCATTGTCTTGGTGATCAATGAACTAACATCTGTTAGTTTTAACATATCTAGACTCCCAACACTCTAAGGTTTTTCGTCTTTCTTTTCTTGGGACAAAAGGAAACCCAAATGCAGCCAGACAGGAATAGTCAAAGTTAGGAGTGGTGAGATCTCTCGGAGGTCAGGCCTCTACTGCCCCTTATCCCATTCATTCTCTACTCTATCTAGAACCACCCTCAACTTCTCAGGCCCTGAGACCTGCATCCCTCCAGCATCCCCTCTGCCTTCCAAGGCATGGCTTCCAGGAGAATGGGGAGATGGATGGGATGTGCAGGCTGTGTTTGAGGGGCCCATCTCCTTGAAGACTTCGCCTGTTCTCATAATCCCTGAAAGCCTGCTTCACTCACATCATCAGAGGAGAAAAGGAAACCTTCACCAACTGTGTTAGTCAGGGTTCTCTTAGAGGGACAGAACTAATATAAATAGATATATATATATATCCTATGATAGATAGATAGATAGATAGATAGATAGACAGACAGACAGATAGACAGACAGACATAAGGGGAGTTTATTAAGTATTAACCTCCACAATCACAAGGTCCCACAATAGGCTGTCTGCAAGCTGAGGAGCAAGGAGATCCAGTCCAAGTCCCAAAACTGAAGAACCTGGAGTCCGACGTTTGAGGGCAGGAAGCATCCAGCATGGGAGAAAGATGTAGGCTGGGAGGCTAGGCCAGTCTCTCTCCTTTTCGTGTTTTTCTGCCTGCCTTATATTCACTGGCAGCTGATTACATTGTGCCCACCAGATGAAGGGTGGATCTGCCTTCCCCAGCCCACTGACTCCAATATTAATCTCTTTTGGCAATAGCCACGCAGACACACCCAGGATTCATACTTTGTATCCCTCAATCCAATCAAGTTGACACTCAGTATTAACCATCACACCAACTATCACAACACTCACCTGACTACATACATTTTTAGGCCTTTAATGCAGATGGATCCATTTTCATAAGCTGAAGAAGATAAAAAGATGGAAGGCAGAGGTGGGAGGATCACTTAAGGCCAGGAGTTCAAGGCCAGCCCGAGCAACCTAGCAAGACCCTGTCTCTAAATAAATTTTTTTTTAAAGAAGAAAGGTGAAAGGATAATATAGAAGAAATAGTATTTGAAGCCAATGCATAAGTTTCTAAGTGAGTGAAGGTGAGTAGGTGAAAGACAGGATTCCAGAGATTGGGCAGATGAACCATTAGCAAACAATTGAATGTTATTGTCTTTTTGTGTTTTTTTTTGTTGTTGTTTGTTTGTTTTTCTCTTTTAGAGACAGAGTATTGCTCTGTTGCCCAGGCCAGAGGCAGTGCTATGATCAGAGCTCAATGCTGCCGTGACCTCCTGGGTTCAAGTGATCCTCCTGCCTCAGCCTCCCAAGTAGCTGGGACTACAGGTATGCATCACCATGCCTAGTTAATTTTTTAAATTTTTTGTAGAGACAGGGTTTCGCTATGTCGCCCAGGCTGGTCTCAAACTCCTGGCCACAAGCGATCCTCCCACCTCAGCCTCCCAAAGTGCTGGGATTACAGGCATGAGCCACCGTGCTTGGCCTCATTGTTTAATATTTAATGAAAGTATACATGGTGCTAAATTTATTTAGCCTCAGTCAGTGACCCCTAACAAACCACTAAGGCATTCCATGCCAGGCTGACCAGGTACAGTGGCACACAAGCCAAATGCTACTGCCACACAGCCTCCTTTTTAAATGTCCCAGAGTAGAGAGGAATAGGGACAGCTGCATTTTTGCAGCCAGCAAGGAGCTCCAGAGAGATCCTTTCCCAGCAGCCCCTGCCTTCCAGACAGGCGTTCTTATGCTCCAGTTATGTTCTGCAAATCTCAGCTTTTTTCATGTCCTCATCAGTCAACATCATCAGCAAGCTTTGCGGGGAGAAAGCCAAAAAAGTTCTTATCTTTAAAAACAAAAAAAAAAGAAAGGAAAGTCTTGCATTAGACGGACTTTGTCCAGCGCTGTTGCACCCGCCCTCCCTTCCTTCCACTCATACCTAACTTTGAAAACTGTCCCCAGGCATAATAAAATCCCCCTGGCTGGATTTACGACCTTCCAAGCTGCAGTGGAGAGGAAAAAGGCCCAACTCTGAGAAAAACAAGTATCCAGGGAGGACGGTGTGTGCTGAATTTTAAAATGTTAAATTACGGTGAAAAATTTGCTGGAAAAGAAACTATCTTTCAAATTGTGCTACATAGTAAAGTTAATAGAGCCCATATGTCCTCTACTAAAATTTAGAAAAACAAACTAAAAACAATACTTTCGCGCCTGCCAGGCTGAAATGTGATCTACTTCTTAATATTCACCCAACACAGGGTAAAATGCTTTAAGATGGTAATGATTCCAAAGCGCAGCTCAAGCTCAGTGGATAAACAACAGACCTCAAACCCTGGGGGGCTCATGTTCTCATCATAGCTCTGGGCAAGTCACTTAATCTCATGGTTCCTTCTCAATTTTCTCAGCTCTGAAACGGGGATGGCAGCACTTCACGAGGTGTTTATGAGGCATACTAAGATGGTTGTAAAACATTTTACAAATGTTTAATAACTGATGCCCTTTTCATAATTTGGCTTTATAACATCTTTCATTATTCATTCAGTGGTGTGGAAATAAATGAGTACAGGGGCTATTTACTCAGAGCTTGCTATGCTATGGGAGTCAGCTTCCATCACTTTGGCAGAAGGTCAAAGCAGGCAGAGGAGTGAGAGAATTTACAGTGACAAAAAGGGAAGGCTTCAGGTTTATCTGGATTGGAGCTTATTGGCACGAGGAAGTGGGAGATGGACTGCTTAGAAGCAGGGCAGGCTGGGTGCGGTGGCTCACGCCTGTAATCCCAGCAATTTGGGAGGCTGAGGTGGGAAGCTCACAAGGTCAGGAGTTCAAGGCCAGCCTGGCCAACATAGGGAAACCTCGTCTCTGCTAAAAATATAAATAAATAAATAAATAAGCCGGGCATGGTGGTGCGTGCCTGTAGTCCCAGCTGCTAGGGAGGCTGAGGCAGGAGAATTGCTTTAATCTGGGAGGCAGAGGTTGCAGTGAGCCAAGATCGCACCACTGCACTCCAGCCTGGGTGACAAAGCGAAACTCTGTCTCAAAAAAAAAAAAAAAAAAAAAATGAAGCAGGGCATCTTCGGTGATTAGTCTGGGGAGCATCTTTGGCTTTCTCTGGTCGGTGCTGAGTTGGAAGCCAAGTGGTTTGGCTTCCCCAGCTGGTTGCTACAAAGTTTGTGAGACTCAGTTCTATTCCCCATGGTCTGGCCATTGTTCACTGTTGGTATATTCATCCGTGAAAAATTAAAGATAGGAGGGTTCTGACTACCCCAGGAGAAAACCAGGTGCCTGCCTAGCAGCCTAGGGAGTAATTTATATTTCTTATACCTTTTAAATACTTTTAGAAGAAGCAAATTTAGAAGATAGACTGCTGAACCAACAATTTTCACTCTCTTGAGTCACTGGGCACAACGAGCTAGCAATCAGGACAATTGAGTTCCAGACATGAGTCTATTATAAGATGGGCAAAAGGGAGGTGGGAAGACTGACAAGTCACATAACCTCTCAGGGCCTCAGTTTCCTTGTGAACAGCCTGCGAGTTCCTATCTGTCTACCCTATTGCATTGTTTGGTTTTGAGGATAAGTGGCCTAATAGTTTGTAAAAGGACCCTATAAAGCAGATTTTTTTTTTTTTTGAAATAGAGTCTTGCTCTGTCGCCCAGGCTGGAGTGCAGTGGTGCAATCTTGGCTCACTGCAACCTCTGCCTCCTGGATTCTAGCGATTCTCGTGCTTCAGGATCCCGAGTAGCTAGAATTACAGGTTCACGCCACCACGCCTGGCTTATTTTTGTATTTTTAGTAGAGACTGGGTTTCACTGTGTTGGCCAGGCTGGTCTTGAACTACTGGCCTCAAGCGATCCGCCTGCCTTGGCCTCCCAAAGTGCTGAGATTACAGGCGTTAGCCACTGCATCTGGCCCCGGCTAATTTTTGTATTTTTAGTAGAGACGGGGTTTTGCCATCTTGGCCAGGCTGGTCTCGAACACCTGACCTTGTGATCCATCTGCCTCGGCCTCCCAAAGTGCTGGGATTACGGGCGTGAGCCACCACACTTGGTCCCTATAAAGCAGATAGTTTAAACCCTATAAAACAGGTATTTTAGAAGTGTGCTATGGAAGAATGTGGCATAAGCCTTTGAAGATCCACCTAGTGGACTGGAGTCTTGAAAATGCCCACGTGTCCTGTAGGAGGAATGCCAGACTCTTACAGACTCACCCTCTTTCCCATCTCTGTCTCCACCAAGGCCCACCCCTGCCCACTCCCCTGCTCCTCTGTTTTCAGTCTCTGTGAATGGAATCACCAGAAACGGGAATTTCTTTGGGCCTCTGCAGGAAACTAGCATACTTGACTTCAACCTCTCGTTAATTCCTCTGTTTATTCAAAAATAATGGGTTCCTTATTGCTATTTTAACATGAAGTAATAAATATTTTTTTAATTTCTTATTTTAAATTTCTAATATAGTGAATACTGATAGCTGTAACCAACATAAACAAAATCTCTTTAGGTCTTCAACAATAGTTGAGAATGAAAAAGGGCCGGGCAGCACTTTGAGAGGCCGAGGTGGTCAGATCACCTGAGACCAGCCTGGCCAAGAATGGCAAAACCCTGTCTCTACTAAAAATATGAAAATTAGCCCGCCATGGTGGCGGGCACCTGTAATCTCAGCTACTTGGGAGGCTGAGGCGCAAGAATGGCGTGAACCCGGAAGGTGGAGATTGCAGTGAGCTGAGATCGTGTCATTGCACTCCAGCCTGGGCAATAGAGCAAGATTCAGTCTCAAAAAAAAGAAAAGAAAAAAAAACAAGACTCAGTCTCAAAAAAAAAGAAAAAAAAGAAAAAACACATAAGAATGTAAAGGGTCCTAAAACTAAAACTTCATTAGCCACTGCTTTAGATACTCTTACCCTTTATCTCAGTGATTCTACTGCTAGGATTCTATTTTAAGGCCATAGAATTCCACATAGAAATGAACGCACAGTATGCTCGTTGCAGCACAATTATCAGTAGAATCAACCTGAGTCTCTGAAGAGGATTAAATAATTCACAGTACATTCATAAAATAAAATATTATACAGTTAATAAACATATTTTCAAAGAATTTTGATGATAGGGGAAATGCTAGCAGGGTAATAGTAAATGAAATAGCAGTACATGAAACCATACTGAGAATGCTCACAATTTTGTGTTTATGTGTATGTACAGCTTAAACATACTATATACACTAAACTGTTCCCAGTGATTCTCCATTTAGGGATTATTGGACTCTGGGTGATATTTTTCTGTATTTACATGCTGTCTACAGAAAACTCACATATTTTTATAATTAGAAAAACATAGGCCGGGCGCGGTGGCTCACGCCTGTAATCCCAGCACTTTGGGAGGCCGAGGTGGGTGGATCACGAGGTCAGGAGACCGAGATCATCCTGGCTAACACGGTGAAACCCCATCTTTACTAAAAATACACAAAAAATTAGCTGGGCGTGGTGGCGGACGCCTGTAGTCCCAGCTACTTGGGAGGCTGAGGTAGGAGAATGGTGTGAACCCAGGAGGCGGAGCTTGCAGTGAGCCAAGATCGCGCCACTGCACTCCAGCCTGGGCGACTGAGCAAGACTCTGTCTCAAAAAAACAAAACGAAAAAACATAAAAGTTACTTTAAAAATATTTATAACACCAAATATATATGTGTGTGTGTGTGTGTGTGTGTGTGTGTGTGTGTGTGTGTGTGTATTTTTTTTTTTTTTGAAACAAGCTCTCACTCTGTCACCCAGGCTGGAGTGCAGTGGCGCGATCTCACTACAGTCTCCGCTTCCCAGGCTCAAACCTCCCACCTGAGCCTTCCAAGTAGCTGGGACTATAGGGGCCAAGTAGCCAACACGCCCAGCTAATTTTTGTATTTTTTGTAGAGACAGGGTTTTGCCATGTTGCCCAGGTTGGTCTCAAAGTCCTGAACTCAAAGCTATCGCCCACCTCGGCCTTTAAATGCTGGGATTACAGTGAGCCATTGCACGCAGCTAACATTTACACTTTTAACACATAAGCTTCCAGCCTTCCAAAGGATAAGGATCCATAATTTATCTTTTTTTGTGTGTGAGGACAGGAGAGAAGGAGCATTTGCTATAGCACTTACAGGTATAAAATCCTGTCTAGCCACTATTTTAATATCCAATCATATGTCTGGTGTCTGAAAAGTCTTCTCTTTCATAATCACAGAGCCCAAGCTTCAACCAGGATAGGCCAGAAATCAGGCATACCAACAGGAACAGGCAGAGGCCACTGACTCAAATGCATAGCAAAGTCAATTTTCTTTGGCATTCACCTTGGAGAAAATGATAAGGCCAAGAGATAAGCCTGTGAGGCCAGGTGCAGTGGCTCATGCCTGAATCTCAGCACTTTGGGAGGCCAAGGTGGGAGGATGGCTTGAATCCAGGAGTTTGAGACCAGCTGGGCAACAAAGTGAGACTCTGTTTCTACATAAAATTAAAAATATGAAAATTTGCTGGGCATGGTGGCACGCACCTATAGTCCCAGCTGCACAAGAGGCCAAGGTGGGAGGCTCATTTGAGCCCAGGAGGTTGAGGCTGCAGTGAGCATGTTTGCATCACTGCACTCCAGCCTTGGTGACAGAGCAACACCCTGTCTAAAAAAAATAAAAATAAATAAAAATAAAAATAAAAGAAATAGGCCGGGCACACTGGCTCACGCCTATAATCCCAGCACTTTGGGAGGACAAGGTGGGCAGATCATGAGGTCAAGAGATCGAGACCATCCTGGCCAACATGGTGAAACCCCGTCTCTACTAAAACTACAAAAATTAGCTGGGCGTGGTGGCGCATGGCTGTAGTCCCAGCTACTCGAGAGGCTGAGGCAGGAGAATCACTTGAATCCAGAAGGCGGAGGTTGCAGTGAGCTGAGATTGCACCATTGCACTCCAGCCTGGGTGACAGAGCGAGACTTCATCTCAAAAAATAAATAAGTAAATGAAATATATATTTTTATATATTTCTTGTTTATATATACTATTTTTATATATTATTTTATATATAATTATATGTATATATATGTCACTCCTCTGAAGCAGTGTCACTGTAGCATCTGAGAGTCAGTCCAAGCAGGATTGGGAAGGCAATTGGCAGGTGATTGGAAGAAGGCTAAAGAGAAAGCCCTTGGTTACCGGGGGGATCTGTCTGCAAGACCACGGGCTCCAATCTCAGGTGTCAGAACTTGTGGATGATCTGAGGCGATTAAGAAATTAGAGCCTACAGTACCCTAGTTCAGGGTGGGGGGTGCTGCAGAAAAAGTAGGTTTCAGAGACATGGCTGAAAGACGCAGGTCAGACAGACTCAGTTCACCCAAGTGAGCTGGTGCTAATTTCTACCTCACGGGGTTGTGTTCAGGATTAAATAAATCATGGCAGGCAAAATATCCAGCACAGAGCCTGCATAGTAGAAATAAAAAGAAGTCACTATTCATCGTCATTACTGTCCTTACTGCTTTCTCAGGTCTCACAAAAATGGGGAGTGAGGTGTATATATTCTTTTTTTTTTTTTTTTTTGAGACAGAGTCTCACTCTGTCACCCAGGCTGGAGTGCAGTGGCGCAGTCTCGGCTCACTGCAAGCTCCGCCTCCCAGGTTCACGCCATTCTCCTGCCTCAGCCTCCCAAGTAGCTGGGACTATAGGTGCTCGCCACCATGCCCAGCTAATTTTTTGTATTTTTAGTAGAGACAGGCTTTCACCGTGTTAGCCAGGATGGTCTCGATCTCCTGACCTCGTGATCCGCCCGCCTTGGCCTCCCAAAGTGCTGGGATTACAGGCGTGAGCCACCACGCCCGGCCTGGGTGTATGTATTCTTATATAGGTAAGAATCAATGTTCCTTGGGGACATTTTCCCTAATGGACCAACCCTAGAAATTCTCCATAAAGACCACTCTGGGACAGATGTTCCCTCCAGGCCTGCAAGAGCTCTTGGGTCAAGGAGAACTCATAGTGACATACTGATTGTTTGATCTTTAGGCAAGACTTTTCTACCCGGAGCAGCAGCTGCTCTGCACTGCACACAGGTCCTCTCATATACAGCCTGTAAAAATGGGACTTTACTCCCTGTACTGGTTTATCTCTGGTGTAGTGGGAAAAAGCCAAAACAAAGTTCACTTGCTTCCCTTAACCTTTAGAATCCTAGCTGTTACCCAACTGAACTTGGGTCTGCTTACGCAGCACACAGGAAAAACAAACAAACAAACACTGACGCTGGGATTTACAGCAAGCGGAAGTGAGGCATTTATTGCCTGGTGCCAGGCAAGGAGAACTGGGCAGCAAACTAATGCTGAAGACTTGAACTCCCTAATGACTTACAGGTAAGGATGTTTAAGAAAGCAGAAGTTGGCCAGGTGGTTCACACCTGTAATCCCAGCACTTTGGGAAGCGGAAGCAGGAGGATAGCTTGAGCCCAGTTCAAGATCAGCCTGGGAAACATAGTGAGACCCTGTCTCTATTTTTTATAAAAATAAATAAATAAATACACACACAAACACACACACACACACACACACACACACACACATATATATAATATATATATATATATATATATATTTTTTTTTTGAGACGGAGTCATATTCTGTTGCCCAGACTGGGGTTCAGTGGCATGATCTCAGCTCACTGCAGCTTCCGCCTCCCAGGTTCAAGTGATTCTCCTGCCTCAGCTTCCCAAGTAGTTGTGAATACAGGTGTGTGCCACCGTGCCCAGCTAATTTTTGTATTTTTAGTAGAGACAGGATTTTGCCATGTTGGCCAGGCTGGTTTTGAACTCCTGACCTCAGGTGATCTGCCCACCTCAGCCTCCCAAAGTGCTGGGATTATAGGCATGAGCCACCGTGCCTGACCAAAAATATTTTTTAAATGGGAAAAAAAAAAAAAGAGGCTGGGCATGGTGGATCAGGCCTGTAATTCCAGCACTTTCGGAGGCCGAGGTGGGCGGATCACAAGGTCAGAAAATCAAGACCATCCTGGCTAATGCGGTGAAACTCCGTCTCTACCAAAAATACAAAAAAATTAGCCGGGCATGGTGGCAGGTGCCTGTAGTCCCAGCTACTTGGGAGGCTAAGGCAGGAGAATGGCGTGAGCCCGGGAGGCAGAGTTGCAGTGAGCCGAGATCGCACCACCGCACTGCAGCCTGGGCGACAGAGAGAGACTCTGTCTCAAAAAAAGGAAACAAAAGTTACAGGCAAAATAGTAAATCAATATATGGAGGTTATACATTGATTTGGCCACCAAAAAGTGGGATGTCTCAAAGCAGGAGCTTACAGGTCATAATTGGATTCAGAGACTCTTTGATTTGGAGTTGGTTAAGGAGCAAGGCTTTGTCTAAAAACTGGGGGTCATCGGAAAGGAATGTTAAGGTTTGGCCTGTGGGCCTGACTCCCTCCAGGCTGCTCAGGGAGAAATTCAGAACAGTCAGAGTTCAGTCCTTACTTCTCCCTTATCTGAGGTCTATGTGACAGTGATCAGCATTTTTCATCTGGTGGGGGTCCAGCTTTCTGATAAACAACTCAAAGAACAGGCACGGTGGCTCACCCCTGTAATCCCAGCACTTTGGGAGGCCAAGGCGGGCGGATCATGAGGTCAAGAAATCGAGACCATCCTGGCCAACATGGTGATTCCCTGTCTCTACTAAAAATATAAAAATTACCCGGGCGTGGTGGCATGTGCCTGTAGTCCCAGCCACTTGGGAGGCTGAGGCAGGAGAATGGCTTGAACCCGGGAGGCAGAGGTTGCAATGAGCCGAGATCACGCCACTGCACTCCAGCCTGGTGACAGAGCCAGACTCCATCTCAAAAACAAACAAACAAACAAAAAACAACTCAAGAACATACATTAAGATGTTGTCTTTTAGTTTCTACAGGCAACTGAAATAGCTTGTGACTCTAACTTGCTTAGAAGACTTATTTTTTAAGTTACTGCTCTCTCTTTTTTTTTTTTTTTTGAGACAGAGTCTCATTCTGTCGCCCAGGCTGGAGTGCAGTGGGGTGATCTCGGCTCACTGCCAGCTCCGCCTCCCAGGTTCACGCCATTCTCCTGCCTCAGCCTCCTGAGTAGCTGGGATTACAGGCGCCCGCCACCACGCCTGGCTAATTTTTTGTATTTTTAGTAGAGACGGGGTTTCACCGTGTTAGCCAGGATGGTCTCGATCTCCTGACTTCGTGATCCACCCGCCTCGGCCTCCCAAAGTGCTGGGATTACAGGCGTGAGCACCACGCCCCACCTACTGCTCTCTTCTTGGATTGCTCATTTACTTCTCAAGTCTAGCTAGGTGCCTGGAATCTCCTGTGAAGGAACTCAAAACTTGTCCTTTATTTTCGTGCTTGTGGTGGTGGGGGTGGGGGCACCTGGCAGGTCCCTAAGAGGAGTCCCTGCTCCATCTTCTAACATTGACAGATACCACACATTTTATGATTAAGAAACAGAGTCACACATATAGGTTATGAATCATATCTCAATTCTATTGGGTATATGTTATATAACACAAGTGAAACTTTTCTGTGGGGGTGAGGATTATAAGTATTTACTTTAAAGTGTCCAACATTATAAGATATCAACATTAACAGAAAAAAAAGGGGGGGGGAATTTCCCTCTCAATTTTTTTCCCCTTCACTCAAAGCTAAGAAAACATGCCCGCACCTTTTACTGCTACCTGTATTGTATCCTGCATTCCCTAGCCTTGTTTACTTATAGGTTCAAGTTCAACTTTGCCCAGGTCCTGAACTATAATAGGACTTAGGCAGCGGCTGGGCGCAGTGGCTCACGCCTGTAATCCCAGCACTTTGGGAGGGCAAGGCGGGCAGATCACCTGAGGTCAGGGGTTCAAGACCAGCCTGGCCAACATGGTGAAACCCCATCTCTACTAAAAATACAAAAATTAGCTGGGCATGGTGGCATGTGCCTGTAATCCCAGCTACTTGGGAGGCTGAGGCAGGAGAATTGCTTGGACACGGGAGGCGGAAGCTACAGTGAGCCGAGATCATGCCACTGCACTCCAGACTGGGGGATAAAGGGAGACTCTGTCTCAAAAAAAAAAAAAAAAAAAAAAAGTCTGGACACAATGGCTCATGCCTGTAATCCCAGCACTTTGGGAGGCCGAGGTGGGCAGATCATTTGAGGTCAGGAGTTCAACACCAGCCTGACAAACATGGTGAAACTCCATCTCTACTAAAAATAAAAAAAGTAGCCAGGTGTGGTGGCACATGCCTGTAGTCCCAGCTCCTTGGGAGGCTGAGGCAGGAGAATCGCCTGAATCTGGGAGGTGGAGGTTGCAGTGAACTGAGATCATGCCATTGGCACTCTAGCTTGGGCGACAGAACAAGACTGTCTCAAAAAAAAAAAGACTTAGGCAGCAAGTAATTGCTGTTCAGGCCTGGTGTATGAACTTTAAGCCTTGACTGGGCACGGCGGCTCATGCCTGTAATCCCAGTGCTTTGGGAGGCTGAGGTGGGCAGATCACCTGAGGTCAGGAGTTCAAGAGCAGCTTGGCTAACATGGTGAAATCCCGTTTCTACAAAAAATACAAAAAATTAGCCGGGTGTGGTGGCATGCGCCTGTAATCCCAGCTACTCGGGAGGCTAAGGCAGGAGAATCGCTTGAACCCGGGAGGTGGAGGTTGCAGTGAGCTGAGATCGTGCCATTGTACTCCAGCTTGGGCAACAAGGGCAAAACTCTGTCTCAAAAAAAAAACAAACCACGGAACTTTAAGCCTTAGGCACAGTTATACTAACTGTAATAAATATTTGTCATGTTTTTGCACCTGCCCAGTGTCCTTCCCCTTTCTTCTGTTAACACTATCCTGTGTTTTTGTTGAGGGTAGCGTATGGGACAGTGAGGAGATGGCGGAAAAGCCCAGTCCCTCCCCGGTCTTGGTATTCATGGTGGGGGCTATCACCGTGCTCTGCTTCTCCAACATGGGGATGGGCTCTGTGTTTATGAATCTGAAGGTTTTTTTCAGACTCTGGATACATGGATGGATATTTAAGCAGTAGCTGTATAGGCCGTCCCCTGAAATTCTGGTTCAATCAGGGCCGGAGCATCAGTATTTTTTAAATTCCCCAGGTGTGCTGCTGTGTAGACCGCCGAGTTGAGATCCACTGGACCAGCACAGGGAAGCCATGACATGGGGACCCTGAGACCTTCTACTCTCCCCAATTCAAGGGACCATCTTTTCCCCTGCCCTTCCTCCATCTGTTTCACTTTTGAACTTCCCTCTGGATTATCCGTATTATGAAGAAAATATTTGTGCTATAAAGTTAATACAGAAGTAAAATTTTTAGGTTAAAAAAACTCCACCAGCCGGGCATGGTGGCTCACGTCTATAATCCCAGCACTTTGGGAGGCCAAGGTGGGCGGATCACGAGGTCAAGAGATGGAGACCATCCTGGCCAACATGGTGAAACCCCGTCTCTACTAAAAATACAAAAAATTAGCTGGGCGTGGTGGCGTGTGCCTGTAGTCCCAGCTACTCGGGAGGCTGAGGCAGGAGAATGGTGAGAACCCGGGAGGCAGAGCTTGCAGTAAGCCGAGATCACGCCACTGCACTCCAGCCTGGGCGACAGAGCGAGACTCTGTCTCAAAAAAAAAAAAATTCCACCAAAGTTGGTGGATCATTTGTGACATTTTTACTATTCTCAGACCCAACTGCGGGATTGTGCTGTCCTAAACAGACTCCACAGTTCCAAGCATGACATATCTGGGTTAATAGACAGATGATTCTGTCAGTGATGTGAGAAGACAGCCAGCAGTAGGAAGCAGCAGAGGCCGTTTGGGGACATTTTCTAGGGGGTAGTGGGCCTATTCTGATATATTTCTTTTTTTTTTTTTTTTTTTTTTGAGGCAAGGTTTTGCTCTGTCACCCAAGCTGGAGTGCAGTGATGTACTCATGGCTCACTGCGGCCTCAACTTCCTGAGTTCAAGCAATCCTCCCATCTTGGCCTTGTGAGCGTCTAGGACTACAGGCACATACACCAACCCTGGCAAATTTTTTATTTTCTGTAGAGATGGGGTCTCACTTTGTTGTCCAGGGTGGTCTCAAACTCCTGGCCTCAAGGAATCCTCCCATCTTGGCCTCCCAAAGTCCTGGGATTACAGGTGTGAGCTACCATGTCCGACCATATTCTGACATTAGGACCCTAAAGTAGAAAGACATGTAGTCCAGCCAAATGAAATTGAACCTGTAATTCTGTAAAAGGGCATACTTTTCTAAGTTTGGTGCTATCTAGATACTAAAATTTTGATTCAGATACTCACAAGAGACTACTATGGTCCATGTGTTAGATATATCTATATCTCCAAAACATGTTTTAATCAGGACTTTATAAAGATAACAAGTAAATGGATTTGTTTGGAAAGACTAAGCCCATGCTCTAGGGTGCGAACCATTTACAGCTTACTCTCACAGAGGTTCATGTATAATAAACTATAATGTGATACTTTCTGTGTAACATCATTTATTATTTCTCTGGCAGCAGCAGCTGGAAATTACTGCTCAGACACTTCATGCTCTGTGATCCAAGGGCTACCATGGCACAGTGCTGAAAGTATTTAATTTGGTGTCCTGAGGTTAGCTTTTCACCTACTTTCCAGTTTAGTGACAGAGACACCTGTTGTAAACCCAGTCTAAGCTAATAAAAGCCAATGAACTCTGGCCAAAGTACAAGTTTTGTCAGTGAAATTTGAAGGCACTGCTGTGGCACTTTTCCTTCATTTCACTCACCCATTCAACAAGCATTTATGGGGCAACTTCTCTGTGTTAGGCACCTTGTTAGAACCCCCGGGGGCTGAAAAGCGATTAATACACAAATAACAAAAAAGTGTGCCAAGCATGACCCGATAGGTATGAACAAAGTTTAGTATGGAGACACCAAGTTTTCTTAGGAAATGTTAGGACTTTTTTTTTTAATAGGGGAAGTCCTGTTTGAATTGAGTCTTAAAGAGTATATAGAAGTTTCCAGGCTGGGCGCGGTGGCTCACGCCTGTAATCCCAGCACTTTGGGAGGCTGAGGCGGGCAGATCACCTGAAGTCAGGAGTCTGAGACCAGCCTCAACATGGAGAAACCCCATCTGTACTAAAAATACAAAATTAGCCAGGCGTAGTGGTGCATGCCTGTAATCTCAGCTACTCGGGAGGCTGAGGCAGGAGAATTGCTTGAACCCAGGAGGCGGAGGTTGTGGTGAGCCGAGATCGTGCCATTGCACTCCAGCCTGGGCAACAAGAGCAAAACTCCGTCTCAAAAAAAAAAAAAAAAGAGTATATAGGAGTTTCCCTAAGAGAGAAGTGGAGAAAAGTACAGATGGTCCCCAACTTATGATTTTTTTTCACTTTACAGTGGTGCAAAAGTGATTTAAATTTAGTAGAATTCATACTTTGAGTACCCATACAACCGTTCTGTTTCCACTTTCAGTACAGTAGTCAATAAATTACATGAACTATTCAACACTTTAATATAAAATAGGCTTTGTGTTAGATGACTTTTTCCAACTGTAGGCTAATGTAAGAGTTCTGAGCACGTTGAGGTAGGTTAGACTAGGCTATAATGTTTGGTAGGTTAGGTGTAGTAAATGCATTTTGACTTAGAGTATTTTCTTTCGTTCTTTTTTTTTTTTTTTTGAGACAGAGTCTCACTCTGTCGCCAGGCTGGAATGCAGTAGCACGATCTCAGCTCACCGCAACCTCTGACTCCCTGGTTCAAGCAATTCTCCTGCCTCAGCCTCCTGAGTAGCTGGGATTACAGGCATGCGCCACCACGCCCAGCTAATTTTTGCATTTTTAGTAGAGATGGGGTATTACCATGTTGGCCAGGATGGTCTCAATCTCCTGACCTCATGATTTGCCCACCTCAGCCTCCCAAAGTGCTGGGATTACAGGCGTGAGCCACCCGTACCCGGCTGACTTCCAGTATTTTCAACTTACAATGCGCTTACTAAGATTTACCCCCATCACAAGTAGAGCAGCGTCTGTACTGCAGGCAGAAAGAAGAATATGTACAAAAGCATATGAGTAAAAAAGTCATGGAAACTTTGAGAATAGTGGGAAAAATTCAGTATGACTAGAGCAATCTGTATGGGGGGATAGGATTGTAGTTGAGACAAATAATTTTTTTGAGAAGTGAGACAAGTAATTGTTTTGAGAAGAGTTTTGTAAGTCTCATTTAAGGGTTTAGATTTGACTCTATGAGTGCACAGAATACAGTTGTTATTTCCAAGCATGGCATGTTTTTGTTACAAAAGAAAATCTGCCAATCATATGAGAAAAAGACTAGAAGTGAGAGGCAGAAAAGGCAGCTCCAAGCCCTTTCTAGAGCAGTGCTTCTCAAATGGGAAATTTTTTGCCCTCCAGGGGATATTTGGCAAGATCTGAAGATATTTTTGATTGGCATGATGGGGGGGAGTATATACAGTAGAGACTAGGGATGCTACCAACATTCTACAATGTACAAGACAGCCCCTTACAACAAAATATTATGTAGTTCCAAATGACAGTAGTGCCTAAGTGGAGAAACCCTCTTCTAGGTTGTAGTGAACCTTTTCTGCTTTTTTTTTTTTCTTTTGCAAAAGAGTCTCACTCGGTTGCCCAGACTATAATGCAGTGGCATGATCTTGGCTCACTGCAACCTCCACCTCCCAGGTTCAAGCAATTCTCATGCCTCAGCCTCCCAAGTAGCTGAGATAACAGGCATGCACCACCATGCCCGGCTAATTTTTGTGTTTTTAGTAGAGTCGGGGTTTGGCCATGTTGGCCAAGCTGGTCTCGAACTCCTGGCCTCAAGTGATCTGCCCACCTCAGCCTCCCAAAGTGTTGGGATTATAGGTGTGAGACACTGCACCCGGCCCATTTTCTGCTTTTGATTGCTCAATATCCTTTCCCCCTTCTTCTTTGGAAAAGCACCTTGAGTTTTCATTCAGATGTCCACTGTTCCATATAAAACTCAGGTGCTTCAGGGAAGATGACCCCTCTCCTGGCCCCATCCCCAGAGGTGGACCCTGATTGAATTGACTCAGTCACCTTAATACAGGGTGGTCTCAGGAGAACAGAAAATTCCAGGAGGCAGGTTCACATAACTAGCAAAAGGAAACTGATGAAATAGCTACAGAAGCGAGGGGCTGATAAAACCCTGAAAAACAGGATGTGGACTGAGCTGGCTAAGACCTACCAGACCAAACATGGCACTGGATTTGACCTAGGTTTCACTGAGGACCTCATTATACACTCATTAACATACCAATCACACACCTACCAGCACCAGGACAGTTCTAGGAGGACTCATATTTGGTGTAAAAATGAGTGGCACCAGAGTTTTGAGAAACTCCACCTTTTTCCAGGAATCTTCATGAATATTCCACCCCTCGGTTAAATAAACCCATGAAGGTTAGAAACCCCAAACTCCATTGCGTGACTCTCTGTTGAGTACGCCCTCACTCCACTTTCTTGAGTGTGTACTTTTCATTTTGCAATAAATCTCCACACTTTCACTATTTTCTGACTCATTCTTGAATTCCTTCTTGTGATGGTGTCAAGAGCCTGGACACCAGCCAGGGTTGTGGTCCCACCAGCGTTTAGGGACCTTCCCTGGCCCACTAGCATCAAGCTCATCCCATTCCCCACTGGTGTATTAATTTCGGTAGAGGCCGAACTATGGTAACAAAGAGACCTGAAAATAGTGGTTTAAATAAAATGGAAATTCATTTCTGAGTACCACAAAACAGCTAGTGGTCAGATATCCAGGGCTAGCTAAGCAATTCTCTTCCACCTGCCACTAAGGAATAAGGATCGCTTTTATCCAATTGTCCTAAAGCACTGTCCTGCTCATGTGATGGAGACTAGCTCAGCCCATGTTTCAGTCCTCAGGAAGAGCAAAAAGAGTATTCACTGCAAAAAGTTTTGTCTTTAAGATGATGATCTAGAAGTTGCACACATCGCTCTCCCTCCCATCCCATTGGGCTGAACTTAGTTATATGGACATATCCAGCCAACAGAGGAAACTGGGAAGTGGCCATTTTCTCAGTGAAAACTGGGGGAAAGCATTGGTTTCTCTGCTAACAGGAAAAAGGACAGTGTGGAAACTGAGGGATGCTTAGCTTCTCTGCCATACCTAGATGGAGTCAGCATTTGGTCCAGGATCATGACTTAATATAGGCCCATGAGATATGAAAATATATGAAAAAGACATTTTCTTGGAGTTTGTAGGGGAAAGCTAGTAAAATTCTAATCAACCCAAAAATAACTTACAGGGCCCTAGTATTTTTCCTTAACCTTATTAGATCTCTTCCTCCAAACTGCATTTTTATTTCTTTCAGTTTCCACATATTGTCCTGTTTCTATCAGTGGTGATTACCGTCACATTCTCCATGTCATAATGAACTGAATAGTTGACGTTCTCTTTGTCTCCTTCCTCTCTCTAGCCCCCATAACTAGTCACTCATGAAGTCTAAGCTACATCTTCTGTCCATTTTGTTTTTTTTTTTTTTTTTTTTTTTGAGACGGAGTCTCCCTCTGTCGCCGGGTTGGAGTGCCGCGGTGCGATCTCAGCTCACTGCAACCTCTGCCTCCCGGGTTTGAGCAATTCTCCTGCCTCAGCCTCCCAGGTTTGAGCAATTCTCCTGCCTCAGACTCCCGAGTAGCTGGGACTAAAGGTGCCCACAACCACGCCTGGCTAATTTTTGTATTTTTAGTAGAGATGGGGGTTTCACCACCTTGGCCAGGCTGGTCTCGAACTCCTGACCTCAGGTGATCCACCCGCCTCGGCCTCCCAAAGTGCTGGGATTACAGGCGTGAGCCACCACGCCTGGCTTCTGTCCCGTTTATTTCTATTTTTTGAGAGGGAGTCTCGCTCTGTTGCCCAGGCTGGAGTGCAGTGACGTGATCTTGGCTCACCACAACCTCAGCCTCCCGGGTTCAAGCGATTCTCCTGCCTCAGCCTCCCAAGTAGCTGGGACTACAGGCGCCTGCCACCATGCCTGGCTAATCTTTGTATTTTTAGTAGAGATGGGGTTTCACTGTGTTGGCCAGGCTGGTCTCGAAATCCTGACCTCGTGGCCAGGCGCGGTGGCTCACGCCTGTAATCCCAGCACTTCGGAAGCCCGAGGTGGGCGGATCACGAGGTCAGGAGATCCGAGATCATCCTGGCTAACACGGTGAAACCCCGTCTCTACCAAAAATACCAAAAAAACAAAAACAAAAACAAAAACAAAATTAGCCGGGCGTGGTGGCGGTCGCTTGTAATCCCACTCCGGAGGCTGAGGCAGGAGAATGGCGTGAACTCGGGAGGCGGAGCTTGCAGTGAGCAGAGATCGCGCCACTGCACTCCAGCCTGGGCGACAGAGGGAGACTCCGTCTCAAAACAAACAAACAAAAAAAACTGAGCTCGTGATCCGCCCACCTCGGCCTCCCAAAGTGCTGGAATTACAGTCGCGAGCCACTGTGCCCAGACTTCTGTCCCTTTAACAGCTTTATTGAGATACAATTCACACACCACACAATTCACCATTTAAAGTGTACGATTCAGGCTGAGTGTGGTGGCTCATGCCTGTAATCCCAGCACTTTGGGAGGCCGAGGTGGGCGGATCACCTGAGTTTACAAGTTCGAGACCAGCCTGACCAACACGGAGAAACCCCGTCTCTACTGAAAATACAAAATTAGCCAGGTGTGGTGGCACATGCCTGTAATCCCAGCTACTCGGGAGGCTAGCGCAAGAGAATCACTTGAACCCAGGTGACGGAGGTTGCAGTGAGCTGAGATTGTGCCATTGCACTCCAGCCTGGGCAACAAGAACAAAAACTCCATCTCAAAAAAAATAAAAATAATAAAGTGTATGGTTCAGTGGTTTTTAGTATATTCATAGATACATGCAATCATCACCACAATCAGTTTTAGAACATTTGGGGTATCATCTTAAGATCCCCATGTCACCCCATCTCCAGCCTTAAGCAACTGAAAATCTACTTTCTGTCTCTATAGACCTCCCTGTTCTAGACATTTCGTATAAATAGAATCATATAATATGTGGCATTTTGTGACTGGCTTCTTTCACTTAGCATAATGTTTTCAAGATTTGTCTGTGTTGTAGCATGTTATCAGTACTCCATTCCTTTTTATGGTTGAATAGTATTTCATTTATGGACATACCACATTTTGATTATTCATTCATCAGTTGATGGACATTTGGGTTCTTTCTACCTTTTGGCTATCATGGATAATGCTACTGTAAACATTTATGTACAAGTTTTTGGGTAGACATGTGTCCTCATTTCTTTTGGGTATACACCTAGGAGTGGAATTGTTGGGTCACAGAGTAACTGCGTATCTATCATCTATCTATCTATCTATCTATCTATCTATCTATCTATCTATATATATATATTTTTTTTGAGACAGAGTCTCGCTCTGTCACTCAGGCTGGGTGCAGTGGCGAGATCTCAGCTCACCACAACCTCTGCCTCCCAGGTTCAAGCGATCCTCCTGCTTCAGCCTCCCGAGTAACTGGGACTACAGGTGCGCACCACCATGTTGGCTAATTTTTGTATTTTTAGTAGAGACGGGGTTTTACCACGTTGGCCAGACTGGTCTCAAACTCTTGACCTCAGGTGATCCAATCACCTTGGCCTCCCAAAATGCTGGAATTACAGGCGTGAGCCACCATGCCCTGCCATAGAGTAACTGTACATTTAATTGTTTCAGAACTGTCAGAATATTTTCCAAAGCACCATTTTACATTTCTGCCAACAATGTGTGGGGGAACTGATTTCTCCACATCCTTTACACTATTTGTTATCATCTAATTTTTTTTTTTTTTTTGAGAGAGAGTCTCACTCTGTTGCCCAGGCTGGAGTACAGTGGCGTGATCTCGGCTCACTACAACGTCTGCCTCCCGGGTTCAAGCAATTCTCCTGCCTCAGCCTCCCGAGTAACTGTGACTACAGGCGCATGCAATCACGCCCAGCTAATTTTTGTATTTTTAGTAGAGACGGGGTTTCACCATGTTGGCCAGGCTGTTCTCCAACTCCTGACCTCATCATCTGCCCGCCTCAGCCTCCGAAAGTGTTAGGATTACAGGCGTAAGCCATTGCACCCGGCCTATCATCTGATTTTTTGATCCTAGCCATATCCTAATGTCTCTTGCTTCCATCCCTTTTCCATTCTTGGAGGCATAAGCCTAGTCCAAGCCCTCAAATAGCCCCTTGATCCCTGACTCCAAGCCTCTTCCTGCACCACCAACTTCTTTATTTTCCTGTCCCAACCCCCTAGCTACTTATAATGAACACCTGGTATATTAGGATTTTCTTATTTATTTATTTATTTTTGAGACAGGGTCTGGCTCTGTTGCCCAGGCTGGAATGCAGTGGCGTGATCATGACTCACTATAGCCTCAACCTCCTGGGCTCAAGTGATCCTCCCACCTCAGTCTCTTGAGTAGCTGGGACCACAGGTACATGCCACTATGCCTGGCTAATATTTGCATTTTTTTTTTTTTTTGTAGAGATAGGGTTTTGCCATGTTGCCCAGGCTGGTCTCAAACTCCTGAGCTCGGGTAATCTGCCTGCCTCGACCTTCCAATGTGCTAGGATTATAGGCATGAGCCACTACACCTGTCCTATATTAGGATTTTCTAGAGAAACAGAACCAAAGGGACTTATAGATAGGTAGATAGATGATAAGGAATTGGCTCATGCAGTTATGAAGGCTGAGAAGTCTCGTAATCTACCATCTGCCAGCTAGAGCCCCAGGAAAGCCAGTAGTATAATTCCATCCATTTCCAAAGGCCTAAGAACCAGGGGAGCTGATGGCATAAATCCCAGTCTGAGAGCAGGAGAAGAAGAAATGAGATGTCCCTGCTCAAGCAGTGAGACAGGAACAACAACAACAACAAAAAAAGTGGGGGGAGGTGAATTCCTTATTTTGTTACCTTTTGTTCTGTTTAGGCTCTCAACAAATTGGACGGTGTCCATCCACACTGGGGAGGGCAAAGTACTTTTCTGAGTTT
The DNA here is from genome assembly GCF_000001405.40 of Homo sapiens. Lineage (NCBI taxonomy): Eukaryota > Metazoa > Chordata > Mammalia > Primates > Hominidae > Homo > Homo sapiens. The sequence goes on along the minus strand of NW_011332696.1, from coordinate 270,324 downwards.
ACCAATTCAAATGCTCATCTCATCTGGAAACACCCTCATCTGCCTGGACCCCTTGCCACTCTGGACAGGTCATCACCAAGGTTCTGACTGATGAATTGTAGATGCCAGCTGGACAAATAACATCACCTATGTGGATAGACTGACCAACCACAGGAAGAGATAGTTGGGGGGTTAGAGGTCCGGTGAAGGAGGCTGAGGTGTGGTCTTAGCAGCTGGTGCATTTGTGGGGACAGGTAGGGGGATGCAGGGCCCTGAAACTCCCTTCCCTGGGCTTCCAGCATCTGCTGGGTCCCTAATAAACTGTCTACTTTCTGTTGCTGCCTCTCCCAGACCACCTGGGGAGTAAGGTGGTAGTACCGAGTTCCAGACACACCTAGAAATAATGTTTAATCTGGGCATCACATTCAACACTAAGTTCCCAGTCAAGTTGACACATAAAATTAATCACTTACATAAGCCACATCTGGCTTACTACCTGGCCTTGCACTCTTGAACCAAGGAGAGAGACCCATCAGATAACATGCAGGTGAATGTCCACTCCAGAGCTGCCCAGTACTCTCCACACACACTGAATTGGGGAACATTAAAATACCAAGACTTGGCTGGGCGCAGTGGCTCACACCTGTAATCCCAGCACTTTGGGAGGCTGAGGCAGTGGATCACCTGAAGTCAGGAATTCGCGACCAGCCTGGCAAACATGGTGAAACCCCATCTCTACTAAAAATACAAAAACAGCCAGGTATTGTGGCACGTGCCTGTCATCCCAGCTTCTCGGGAGGCTGAGAGGCTGGAGAATCACTTGAACCCGGGAGGTGGAGGTTGCAGTAAGGCAAGATGGCGCCACTGCACTCCAGCCTGGGTGACAGAACGAGACATCATCTCAAAAAAAACAACACAGACACACACACACACAAACCAAGACTTCACATTGTTGCTAGGAATGTAAAATAATGCAGCCATTATGGAAAACAGCATAATGATTCTTCAAAAAAAATCAAAAGTAGAATTATTATATGATCCAGCAATCCCACCTCTGGATATATACCAAAAGGATTGAAAGCAGGCTAGGCATGGTGGCTCATGCCTGTAATCCCAACACTTTGGGAGACCTAGGCAGGAGATCATTTGAGCCCAGGAGTTTGAGACCAGCCTGGCCAACATGGCAAAACCCCATCTCCACAAAAACATTTTTAAAAAGTTAGCAAAGCATTGAGGTGTGCACTGGTGATCCCAGCTACGTGGGAGGCCAAAGTGGGAGGATCACTTGAGCCCAGGAGGTAGAGGCTGCGATTAACTGTGATGGCACCACTGCTCTCCACTCCAGCCTGGGCGACAGAGCAAGACCCTGTCTCAAAAAAAGAAAAAGAATTGAAAGCAGACTCCTGAACAAATATTGGTACACCCATGTTCATAGCAACATTATTCACAATAGCCAAGACGTAGAAGCAGCCTAAGTGCTCATCAACAGATGAATGATAAACAAAATGTGGTCTATACATTTGGAATGAAATATTATCCTTAAAAAGGAAGAAAATTCTGACACATAATACAACACGGATGAGCCTTGAGGACATTATGCTAAATGAAATAAGCCAGTCACAAAAAGGCAAATACTGTATGATTCCACTTATATGAAGTACCTGGAATAGTCAAATTCATACAGACAGAAATTAGAATGGTGGTTGCCGGGGGCTGAGGGAGGGGACAATTGGGAGTTATTGTTTAATGGGTATGGAGTTTTGGGGCCGGGCGCGGTGGCTCACGCCTGTAATCCCAGCACTTTGGGAGGCCGAGGCGGGCAGATCACCTGAGGTCGGGAGTTCGAGACCAGCCTGACCAACATGGAGAAACCCTGTCTCTACTAAAACTGCAAAATTAGCTGGACATGGTGGTGCATGCCTGTAATCCCAGCTACTTGGGAGGCTGAGGCAGGAGAATCGCTTGAACCCGGGAGGTGGAGGTTGCGGTGAGCCGAGATTGTGCCATTGCGCTCCAGCCTGGGCAATAAGAGCAAAACTCCATCTCAAAAAATAGTAATAATAAAATAATAATAATAATAATAACAATAATAATGGATATGGAGTTTCAGTTTGGAGTGAAGAATAAGGTTCTGGAGGTGGATGGTGGTGATGGTTGTAAACAACATGAATGTACATTACTAATGCCACTGAACCGTACACTTAAAATGATTAATATAGTAAATTTTGTTATGTGATTTTACCACAATTAAAAATTTTTTAATATTATGACTGCAAATATATGTACATGGAGTATCACACAACCATAAAAAGGAATGAAGTGCTGGTATTTGCTACAACGTATATAGATAAACCTCAAAATATTATGCTAAGTCAAAGAAGCCAGACACAAAGATCATATTGTATGATTCCATTTATATCAAATAGTCACGAAAGGTATATGTATACAGACAGAATGCAGGTTGGTGGTTTCCAGGGGTTGGGGAGAGGAAGAAATGGGGAGAAAGTGCTTATGGGCACAGAGTGATTCATTTTATAGTGATTGAAATGTTTTGGAATTAGAGATTGTGGTTGTACAACATTGTTAATATACTAAATATGCTGGATTGTTCACTTAAAACAGAACACTTTACGCTGGGTGTGGTGGCTCACGCCTGTAATCCTAGCACTCTGGGAGGTCAAGGTGGGTGGATCACTTGAGGTCAGGAGTTCGAGACCAGCCTGGCCAATAAGGTGAAACCCCATCTCTATTAAAAATACAAAAATTAGCCGGGCATGGTGGCATGTGCCTGTAATCCCAGCTACTCAGGAGGCTGAGGCGGGAGAATTGCTTGAACCCAGGAGGCAGAGGTTGTAGTGAGCAGAGATCGCACCAGTGCATTCCATCCTGGGCAATAGAGTGAGACTCTGTCTCAAAACAACAACAACAACAACATAAACAGAACACTATATATATATATATATATATAAAAATATAAATGTAATGTTATGTATATAAAACATTTATATATATTTCAGTTTTAAAATGCAGGGAATTCCTTTTTAGGGAGTATATATATATATTTTTTCAGATATAAGGAAAAACATATATATTTTTAGAGAATATACATATTCTCCTTATATAAATATATATATGGAAATATATATATATTCTCCTTATATAAATATATTTTTTTCCATATATATACACTTTTTTTTTTAAGAGACAGGTTCTTGCTCTGTCACCCACACTGGAGTGCAGTGCTGTGATCTTGGCTCACTGCAGCCTCAACCCCTTGAGCTGAAATGATCTTCCTGCCTCAGTTTCTTGAGTAGCTGGGATTACAGGCATGTACCACAATGCCTGGCTAATTTTTTTTTAATTGTAGAGACAGGGTCTTGCTATGTTGCCCAGGCTGGTCTTCAATTCTTGGGCTCAAGCAATTCTCCTGCTCCAGCCTCCCAAAGTGCTGGGACTGCAGTCATGAGCCAAACAGGATACCCCTTAGTGTCTGTACCTGCCGCTCCCTCAGCTTGGAGTATTGGTCCCCTGGATGTTTGCATCTCTACCCTCCCCTCATTTAGGTCTCTGCGCTGATATCCCCTCCCCAGGAGGGATTCTTGTAATCATTCTTCCTAGATTTTAAATGTCATCCACCATGATTCCCCATCTCCTTCCTCTGCCTTTTTCCCCCTTCATAGCAGTATCACTAGACTTGTCATATTTGCCTCAGATCTTTCTGAAATAAGCAATACAGTTGAAGGCCCCTGTGACGCTTAATTTTACGTGTCAACTTGACTGGATTAAGTGATACCTAGATAGCTGGTAAGGCATTACTTCTGGGTGTATCAGTGGGAGTGTTTCCAGAGGAGACTGGTGTGTGAGTTGCTGGATAAAGGAGGGAAGATATGCCCTCCATGTGGGCGGGCACGATCCGATTGCCTTGGGGCCCCCAGATAGAATCAAAAGGCGGAGGAAAGAAATTCTTTCTCTCTCTCTCCTGGAGCTGCGACACATTCTTCTGCCCTTGGAAGTCAGAACTCCAGGCTCTCCTGTCTTTGTACTCTGGGACTTATACCAGGGGCACTCCAGGTTCTCAGGCCTTCCACCTGGGATGGATAATTACACCATCAGTTTCCCTGGTTTTTTGGCTTTTAGACCTGGACTGAGCCATGCTCCTAGTGTCCCTGGGTCTCCAGCTTGCAGATGGACTGTCATGAGATTTTTCAGCCTCCATATCACTTGAGCTAATTCCTCTAATAAATCCCCTCTCATCTGTCTGTCTGTCTGTCTGTCTGTCTGTCTATCTATCTATCTATCTATCTATCTATCTATCTATCTATCTATCTACCTATGCATCCATTGATCCTGTTGATTCTTTCTCTCTGGAGAAGCCTTACTAATACAGTCTCTTTTTTCATCTTCCCTGATATCATTCTCTTTTCTTCCTTCACCAGAAGAAACTACTATCACAATTTGAGTTTCTCTGATTTCATGTATTCTTTTTTTTTTCTGAGACAGAGTCTCGCTCTGTTGCCCACACTGGAGTGCAGTGGTGCAATCTCAGCTCACTGCAACTTCCACCTCCTGGGTTCCAGCGATTCTCTTGCCTCAGCCTCCTGAGTAGCTGGGGTTACAGGAACACACCACCATGCCCAGCTAATTTTTTTGTATTTTTAGTAGAGACAGGGTTTCGCCATGTTGGCCAGGCTGGTCTCGAACTCCTGACCTCAAGTCATCTGCCTGACTCGGCCTCCCAAAGTGCTGGGATTACAGGCGACTTCATATATTCTTTTACTCTTTTTTTTTTTTTTTTTTTTTGAGACAGAGTCTGGCTCTGTTGCCAGGCTGGAGTGCAGTGGCACAATCTCAGCTCACTGCAACCTCCGCCTGCCGGGTTCAAGTGATTCTCCTGCCTCAGCCTCCCGAGTAGCTGGGACTACAGGCACGTGCCACCATGCCCAGCTAATTTTTGTATTTTCAGTAGAGACAGGGTTTCACCATGTTGGCCAGGATGGTCTCCATCTCTTGACCTTGTGATCCACCCACCTCGGCCTTCCAAAGTGCTGGGATTACAGGTGTGAGCCACCGTGCCCGGCCTTACTCATGTTTTTATACTTCTATTACATAACATGTAGGTAGAAACAATATACAATTGCTTTTTCTGTGTGTTTTAAATATTTTTATTCAGTATGTCATACTACATGTATCCCTCTAAAACATGCATGTGCACGCGTGCACAAACACACACAAATGCTTATATATATCCAGTTCATTCATTTTAATGGCTGCACTACATTCTATCAATGAATACACCTCAATTTACGTAGCCCCGTATTGATGAACATTCAGTTTTTCCCCAATTTAGAGCTACTAAAAACGATGCTGCAAGACAATATTTGTGCTTGTCCTTTTGCACACGTGGAAGTTTCTATACGGTGTGAAATTTAGAGTAGAATTGTCAGAGGCGTGTGAACCAGAGCAACTCCATCTTAAATAGAAGCTGGGTAAAATGAGCTGAAACTTACTGGAATGCATTCCCAGAAGGTTAAGGCATTCTAAGTTACAGGATGAGATAGGAAGTCAGCACAAAATACAGGTCATAAAGACCTTGCTGATAAAACAGTTTGCAGTAAGGCCGGGCGCGGTGGCTCACTCCTGTAATCCGAGCACTTTGGAAGGCCGAGCACTTTGGAAGGCCGAGCACTTTGGGAGACCTCACCTGAGGTCGGGAGTTGGAGACCAGCCCGACCAACATGGAGAAACCCCGTTTCTACTAAAAATACAAAATTAGCCAGGAGTGGTGGCGCATGCCTGTAATCCCAGCTACTCCGGAGGCTGAGGCAGGAGAATCGCTTGAACCCGGAAGGCGGAGGTTGCGGTGAGCCGAGATCGCTCCATTGCACTCCAGCCTGGGCAACAAGAGCGAAACTCCGTCTCAAAACAAACAAACAAACAAACACAGCTTGCGGTAAAAGAGCCAGCCAAAACCCACCAAAACCAAAATGGCAACGAGAGTGACCTCTGCTCGTCCTCACTGCTACAGTCCCACCAGCGCCATGACAGTTTACAAATGCCATGGCAGCGTCAGGAAGTGACCCTAATGTAGTCTAAAAACGGGAGGCATGAATAATCCACCCCTTGTTTAGCATAACCTCAAAAATAACCATAAAAGCAGGCAACCAGCAGCCCTCTGGGCTGCTCTATGGAGTAGCCATTCTTTTATTTCTTTACTTTCTTGATAAACTTGCTTTCACTTTGCACTGCGAACTCGCCCTGAATTCTTTGTTGCGCGAGATCCAAGAACCCTCTCTTGGGGTCTAGATCGGGACCCCTTCCTTGTAACATATTTCTGGCAACCCAGATGGGACTATAGTGCAGAAACCCTGACCCAATGGCTACCTTTGGGGTAGTGTTGTGGTCCTGTAACAGAATTGTGGGTCACGTGGTATACTGGATGTTTTCCATTTGCTCCTCTGATCTTCTCTTTCTTCCTCCCTGCATTGGCCCCAGGAAGCTGACCTTTATGAACTGCTAGCCATGAATTTCCTTTCCCTCTGACTTCTTGTTGGATTTGGCCTCTGGAAGATGCCAGCAGGAAAGCAGAGGGTGGGAGGAGAGTGTGATCTGGGCATTTATTCTCCTGGCTCCCGTCCTGCTGGGCCTCTGTGGGTTGGCTGCATTCCTCCACCAAAGGCCTCCTGTCAAGGAGCTCTCCTACTGCCCCTGCTATTCTCCCTGTGTTCTGCAGTTCTGATCACCATTCCCTCTCTTTGCCTCTTCAGGCCTGGGGGCAGCAATGAAGTCCCCCAGGCTCCCCTGCTATTGCTACCCTTGTTGCTTTTTAAGGTTGCCATTAACCCTGCCCACATTTTGGTAAATAGTTCTTTTATTGAATTGTCCTCAATTACCCAGGGTGAGAGCTCATTCTGTTTCCTGCCAAGCATTGACTAGAACATATCGTATGTGTGTTTTCAACTTTACTAGACACTGATAAATCAAACTAACCTTCCAGTCTCAATCTCTTCCAGGAAACTTGCTGATGAAATCTTAGATATTTTCCAACGCTACTAAAATATGATTTTCACGCTTTTTCCCATCTGAAATCTCTGCTCTGGTCAGATTGGCCTAGTCACTGGTCCATGAGCATGGCTTTGCTGTTAGGTCTTCTTGAATAGAATAGTCTTCCTTCCATTTTTCCCATTTTTTCATACTGTGATCATCCAAGCCCCTCCACTTACCCTCACCCTCTCTCAGCTTCCTATGAAGGAATCTTACCTGCTTCATAAAATCATTCAAACTGCTGAGGGGACCGATGCTTAGCACTTACCGCCTCCCACCGCCCCCACTCCCTCGGCACTCTGCTTCTCTAAATTTCTTGTATGGTTGCTTTTCATTATTAATGAGTTTTTCTTATGTATATGTCAAATGTCTTCCATTACACTTTTCTTTAATGAAACTTTCGTGCTCGTTCTCTCTGTATATATTTTTAGTATTCCCAATATTACCAAAGTTACCTTTTTAGTATTCACCCATATTGCCTAACTGCTGTTTACAGACAGGTGCTCAATTAGTATTTTAAATGAAGCACTCAATCAATTTACTGCACTAACCTCAATAACCAAGACTTAGTAATAACATATAATCTGACAACCTGAAATCTTCTCTGCAGTTCTAAATAGATGAAACTTTCATTTTCATGTCACTTTAATTTATTATGTCACATGTATCCTGTTAAATGGCCTGTGTGTCTGAGTTCAGAGAAGTATACATTTTAGTAGTGAATGAACTAATGCCTATGAATTTACTGTAGGTATAAAACTTCCATTAAAATAAAAATATTCATATTCTCATTGGAAAACAATTATTAGCAATGAAAACAATGGTGATACCCAATCAGGTTAGTTAATAGGAATCAAGGGCCTTCTATTTTCCACTTACCCCAATGTGAAAATCTGAGGTTGCTTTTTGGACTTTGAAGAATCTGTTAGTATCTGCAGGCATCCTAATGGAAATTGACACAAAATAAATGCATCCATACTATTTTTAACTCCACAGGGGGAGAAAAGGCAAGGAGAAATTAAGTTTCTCTGCATGAAAATAGGAAGAGAAGTAGTTTTCAGGAGTTTGCCTAAGCAAAAAGAAAAAAAAAATTAGTCCCTCAACTTTCATAGCAACTCCCAAATGCAACAAAAATCACCACCACCACCAATCTCTATATAACGTATACTCAGGATACAAAATATCCTGGGTAATTTTCTCCCTTTTTTAACATTGGACTTTAAGTCTTTGGAGTGCAGTGGCGCAATCTTGGCTCACTGCAAGCTCCGCCTCCTGGGTTCACGTCACTCTCCTGGCTCAGCCTCCCGAGTAGCTGGGACTACAGGCGCCTGCCACCACGCCCGGCTAATTTTTTGTGCTTTTAGTAGAGACGGGGTTTCACCGTGTTAGCCAGGATGGTCTCGATCTCCTGACCTCGTGATCCGCCCGCCTCGGCCTCCCAAAGTGCTGGGATTACAGGCGTGAGCCACCGCGCCCGGCCTCTTTTTTTTTTTTTTTTAAATGAATCTGTGAGAAGCACCGCAATTGCATTTGTAAGAAGGTACTCAGAGTAGCAAGTAGATTCTAAAGGGGTGAGCCTGGAGCGGTGGCTCACTCCTTTAATCCCAACACTTTGGGGGGCCGAGGCGGGTGGATCACCTGAGGTCGGGAGTTTGAGACCAGCCTGGCCAACTTGGTGAAAACCCGTCTCTACTAAAAAAAATACAAAAATTAGCTGGGTGTGGTCGCGGGCTCCTGTAATCCCAGCTATTCAGGAGGCTGAGACAGGAGAATCGCTTGAATCCAGGAGGCACAGAGGTTGCAGTGAGCTGAGATCGCACGACTGCACTCCAGCCAGAGGCGACAGAGTGAGACTCTGTCTCAAAAAAAAAAAAAAAAGAAAAGAAAAGAAAAGAAAAGCGGCCGGGCAAAGTGGCTCACGCCTGTAATCCCAGCACTTTGGGAGGCCGAGGCGGGCAGATTACGAGGTCAGGAGATCCAGACCATCCTGGCTAACACGGTGAAACCCCATCTCTACTAAAAATACAAAAACAAAATTAGCCGGGCGCGGTGGTGGGCGCCTGTAGTCCCAGCTACTTGGGAGGCTGAGGCAGGAGAATGGCGTGAACCCGGGAGGCGGAGCTTGCAGTGAGCCGAGATCGCGCCACTGCACTCCAGCCTGGGCGACAGAGCGAGACTCCGTCTCAAAAAGAAAAAAAAAAGAAAAAGAAAAAGAAAAAAGAAAAGCACCAGCTCAAAGAAAAAAATAGGGGATTATCATTACACATAGCAAGAAGTCTGAAGACAGGTAATTCTGGAATTGGTTAATTAGTTGCAAAATGATGTTGATAACCCAGATGCTTCTCAACGTTCTGCTTTGGCATCCTCAATGTGTTGCGTTTTGTGCTCAGATGTAAGCCTTCATTCTAACAAAATGGCTGTCACAGCTTCAACCATTCACATCTTCAGGAAAACTGTACTCAAAGGCAAGAAGGGCAATCTCTTCTTGTGCTTCTTTTTTTTAAGACAGGGTCTCATTCTATCGCCCAGGTTGGAGTGCAGTGGCACTATCTCCACTCACTGCAACCTCAGCCTCCCAGGTTCTAGCCATCCTCCTGCCTCAGCCTCACGAGTAGCTGGGATTACAGGCGCGTGCCACCACACCCAACTAATTTTTGTATTTTCAATAGAGACGAGGTTTCGCCATGTTGGCCAGGCTGGCTCGAACTCTTGACCTCAAATGATCCACCTGCCTCGGCTTCCCAAAGTGCTGGGATTACAGGCATAAGCCACCGCGCCCAGCTTATAAATACTCTTTATGAATAACAGAGTGCTAGACAGGATAAAAGAAAGATTACAAGAGGTTAAAGAGAGAATGAATGGTGAGAAAATGAAAGTAGTCAATAAAAACAATTTTTATTTTTGTATTTTTTTTGAGACAGAGTCTTGCTCTGTCACCCAGGCTGGAGTGCAGTGGTGCGATCTCGGCTCACTGCAACATCTGCCTCCTGGGTTCAAGCGATTCTCCTGTCTCAGCCTCCAGAGTAGCTGGGATTACAGGCGCGCACCACCACGCCCGCCTGATTTTTGTATTTTTAGTAGAGACGGGGTTTTGCCACGTTGGCCAGGCTGGTCTCGAACTCCTGACCCCAGGTGATCCACCTGCCTCGGCCTCCTAGAGTGCTGGGATTACAGGCGTGAGCCACCACGCCCGGCCACAAACAATTTTTGAAGTTGTAAGAAAAAGCCAGAAGTAGAGTGAGGGTTAAGGTAGCTCTGATGAGGGAAGGTGTTATTTTGTCCTCCCCACCCATAGCACAGATCTGAAAATGTCCAAAGGAGAATGAGTCCCTGAAAGGAGATTGAGGGATGTTGTTAGCAAGGAAAGAGGCAAGCCTTGAATCAAGGACAGGCAAGTTATCCGTTGATGAGAGAGAGGTGGAGTGGGTTCTGGAGTGGTGGTCCTAGAAGCATTGTCTCCAGACCAGCAGCACCACCTAGGAACTTGTTAGACATGCAGATTCCCAGGCCACATCTCAAACCTACTGAATCAGATCTCTGAGGATGGGACTCAGCAATCTCTGTGTTAACAAGCCCTACAGGTGATTCTGACGTACACTAAAGTTTGACAATAAATGTGCCAGGGAATTGTTTATATTGTACCTAACTGTAATGTGTGCCTTTGCAATTTAAACTATTTTCTTGGGTCAGGAAATGTTTCCTGTTTTGTTCTTCCACCTGTGGGCTCAGGTAGACTCAGACACTGAGGCCCTTCTAGCCCTGAGGAGGGTGTACAGAACTCTAGACATACTAGGAGGCTTGAGTGTTGCCTCTTTGTTGCTATTCTTGCTGGGCTGGTTACCTACATTTCTTTTTTTCTTGCCCAGGCTCTTATTGAGTTCATAGACAAAGGGCCACCGATTTTTTTTTTGTCCTGTTAATGACTCTCCATTGCAAACACATGAAAGCCTGCACCCCTAAGCATGGAAAGCCAAGCCTTCTATGATCTCAACTCTGCTCACTTCTTGAGTCTTCTACCTTGCTGCCCTGAGGGGAACCTTTTCTCTCTGGCAAGAGATCTGTGGAAGGGAACTGAGAAAAATTCTTACAGAGTCCTAGCACCATTTGATCTGCTTGCATAGCTTTATTACTTGCCTACTACATGCCAGGAATTCTACAACAGACTGGGATGAAAAGATGCCTTACAAAGAAGCATAACATATTCTGGAAGAGACAGCCTGTTTTCATTCAGAATGCTATCACAGAATACCATAGAGCAAGTGGCTTAAAGAATAAACATTTTAAACAGCAAGCATGTATTTCTCACAGTTCTAGAGACTGGGAAGTCCAAGATTAGGTGGCTGACAGATCTGGTGTCTTGTGAGGGCACTCTTTCTAGTTTGTAGATGGCTATCTTCTCATTGTATCCTCATATGGGAGAGAAAAAAATATCACCTCTCTCGTGTCTCTTCTTATAAGGAAACTAATACCATTTGTTTTTTTTTGTTGTTGTTGTTGTTTGTTTTTGATTTTTTTTTTTTTTAGACAGTCTCGTTCTGTCACCAGGCTGGAGTGCAGTGGCACAATCTCGGCTCACTGTAACGTCTGCCTCCCGGATTCAAGCGATTCTCCTGCCTCAGCCTCTCGAGTAGCTGGGACTACAGGTGTGAGCCACTACACCCAGCTAATTTTCATATTTTTAGTAGAGACGAGGTTTCACCATGTTGGCCAGGATGGTCTCGATCTTTTGACCTCATGATCCGTCTGCCTTGGCCTCCCAAAGTGCTGGGGTTATAGGCATCAGCCACTGCACCCACAGTAGATATCCACAAATGGTATCTACTGATACCATTTGTAAGGGCTCCCCCTTATGACCTAATCACGTTATAAAGATGCCACCTCCTACTACCCTCACCTTCAGTGTTAGTATTTTAACATATAATTGTTGGGGGGCACAAACATTCAGTTCACAATACAGTCAAAGAAACAAATGCTTTGGTGATGGCTTCGGCAGCACATATACAAAAATTGGAATGATACAAGATTAGCATGCCCCCTGCTTAAGGATGACACACAAATTCGTGAAGCATTCCTTTTTTTTTTTTTCTGTTGCTCAGGCTGGAGTGCAGTGGCGTGATCTCGGCTCACTGCAACCTCCACCTCCTGGGTTCAAACAATTCTCCTGCTTCAGCCTTAGCTGGGATTACAGGCACATGCCACCATGCCTGGCTAATTTTAGTACAGAAGGGGTTTCACCATGTTGGTCAGGCTGGTCTCAAACTCCTGACCTCATGATCTGCCCGCCTCAGCCTCCCAAAGTGCTGGGATTATAGGCGTGAGCCACCGAGCCCCACCAGCATTCCATATATATATATTTTTTAATTGAAAAAAGAAAGAAACAAGCTGGGTGTGGTGGCTCACACCTGTAATCCCAGCACTTTGGGAGGCCAAGGCAGGTGGATCACCTGAGGTCAGGAGTTTGAGATCAGCCTGGCCAACATGGTGAAACCCCATCTCTACTAAAAACAAAAATTAGCTGGGTGTGGTGGCATGCACCTGTAATCCCAGCTACTCGGGAGGCTGAGGCAGGAGAATCACTTGAACCCGGGAGGTGGAGGTTGCAGTGAGCCAAGTTCATGCCACTGCACTCCAGCCTGGGTGACAGAGCAAGACTGCGTCTCAAAAAAAAAAAAAAAAAAAAAAAGGAAAAGAAAAGAAAGAAAGAAATCAGTACCTACATTTAAGAACATAGTTTTATTTATTTATTTATTTATTTTGAGACGGAGTCTTGCTCTGTCACCCAGGCTGGGGTGCAGTGGCGTCATCTCGGCTCACTGCAAGCTCCGCCTCCCAGGTTCATGCCATTCTGCTGCCTCAGCCTCCTGAGTAGCTGGGACTACAGGTGCCCACCACCACGCCCGGCTAATTTTTTGTATTTTTAGTAGAGATGGGGTTTCACCGTGTTAGCCAGGATGGTCTCAATCGCCTGACCTCGTGATCCGCCCACCTCGGCCTCCCAAAGTGCTGGGATTACAGGCGTGAGACACTGCACCCGGCCCCAGAACATAGTTTTAAAGAAAAAGTAGGAAGTGGCTGAGAGAAGGTAGAGGTATGTGTTTTCGATAAAAAGAACAGCATAAGCAAAGGCAGGGGGTTGAAACAGGACAGCAATTGCTGGGATCTTAGAAGTTGGAGTTTGAGAGTGGCAGATTAGGCAGCTGGAGAGGGAGAACAAGAGTAACCGACTGCTCCACTTTGCCCAGAACTGTCCCAGTTTTAGCAGTGAAAGTCCCCTGTCCCTCAGTTCTGGGCAAACCAGGATGGTTGGTCACAGGAGGACAGAAGACAGGACGCAGAAAGTCTTCTGTGCCATGCCAAAGAGCACACTCTTTCTGTTGTTGTTGTTGGTGATGGTGGTGGTGTTTTTTTTTTTTTAGATGGAGTCTCACTCTGTTGCCCAGGCTGGAGTGCAGTGTCGAGATCTTGGCTCACTGCAACCTCTGCCTCCAGGTTCACACAGTTCTCCTGCCTCAGCCTCCCAAGTAGCTGGGATTATAGGTGCCCGCCACCATGCCCGGCTAATTTTTGTATTACTAGAGATGGAGTTCCACCATGTTGGCCAGGCTGGTCTCTAACTCTTGACCTCAAGTGTTCCCCCGACCTTGGCCTCCCAAAGTGCTGGCATTATAGGTGCGAGCCACTGCACCTAGCCAAGAAGCACACTCTTGATCCATCAGGATCAAGAGCCACTAAGGGTGACAGGAGGGATCTGGAAAAACATCACGGGGCTGCATTAGCAAGCGTAGGGGCCACAGTGGGCTAACCCTACACAAGACAGGGGAGGACAAATCAAGTCTCCTGGCTTTTGCTGTCCCACTCATACGGGAAAATTAAAACATATAAAAACAAAAACAAAACAAAAGAAAATATTGTTAAAGAGGGAGGAAGGCAAGGCAGGAAGGCAAGGAGAGAGGATGAGACTGGAAGTCTGGAGTTCTGTGTTCATTCTTTCTACTTACCCAAACAAGCTCTGGAAGCTTCAGTTTCCACATCTGTGAAATGGGATAACACCTACCTCCTTGGTTTGTTTTGATGATCAAACAACAGAGTGCATGTAAAAACGCTTGGTATACTATAAAGCCCTATATGAGTATTACTAATAGGACCACTGTCACTCAAAATGTACCCAACCACATCAATCTAGAAAGCGTGATTTTGGTTGTAATTTCATCACATTGCTTATTGCTTTCAACAGCACTCTGTCATCATTAATAACTCCTGCAGGTCAGCAGGCTTGAGTGGCATTGAGAGCTGCTGAGAATTGCTAGGGGAAAGGCAGTCCAGATTTTTCGTCTTCTTCTCCCACATTATACACATTTAGGCCAGGCGCTTGTGGCTAACACCTGCAATCCCAGCACTTTGGGAGGCCAAGGTGGGCAGATCACTTGAGGCCAGGAGTTTGAGACCAGCCTGGCCAACATAGTGAAACCCCATCTCTACTAAAAATATGAAAATTAGCCAGATGTGATGTGCTCCTGTAATCCCAGCTACACGGGAAGCTGAGGCACGAGTATCACTTGAACCTGGGAGGCGGAGGTTGCAGTGAGCTGAGATTGTCCCACCACACTCCAGCCTGGGCGACAGAGTGAGACTCAGTCTCAAATAAATAAATAAATAAATAAATAAATAAATAAATAAATAAATATTTAAACCAGGTAAAGTGAGATTAAAAAGAACAAGAGCAGGGCATGTGGACAGAAAGGAATGGGAAATATTTGTTCTAGACTCCAAAGTATGGGTTGATATCAAGTTGATGTTAAGTCAGATCATGCTCTGCTTATGTTCTTTTTTTTTTTTTTTTTGAGACCGAGTCTCACCCTGTTGTCCAGGCTGAGTGCAGTGGTGCGATCTCGGCTCACTGCAACCTCTGCCTCCTAGGTTCAAGCGATTCTCCTGCCTCAGCCTCCCGAGTAGCTGGGATTACAGGCCACCACACCTGGCTAACTTTTATATTTTTAGTAGAGATGGGGTTTCACCATGTTGGCCAGGCTGGTCTCAAACTCCTGGCCTCAGGTGATCCACCTGCCTTGGCCTCCCAAAGTGCTGGGATTACAGGTGTTAGCCACCACGCCTGGCCTCCTTATGGTCTTTTAATAATTACCTTTTGCCTGGAAGTTAAAGCTCACACTTCCTGATCTTACCCTTATTTACTTCTCTAGGTTCTTTTTTTTTTTTCTTTTTTTTGGGGACAGGGTCTTGCTCTGTTATCCAGGCTGGAGTACAGTGGTATGATTATGGCTCACTGCAGCTTCAGCCTCCTGGGCTCAAGTGATCCTCCTGCCTCAGCCTCCTGAGTAGATAGGACTACAGGTGTGTACCACCATGCCTTTAAAATTTTATTTTTTTGTAAAGATGAGGTCTCTTTATGTTGCCCAGACCGGTCTCAAACTCCTAGGCTTAAGTGATCCTCCCATCTTGGCCTCCCAAAGTGCTGGGATTACAGGTGTGAGCCACTGCACCTGGCCTCTAGGTTCTCTTTAGTCCTTTGCTCTGGTATAGCTTACATTCCAACCACAACAAACTGCTAGCCATGGTGAAGTTTATTGTTTTCTATTCCAGCTGTTCTTGTCCTTCTCCCTTTGTCTGACCTTCCTTCTGGCATATACCTCCACTATGAGCTCAGATGCTACCTCCAACTGAAATCGACTTTGACTTCTTCAGGCGCAATCAGACACCTGTGAGCCTATAGCATGTTGAGCTCTTTTCTAGAACAGGGGAGAGTATCATGTAGCAGAAGAGCATTGGGTTTCCAGTCACACTCTGGCTTTTAAGCCCAGATCTACCATTTTCTTCCTTGGATGAAGCATAAGAGAAGCACCAGTGTAGATTGTGAAGGGCATGGATTCTGCGGCCAGACAGCCTGGCTGTGGGACCTTGGACAAGTTACCTAAACGCTTGGTCCCTCAGCACCCACGGATGTAAAACGAAGGTGATGATATTAATGCCCTCCTCAAAGGATAGTTGTGAAAGTAAAATGAGTTAATAAAAAAAATAAAATGAGTTACATGAGAAAACACTGAGGGCTGGGCGTGGTGACTCATGCCTGTAATCCCAGCACTTTGGGAGGCTGAGGCGGGTGGATCACTTGAGGTTGGGTGATCGAGACCAGCCTGGCCAACATGGTGAAACCCGGTCTCTACTAAAAATACAAAAATTAGCTGGGCACGTTGGTGCACGCCTATAATCCTAGCTACTCGGGAGGCTGAGGCATGAGAATTGCTTGAACCTAGAAGGCGAGGGCTGCAGTGAACCGAAATCACAGCACTGCACTCCAGCCTGGGCGACAGAGGGGGACTTTGGTCTCAAAACAACAACAACAACAACAACAATTTAAAAATAAATAAATTAATTAAAACATTGAGAACAGGGCCCGACACTTGCTTGTCTGCTCTTGTTATTAATCTCACAGTTTCTTCTTTTGTGAAAAGGGAATAACACTCACTGGTGAGAGCGGAATGAAGATGACTGGAGGTAAGCAGGAGTGCTTGGTATAGAGAAGAACTCTTTTTCTTGCCCTTTACCTCTTGTCCTTGGAATTCCAATTCTTCATTTATAGGTATTTCCACCACTAAAATCTCCCAGCTCCCCCAGGGAAGAGAAAAGCTCACATCTTTGTGTCCTCAGCCTCTGGCACACAGTAGGTGCTCAAGAAATGCTTGGTGAAAGAATTGATAAAAATGTAGTAGTAGAAAAACTCAAAATGACCTTAAAGTCCTCTTAGCAATATCCTGAAAGGCCACCAAATAGGAATGTTAATCCCTAAAATCCTGTATCTTTATAAATTGGTGTGAAATTCACTGTTTATTAGGTTTTTTTTTTTCTTTTAATTTTGTGTTTGTATTTCTTGGTGTTTCCCCCCTCCTCCTGAGGTCTTCTTTCTTCTCTGTACTCTGCATTAATCTTGGACAGGGTTTCTCAGCCTTGGCACTAACAGCTTTTTTTTTTTTTTTTTTTTTTTTTTTTTTTTGAGACAAGGTCTCATTCCTGTCGCCCAGGCTAGAGTGCAATGGCACAATCACAGCTCACTGCAGCTGACCTCCTGGGGTCAAGGAATCCACCCGCCTCAGGCTCCCAAAGTGCTGGGATTACAGCTGTGAGCCACTGCGCCTGGCCTTTTTTTTTTTTTTTTTTTTTTTCTTTTTTGTAGAGACGAGGTCTTGCCCAGCTTGGTTTTAACTCCTGAGCTCAAGTGATCCTGCTGGCTCAGCCTCCCAAAGTGCTGGGATTACAGAGGTGAGCCACTGAGCTAGGCCTTTGTGTTTTTTTTAGAGACAGAGTCTTGCTCTGTCACCCAGGCTGGAGTGCAGTGGTGCGATCATAGCTCACTGCAGCCTTGACCTCCTGGGCTCAAGTGATCCTCCTGCCTCAGCTTCCTGAATAGCTGGGACAACCTGCATGCACCACCACACCCAGCTAATTTTTTATTTTTTTGTAGAGATGAGATCTCACTGTTTGTTGGCCTGGTCTCAAACCCCTGGGCTCGAGAGATCCTCCCATGTCCACCTCCCAAAGCACTAGGATTACAGGCATGAGCCATCGCACTTGGCCAACTCGCTTGTGGGGACCGTCTAGTATGTTGTAGGATGCTTAGCAACATCCCTGCCCTCTACCCACAAGATGCCAGTAGCATCTCCCACCCCGTAGTTCTGACAACCTAAAATGTCTCTGGACTTGGCCAAAAGTCAGATGGCTGGAGGGTGCAACCCTTCAGAAACACATGTCTAGGGAATCTGCTTAAGTGCTTTCACATAAAGTAAATCTTGGTAGAATTGATTTTTTTCTCTTTATCTCCAAGGCAAAAATTGGGTTCATATACTTCACCTCCCAATGGAACAGATTCTGACAGGGAAGGAAAAAAAAATATGTTTTCTCCCCTGACTGCAGTGTTCTGTATCTTCACTCTCAGAAATGCGAGGACAGGCAGGGTGGGATCAGGACCGTGTTTTATTTATCTGGACAAATGCTCCCAAAATAGCAATGGCAAGTTTTTTTCTTTTTCTTTTAGAAAACTGTAAGAATTCAGTGTTTTACAATTCAGATGAAGGCTAAAAACATATCAAGCTGTGTGATTTTCTGGGAGTGAGGAGAGGGGTGGTTCCATCATGGCATAACTGCATTAAAACTGTTCAACATCAGAAAGACTTTTTACGGCATCAAAGAAAAACGTATATGTTGAAAAAGAATATGCATGCTAAAACACATTGTTACTATAAATCCTTGAATCTGAGACACAATGAACAGTGTTGCCTTACTAATAGTACAACTTTAAAACTATTTAAGCTGGGAAATTTGTTATCGGGTGACTCATACAACTGGGGAAATCCAGTTCCTTGGTGCCAAAGATTAAAGAAAGAGATTAAGTATTTAAATGTTGAGATTCCATTCAGTCTTGTGAATGAATTAAAGTAAGCTTGGACGGGTAGAAAAGAAAGAGGGTAGCTACTCATCAAGTTAAAGATGTTAAAGAGCTCTCCGGATTTAAATGATAAAACCTTATATTTATAACAGGTTTATCTTTCAAATAGCATGCATACTTTTATTTTTTTATTTTGAAACATTTGCAAAGTTGAATAAAAAAGTTAAGTGCAGTGCAAAGGACTTTTTGTCCTTGACCATTTGAGAGTGAGGACTTGGTGCTCCACCACCCCAAATATTTTTAGTATTGTTTCCTACAAATAAAGACCTTCTCCTACGTAATCACAGTGCAACCATCAAAATTAGAAAATTAACATTGATACATGATCACTACCTAATCCTCAGATCTCACTCAAGTTTTGTCAATTGTCTCAATAAAATGTTCTGTAGCAATAGGATCCAGTTCAGAATCACACATTGTTCTGAGTCTTTATGTCTGTCTAGTCTGCTTCAGCCTGGAACAATTCCCCAGTCTTTCCTTGACGTTCATGACCTTGATACATTTGAAGAAAACAGGTCGGTTATTTTGTAACTTGTCCCTTAATTTGGGGTTTACTGGTGTTTTCATATGATTACATTCAGGTTATACACCTTTTAGAGGAATACCATAGAAGTGATAACTGCTTTCTTCTTATATCCTATCAGGTAGCACATAATTTCAATTTGTCCTATTACTAATGATTTTGACTTTGGTTCTTTGATCTGGGCAGTATCTGTCCACCATGAACCACGTAAATATCCCATTCCTCATCAAACTTTTGATGTGTGTGTGTGTATGTATGTATGTATGTATGTATATGTCTTTATGTCTGTTTGAACCCATAATTCCTTATTTTATTCAATGGGTTATAATCTCTTACTGCCATTTTTAATTTTGATGCTCAAATTGTTCCTGATTTGACCAGTGGAAGTCCCTTCAAGCTGGCATCTATGTCCTTTTCACATGTTTCTGTCATTTCTTGAGCCCTTCCTTGCTCTGTCACTACCAGCTGTTCCAGACTCATCTTATACTTTTCCTGCCTCAGATGTGGGATCAGCCATTTCTCTAAGGAGCCCTGGTTCCTTTTCAAGGAAAATATTATTTATAAGCTAAGATCTTGAGCCTGGCATGATGGCTCATGCCTGTAATCCCAGCACTTTGGGAGGCTGAGGTGGGTGGATCTCCTGAGGTCAGGAGTTTGAGACCAGCCTGGCCAACATAGTGAAACTCCATCTCTACTAAAAATACAAAAAATTAGCTGGGCATGGTGGTGGGGGCCTGTAATCCCAGCTACTCGAAAGGCTGAGGCAGGAGAATCGCTTGAACTCGGGAGGCGGAGGTTGCAATGAGCTGAGATCTCACTATTGCACTCCAGCCTGGGCAACCAGAGCGAAACTCTGTCTGAAAAAAAAAAAAAGAAGCTAACATCTTGACACTAGCTCTGCTCATTGCTATTGGGCTGTCATCTCTTCCAGGCCTGCTGTGATAGCTATGAAATGTGTCACTCAGTTCTCCTGCTGTGGGGAGCATAATTGACAGATAGCCCCAACTACTGCCTCCTAAATCTATCACCCTATTCACACTGAGGCCAACTTTTAAAGGGTTATTCCCAGTCAGTGCCTGAGCCCAGCAGGGGTACTAAGGTAGGTCTGTTCTGGCAAAATACAGGAATCCTCTAGGGGACAACTTTGGCTTGGGACTCCCAATCTGCTTGGTAAATTCATTCTTGGAACAATGCAGTAGTCCAAGACTTGTCCTACTCCAATCCTTCATTCTTCTCTCCTTCTAGAAATGTCAGATCTGCATCTCAGCGTGAGGAATCTCTCTTCCTTCTCTTACTTTCTACTGGTATTACTTACCTATTACTGTGTAACAATTACCCCCAAAATGTAGTGGCTTAAAATAAGTACAATTTGCCCTTGAACAACACAGGTTTGAACTGAGTGGGTCCACTTATACATGAACTTTTTTCAGTAAATATATTGGAATTTTTTTGGAGATTGGCAACAATTTGAAAAAACTTGAAGATAAACCATATACCCTAGAAATAGCAAAAAAATTAAGAAAAAGTTAGGTATGTCATGAATGCACAAAATATATGTAGATACTAGTCTATTTTTGTCATTTACTACCATAAATTATACACAAATCTATTCCAAAAAATTGAAATTTATCAAAACTTACACACACAAATACAGACCATACATGGCTTCATTTTCGTCTAGATAAATGTAAACAAATGTAAAGATGCAATATGAAATCATAACTGCATAAAATTAACTGTTGTATATACTGTACTACTGTTATAATTTCACAGCCACCTCCTATTGCTATTGTGATGAGATCAAGTATTGTGAGTATCTGCTTAAAACCCAGTGGGATGCTACTCATCTCTGTGTGAGCAGCTGATCTTTCCAGTAAATGGCATTTCACAGTGAAAAGTGATTTCTCGTGGATCTTGCACGTTTTTTATCGCATTTAGTGCAATACCATAAACCCTTGAATAACATCCTGGAACCCATGCAAAGTGCCACTAGTGATGCTGGAAGTGCTCCCAAGAAGCAGAAAAAAGTCATGACCTTACAAGAAAAAAGTGGAATTGCTTGGTATGTACTGTAGATTGAGGTCTGCATACCATTACCCATTACTTCAAAGTATCCATCTTTATGTAATTTTGCAATATCGATAAGCACAGTACAGTACTGTACTGTATAGTACTGTAAATGTATTTTCTCATCCTTAAGATTTTCATGAAAAATAAAATTACATTTTCTTTTTTCTAGCTTACTTTAGTGTAAGAATACAGTATATATAATAAATATAACAAACAATATGTGTAAATCAACTATGTTACCAGTAAGCCTTCTGGTTGACAATAGGCTATTAGTAATTAAGTTTTGGAGGAGTCAAAAGTTATACATGGGCTGATACGGTGGCTCAGGCCTATAATCCTAGCACTTTGGGAGGCTGAGGAGGGTGAATCACCTGAGGTCAGGAGTTCAAGACTAGCCTGGCCAACATGGCAAAACCCTGTTTCTACTTTTAAAAAATACAAAAATTAGGGCTGGGCGCAGTGGCTCACGCCTATAATCCCAGCATTTTGGGAGGCCAAGGTGGGGGGATCACGAGCTCAAGAGATAGAGACCATCCTGACCAACATGGTGAAACCCCATCTCTACTAAAAATACAAAAATTATCTGCGCGTGGTGGTGCGCACCTGTAGTCCCAGCTATTCCAGAGGCTGAGGCAGGAGAATCACTTGAACCCAGGAGGCAGAGGTGGCAGTGAGCCGAGATCACGCTACTGTACTCCAGCCTGGCGACAGAGTGAGAATCTGTCTCAAAAACAACAACAACAACACCAAAATTAGCTGGGTGTGGTGGCACATGCCTGTAATCTCAGCTACTCAGGAGGCTGAGGCAGGAGAATCGCTTGAACTCAGGAGGCTGAGATTGCAGTGAGCCGAGATTGCACCGCTGCACTCCAACCTGGGTGACAGAGTGAGACTCTGTCTCAAAACAAAAAAAGCTATACATGGATTTTCAACTGAGTGGAGGTCAGCACTTCTAACCTCCACGTTTTTCAAGGGTCGATTGTGTTTATTATCTCACAGTTTCTATAGGTCAGAAATTCTGGAGCAGCTTCACTGGCTTGAAATCTCTCATGATGTTGCTGTGAAGATGTCAGCCAAAGCATAGTCATATGGTGGCTTGGCTTCGGCCTCAAGGATCTACTTCCAAGATGACTCACTTGGTTGTTGGAAGGAGGTCTCAGTTCCTTACTACATGGACGACTCCATAGGGCATCTTGAGTATCTCATGCCATGGCAGCTGATTCTCCCCCTACAGTGACTGTTTCAATAGAACAACACAGACACTACTATGTCTTTTATTGTTTAGCCTGAAAGTCTCATGCTGTCACTGCAGTAATAGGTCAGTCCTACTCAGTGTGGGAGGGGATTTCACAGGGATGTGACTACCAAGAGGTGAGAATCATTAGGGACCATGCTGGAGGCTATCACACTCCCCCAATAAATCTCTTGCACATTGAATTCTGTCTCGGTGCCTGCTTATTAGTAGGCCTTAACTAACACATTTTCTTGGTAGACAGAGCTAGGATCTGTGCATTCATGTGTACACAAATACATGCACATATTCATATACACACTTACAACTATATTTATTTCTATACCTATCCATATATATTGAAAATCGTGAATTTATATGAATATATCCTATTAATATGGCATCACAGGGTCATTCTAGTTTTCTCTGTTTCTTTATTTGTAATTCCTGTGTATCTGTTGAGATGTTCATTTATTTTGTTAAATTTAGGAAGTTGACCAGGCGCAGTGACTCACACCTGTAACCCCAGCAATTTGGGAGACCGAGGCGGGCAGATCACTTGAGGTCAGGAGTTCGAGACCAGCCTGGCCAATATGGTGAAACCCTGTCTCTATTAAAAATACAAAAATTAGCCAGGAGTGGTAGCACGCACTTGTAATCCCAGCTACTCAGGAGGCTGAGGAATGAGAATAGCTTGAACCTGGAAGGTGGAGGTTGCAGTGAGCTAAGTTCATGCCACTATACTCTAGCTCGAGTGACAGAGTGACAGAGTGAGACTCTGTCTCAAAAAAAAAATTTAGGAAGTTTTTAAGTTATTTTTTTCAAGTATTCTTTCTCCTCCTTTCTATCCCTCCTCTCCCTCTGGGATTCCTGTTATGCATATATTGATATACTTGATGGTATCCTACAATTCTCTTAGTGTCTGTTCATTTTTCTTCATTCTTTTTTCTTTCTGCTTCTCAGACTGGATGATTTCAATTGACTTATCTTCAGTTTTCTGATATTTCTGACTGCTTAAATCTGCTGTTGAATGTGTCTAGCGAATTTTTTCTTTCAGTTTATTACACTTTTTAGCTCCAGAATTTCTATTTGGTTCCTTTAAATAATTTTTCTGCCTTTATTGATATTTTCTACTTGTTGAGACACTGTTCTCCTTTGGTTCTTTGTCCATGATGGCTTCCTTTAGTTTTTTTGTTTTTTTTTTTTTGAGACAGAGTCTCAGTCTGTTGCCCAGGCTGGAGTGCAGTGGCACGATCTCGGCTCAGTACAACCTTTGCCTCCCAGGTTCAAGCAATTCTTCTGTCTCAGCCTCCCGAGTAGCTGGGACTACAGGCACATGCCACCACACCTGGCTAATTTTTGTATTTTCAGTAGAGATGGGATTTCACCATATTGGTGAAGCTGGTCTTGAACTCCTGACCTCAGGTGAACCATCTGCCTTGGCCTCCCAATGTGCTGGGATTACAGGCATGAGCCACTGCACCTGGCCAGCTACATTTAGTTCTTTGAGCATATTTAAGAGAGTTGATTTGAAGTCTTTGTCTAGTAAGTCCAATGCCTATGCTTTCTCAAGGACTGTTTTTGTTAATTTTTTTTTCCTATGAACAGGGCACACTTCATTGTTTTTTGCATGCCTCATAATTTTTTGTTGAAAAGTGGTCATTTTGAATATAACAATGCGGTAACTCTGGAAATAAAATTCTCCCCATTCCAGGATTTTTTGTTGCTCTCTGTAGGTTGTGGTTGTTTGTTTAGTGACTTTTCTAAACTATTTTATACGGTTCTTTGAATTGTGTGGTCTCTGTTTTTTTAGCATAGTAGTCAGCTAATGGTTTATCAAAGATTTTCTTAAACTCCTAGAGGCAAAAAAGAAAAAGTACCATCAGGTCTTTGCAAATTGGCTCTGTGTTGGTGCCAATACTTCAATGCTCAGCCACACCATTTATTTATTTATTTTTGAGACAGAGTCTCACTCCGTTGCCCAGGCTGGAGTGCAGTGGCGCGATCTCGGCTCACTACAACTTCTACCTCCTGGGTTCAAGCAATTCTCCTGCCTCAGCCTCCTGAGTAGCTGGGACTAGAGGTGCATGCCACCACACCTGGCTAATTTTCGTATTTTTTAGTAGAGACAGGGTTTCACCATAGTGGACAGGATGGTCTGGATCTCCTGACCTCATGATCTGCCTGCCTTGGCCTCTCAAAGTGCTGGGATTACAGGTGTGAGCCACTGCACCCGGCTGACTAGCCACACCATTTATAACTCTGCCTTAGCCTTCACTTCTTACTTGTGCTAAGCCTAAAAATCAACCAGAGGTGAAGCCTATGGTGTTCTCAGACCTTTTCTGAGGATGTATCCTGGCCTGGGCCTTTTTGATTCCCCTACATAACCAGGGGCTTTTCAGAGCCTTTATTCCGCAAGTATATCAATCCCCAAGTTTTTCTTCTCAGGCTTTCTACAAGTGTATTTTTTTTGCCACAGCTGTTATCTTTTGCTCTAGGCATCTGGGCTTTATTCATTGGCTGTCCAATGTTTTTGAGAAACCTCTTCCACAAAGCAACTTTTCTATCCTGAGAGAGTTTTGAGGTAAGTGGAACAAAGGCAAGTACCCTGCATTAGTCCCCTTGGGGATCCCCCAAACAGATTAAAACCTATGAACACAATTTCTCAGGAACAAGATTCCCTCCATTCCCTTCTGATATAGTTTGGATATTTGTTCCCACCCAAATCTCATGCTGAAATGTAATCCCCAATGTTGGAGTTGGGGCTGGGTGGGAGGTGTTTGGATCTTGGGGGCAGATTCCTCATGAATGGCTTGGACCATCCCCTTGGTGATGCTCTTGCTCTGGGTTCGCATGTGATCTGGTTGTTTGAAAGTGTGTGGCACCTGCCCTCACTCTCTCTCTTTCTCCTGTTCTCACCACGTGACGTGCATGCTCCTGCTTCGCCTTCGGTGATGAGTAAACATTTCCTGAGGCCTCCCCAGAAGCAGATCCTGGTGCCATGCTTTCTGTACAGCCTGCAGAACTATGAGCCAATTAAACCTCTTTTCTTGTAAATTACCCAGTCTCAGGTATTTCTTCACAGCAGCGCAAGAATGGCCTAACACACCTCCCAAACTGAGAACCTGCACTGAGAGCATGGGCTGCTGTCTTCTAGACTGCTGCTGCACTGGGCAGGGGGATTGGACAAGGGTAAGGTAAAACACGACAAACCTCTCCTACCATGATTCAGTGCCCATTATCCTTATTAAGCATTAGCTTGGTTGCTGTAAACCTTTGACTATCTTCTAGAGTTCTAATAAAGTTGTTTCTCATGACTTTTGCCAGTTTTTTCAGTGTTTCTGCAAAGGAAGAGAGTTCCCTACCCTTAGAGTTTCTTACTCCACCATTTTCATTGCCATTGGCACCAAGGTATCTTTGTTGTATTTGTAACTTCCTTCTCTGATAGTTAGAAACTCTGATTCCATTATCTTTAATATATTTACTTAGTAGATTAATCCTTCTCGATGTAACCAATATTCTTTTTTTTTTTTGGTTTTTTTTTTTTTTTTGAGATGGAGTCTCACTCTGTCACCCAGGCTGGAGTGCAGTGGTGCAATCTCGGCTTACTGCAACCTCTGCCTCCCGGGTTCCAGTGATTCTACTGCCTCAGCCTCCTGAGTAGCTGAGATTACAGGCACCTACTACCACACCCAGCTAATTTCTGTAGTTTTTAGTAGAGACGGGGTTTCACCATCTTGGCCAGGCAGATCTTGACCTCTTGACCTTGTGATCCACCCACTTCGGACTCCCAAAGTGCTAGGATTACAGGCATGAGCCACCATGCCAGGCTGGATGTAACCAATATTCTAACACCGCCATCATCCTCTCCCCTGAATGGACTCCCTCCTCTGTTTTCTCTGGCTCCGCTTCCCTTTTCCAGGTTACCCTCTATTGCAGATATCCTTTCATCCTGTTTGGGACAAACGTAAGAAATTTAATGTATAGCGTTTAATTTATTTTTCATGTTTTAATAGACTTTACAGGGGGTTTATATAGCTGATGTTGAAAAAAGAAAAATATTATTGAAAACAAAGTTACTTCTTTTCTTTTCTTTCTTTTCCTTTTTCTTTTTTTTTTTGAGACGAGGTTTTGCTCTTGTTGCCCAGGCTGGAGTGCAATGGAGTGATTTCGGCTCACCGCAACCTCTGCCTGCCGGGTTCAAGCGATTCTCCTGTCTCAGCCTCCCGAGAAGCTGGGACTACAGGCATGTGCTACCACTCCTGGCTAATTTTGTATTTTTAGTAGAGACGGGGTTTCTCCATGTTGATCAGGCTGGTCTTGAACTCCGGACCTCAGGTGATCTGCCCACCTCGGCCTCCCAAAGTGCTGGGATTACTGGCGTGAGCCACCATGCCTGGCCCCAAAGTATACTTATTTTCTAATTATAGTGAATTCTTCTTAGGCATCTGATGTGATATTTTCATGGTGCAGCTAGGAACAAGTGTTATTCCCATTGAAGGAGGGAAAAATAGATGGGCCAGGCGCAGTGGCTCATGCCTGTAATCCCAGCACTTTGGGAGTCTGGAACACTTGTCCCTCAAGTCTGGATCACTTGAGGCTAGGAGTTTGAGACCAGCCTAGCCAACATGGCGTAACCCTGCCCCTACTAAAAATACAAAAAAAAAAAAAAAAAAGCCGGGTGCGGTGGCTCACACCTGTAGTCTCAGCACTTTGGGAGGCCGAGGCAGGCGGATCACGAGGTCAGGAGATTGAGACCATCCTGGCTAACACGGTGAAACCTTGTCTCTACTAAAAATACAAATAATTAGCCAGGCGTGGTGGCAGGCGCCTGTAGTCCCAGCTACTCGGGAGGCTGAGGCAGTAGGCGTGAACTGGGGAAGAGGAGCTTGCAGTGAGCTGACATAGCACCACTGCACTCCAGTCTGGGCGACAGAGCAAGACTGTCAAAAAAAAAGAAAGAAAAGAAAAGAAAAGAAAAAGAAAGAAGGCAGGGCACGGTGGCTCATGCCTGTAATCCCAGCACTTTGGGAGGCCGAGGTGGGCAGATCATGAGGCCAGGAGTTCGTGACCAGCCTAGCCAGCATGGTGAAACCCCATCTCTACTATTAAAAAAATAATAATAAAAAAATAAAAATAAAAAAAGGAAGAAAGAAAGACATTAGCCAGGCATGGTGGCACGCGCTTGTAATCCCAGCTACTTGGGAGGCTGAGACATAAGAATTGCTTGAACCCTGGAGGTGGAGGTTGGAGTGAGCCGAGGTCACACCACTGCATTCCAGCCTGGTGACAGAGAGAGACTCTGTCTCAAAAAAGAAAAAAGAAAAATAGAGGCAAGAAGGCCACTCTTCATGATATACACCACATTTCTGGTAGGGAGTTATAGCAGCATCCTCTGTGCTGTTAGAGGATCCTATAATGTGTCCTTTGTCAACTCCCTCTTCCATTCCCAGCTTCTCCAAACCTTTGTCACTTTCCTGACCTCCTCCCCGACCACCATATTCTTTCTTACTTCACTCTCAATGTAGACTTTGCTTTCTGTTTTTATGTAAATGAAGGCAATCAAATCTTGTCTCCACTATCCCTTCCCCATGAAACCTATTTATAGCTACTAGGGGCAGATTCAGGTTTTGTAGTGCTGAGCATATACAACTGGAGAAGGAGATATTTTAAAGAAAATGAATACTAAAACAATCTTGGTTTTGCAAGTAGTATAAAAACATATGACCATCCTAATCATTGCCATGGTCCCTCCCAAGGCCTCTGGAAGGAGTCTGTGAAAGTGGGAGTGGAGAAAGGAGAGCTGAAGGTCAAGCAGCCACACTGACTCTCCTCTCCTCCAGAAGTGGAAATCCTCCTGCTCCTCCTCCCATCCAAGGCTGATCCATTCTGCTAGGCTCCAGATCCTCTTGAAGTCTCTGAATCACTTTCCTCACTCTCCTTCTTTATTTGATCACTTACTTCAGGTTACAAATATGATCACATTCCTCTCAAACTTAAAAACAAAGTAAGCAATCAACCCTAACTAAGTCAACTCCCAGATTCCTCCAGCCTCACATTCCTTTCCAGCCACCCAAGTGTTCTCTTTCCTTTAACAATAAGATTTGGGAAAAACCACTGCCCTCCCTCCCTGTTTCCCCTTCATTTCTCAATTCACTGCACTTTTGCTTTGGATCTCATACCTCTGCTGAAACTGCTTTGGCTTAAAGTCACCAATGACTATTTTGTGCACTTTATCTGTGATTTTTTTTAAAAAGCAGGCTTCAGGTTCTTTTGATTAGGTTGAACCAGGAAAACTGTCATTTTTGTAGGCTTTTTTTTTTTTTTGAGATGGAGTCTCACTCTGTTGCCAGGCTGGAAAGCAGTGGCGCCATCTCGGCTCACTGCAACCTCCACCTCCGGGGTTCAAGCGATTCTCCTGCCTCAGCCTCCCAAGTAGCTGGGATTACAGGTGCCTGCCACCACACCCAGCTAATTTTTGTATTTTTAGTAGGGACAGGGGTTTCACCATGTTGCCCAGGCTAGTCTCAAACTCCAGACCTCAGGTGATCTGTCTGCCTCAGCCTCCCAAAGTGCTGGGATTACAGGCGTGAGCCACCGCGCCCGGCCAGCGTTTCAGTTTAAAGGTGTATGTATTTTACTCCCAGACTGATTTTCTAAAACACTGGCATAATGTATGTTCCCATCAATGACGTTCGAGAAAGTTATAGTCACAATGCCCTCTTTTCAGCACTTCTCACAGCAGACTCTCTGTTGTTAACAGTTAACACTGCATTTGCCATTACTAATCATACCTTCTTTAGTGGTAGCAATTTCTTTCTTTCTTTTTTTTTTTTGAGACAGAGTTTCACTCTTTTTGCCCAGGCTGGAGTGCAATGGCGCGATCTCGGCTCACTGCAACCTCTGCCTCCCGGGTTCAAGCGATTCTCCTGCCTCAGCCTCCCAAGTAGCTGGGATTACAGGCGCCTGCCACCATGACCGGCTAATTTTTTTTTTGTATTTTTAGTAGAGACGGGGTTTCACGATGTTGGCCAGGGTGGTCTCGATTTCTCGACCTCGTGATCCGTCTGCCTCGGCTTCCCAAAGTGCTGGGATTACAGGAGTGAGCCACCGTGCCCGGCCAGTGGTAGCAATTTCAATAAGTGTTTTTTTTTTTTTTTTTTTTGAGACAGAGTCTTACTCTGTTGCCCAGGCTGGAGTGTGCAGTGGTGTAATCTCGGCTCACTGCAACCTCCGCCTCCCAGGTTCATGCCATTGTCCTGCCTCATTCTCCCGAGTAGCTGGGACTACAGGCGCCCACCACCATGCCCGGCTAATTTTCTGTATTTTTAGTAGAGACGGGGTTTCACCGTGTTAGCCAGGATGGTCTGGGCCTCCTGACCTCGTGATCCGCCCACCTCGGCCTCCCAAAGTGCTGGGATTACAGGCGTGAGCCACCGCGCCCGGCCTTTTTTTTTTTTTTTTTTTTTTTCAGACAGAGTCGCACTCTGTTACCCAGGCTGGGTGGCAATGGCGTGATCTTGGCTCACTGCAACCTCCGCCTCCCGGGTTCAAGCAATTCTCCTGTCTCAGCCTCCTGAGTAGCTCGGATTACAGGCACGTGTTACCATGCCTGGCTAATTTTTCTGTTTTTAGTAGAGATGGGGTTTCACCATGTTAGCCGTGCCGGTTTCGGACTCCCGGCCTCAGATGATCCATCCACCTCGGCCTCCTAGAGTGCTGGGATTACAGGCGTGAGCCACCGCGCCCGGCCTCCACCTGGATGTTTCATAGACACCTCCAATACAAAAGAGCCATTGTTAAACTTATTACCCACTCCTTCTTGAAATACTTCTTAGGTTTTCTTTTCTTTGTAAAGGAGACTCCCATTACTCTCTGTTTCTCTCTCAATTCACAACTAAAAGTCCTGTTTTAATCTCGTATTCTTTAAATCCATGATGTCTTTTCAGTCCTCAGCGCTGCTGTCCTGATTGCCCCTTTCATAGACTTCTGTACAATGTGCAAAATTCTTCAATGTCCGCATTGTTAATATGCTAAAATCTAAACTTCTTAGCATGGCTTGAAAAGGTTTTTATTAATCAATAGCTATTTAATGGTCCTGCCTCAATTCCTGACATTCTCTAAAAGCATTCCATGCATCAGCTATATGAATCTACTTTCAAATCCCCAACATACTAAGTTCTCTAATGATTCAGTGTCTTTAAACCTACTATTGTGATTGAAATTTTTTTTCAGTCTTGTTGGCCTGGCAAAGTCTGATTTGTATTTCCAACCTCAGCGCTAGGGTTATTTTCCCTTCTTTTGTTTTGTTTTGTTTTGTTTTTTTGAGACAGAGTTTCACTCTGTTGCCCAGTCTGGAGTTCAGGGGCGCAATCTCGGCTCACTGCAACCTTCGCCTCCTGGGTTCAAGTGATTCCTGTGCCTCAGCCTCGTGAGTAGCTGGGATTAAAGTTGTGAGCCACTGCGCCTGGCCCTTTTTTCCCTTCTTTGAATTGTCTAGGCAGAAAAGCATCTCTACACTTAGCAATTTTGTCTTTTTTTTTTTTTTAGTTGGAGACAGGGTCTCACTGTATTGCCCAGGCTGGAGTGCAGTGGCAAGATCACAGCTCACTGCAGCATTGGCCTCCTAGGCTCAAGTGATCCTCCAACCTTAGCCTCCCGAATAGCTAGGACTCCAGGTACACGCCACCATGTCTAGCTAATTTTTGTATTTTTTGTAGAGATGGGGTTTCGCCATGTTGCCCAGGCTGGTCTCGAGCTCCTGGGCTCAAGTGATCTGCCCACTTTGACTTCCCAAAGTGCTGGGATTACAGTTGTATGCCACTGTGCCCTGCAGATTTTAATATTTTAATTACTCACTTTATTAATCAGTGTTTCCAAACTAGGCTGTAAGCTTCTTGAGGGTAGGGACTATGATTACTCTCATCTTTATATCCCCAACACTTAACAGAGTGATTGGTATCTGATTGGCACTTAAAAGAATGAGAAACAAAATTAGTTATGCAGTAATAATGGCATTCTCTCTAGGGCTTAAGCTTAACCTATAGATTTTCACTTAAGCATCTTTTAAAAATTTGTAGTAAATATATAGTACATTAAACAAAATTGAAGAACAGAAAAGCAAACTACATCTCATATTATTTCACCATCCTAATGCCTATTTTAGTGCACTTACTTTTGGTCTTTGCTCAAATATGTGCTATATATATGTGTGTGCATTTATGTTTGTATATTATATATATTTTTATTTTACATAGCTATAATCAAATGTACATGCACTTTCACTTTTTAAAAGCTTAACTCGGCCGGGCGCGGTGGCTTACGCCTGTAATCCCAGCCCTTTGGGAGGCCAAGGAGAGCGGATCACTTGAGGTCGGTAGTTCGAGACCAGCCTGACCAACATGGAGAAAGCCCGTCTCTACTAAAGATACAAAATTAGCTGGGTGTGGTGGCGCATGCCTGTAATCCCAGCTACTCAGGAGGATGAGGCAGGACAATCACTTGAACCTGGGAGGAGGAAGTTGTGGTGAGCCGGGATTGTGCCATTTTACTCCAGTCCAGGCAGCAAGAGCACAACTCCGTCTCAAAAAAAAAAAAAAAAAAAAAAAAAGCTTAACTCACTATAAACATTCAACACTGTTGCATAATCCTCTAAATTATTATTTTTCAGCAGTGTGTAATATCTCATTCCCCTACTTAGGTTGATAGTCTGAGGAGATTTAGGTTGTACCGCATTTTCTTTTTTATTTTATTTTATTTTTTTCGAGACGGAGTCTCGCTCTTTCGCCCAGGCTGGACTGCAGTGGCGCTATCTAGGCTCACTGCAAGCTCCGCCTCCCGGGTTCACGCCATTCTCCTGCTTCAGCCTCCTGAGTAGCTGGGATTACAGGCGCCCGCCACCGCGCCCGGCTAATTTTTTGTATTTTTAGTAGAGACGGGGTTTCACCGTGTTAGCCAAGATGGTCTCGATCTCCTGACCTCGTGATCCGCCTGCCTCGGCCTCCCAAAGTGCTGGGATTACAGCCGTGAGCCACCGTGCCCGGCCAGTTGTACCGCATTTTCTATTATAAATAGGGACAGATCCAGGCTTTGTGGGACTTGAAGCTTATACAATTTTGTATAATACAATTATACAGAAGAGGAATTCAAAATTATCTTTGTTTTGCAAATAGGACCATGTGAACATACCATAAAGGCCCCTCCCCAGACATTGGAAGGGGCCTGTGAAAGTGAAGGTTAACTTTCTTTTCTTTTTTTTTTTTTTTCTGAGACGCAATCTTGCTCTGTTGCCCAGGCTGGAGTGTAATGACGCGATATCGGCTCACTGCAACCTGCGCCTCCTGGATTCAAGCCATTCTCCTGCCTCTGCCTCCTGAGCAGCTGGGATGACAGGCGTGTGCCACCATGCCCGGCTAATTTTTTTTGTATTTTTAGTAGAGACGGGGGTTTCACCATGTTGGACCAGGCTGGTCTCGAACTCCTGACCTCGTGATCTGTCCGCCTCGGCCTCCCAAAGTGCTGGGATTACAGGCCTGAGCCACCCGCCCCCGGCCCAGTTTCCTGCTTTGAGGAAGCCAGAATACAAAACTCACTTGGTTCTTAGAAGCAGGTCATTTAAATAAACGGTGACTAGACCTCAGGTGAATTTGGGAGAAAGTGATTTGGCTGTTTCTGCTGTCCATCTACTTACAAACCTGCAGCACCTTTGGTTCAGCGCGCATTTCTTGGAAGGAGCGGAGTGGCTTAAGTCAGAGACCTGGATTGGGCTGAGGTACTGCTATTCATTACTTGAGTGGCCCTGGGTAAGTCATTAACCTCTCAGGTTCTCATTTTGCTCCTCTGTGCAATAAAGAATAAGTAACAAAACCTGCCTTTCCCCAGGGTAGTTTTGAGTGTCAAATATGATAACTTGTGTTCAAGCACTAGTGAACTCCAATGTCACTGAGGTACTTGTTAACATTGTGGTAGCAGCTCCACTTTCTTGCCCATCTGCCTCCAGGTAAGGGCGTGTGACAGCTGGGCAGGATGCATCTGATGGCTCCATTAGGGTTAACTGTTGGAGCGCCTCTGCCCAGACGAAAGCCTGGCAGGTGATTTCAGGGGGCGTCTGGGCCATTACTCCTGAATGCCCAATGCACTGGGAGTAGCAGAGGCTGTGCACAGTCTGAGATTCTAGGGAATCTTTTCCTTCTCAAGCTGAGAATTGATAATCGAAGCATGCCAAACATTCGTTATTATATGCAACTTGTAAAATCCTAAATAGTCTTGTCCAATTGTCCCTTTGCTCTTAGGTTTTGAGGCATTTATCTTGGAATTTTATCTGCCAGTTTAGAAATCTTTAGCTGGTCGGGCTTAATTCTGGGGGCAGTTTGTATTTCTGGGAAGGCGGGAGAAAAATGACAATCTCAGTTTTGAATTGGCGTTTTAATATCGTTCACCAGATCCACGCTGAAAGCCGGTGTAAACAGCGTTCAAAAATTCCGCCCTCCCAAAAAAAGGATGCTGAAACCGATTTCCAACCCCGAAGACGGAGCTCATCACCCCGCAACGGGATCCGCCGTGGCTCCCCGCGCGTGCACCGCGGCTGGGCAGTCTCAGGTGGCTGGGGGCGCGAGACCGGAGCCCCACCTGGCCCTGCCGGCGGCGGCCGCACAAAGAGCGGGGCAGACGGCTGCCCGGCCGAGCCGCAGAAAGTAGTCCCGACCACGCCGGCTCCAATGTTGTTCAACGCCGCCTCACGCCCTCCGCGGGGAGGGCCGAAGCGGCCGGTCCGGGAAAGAATCCCGCTGGAATGCGCCACCGGGAGGAGGCTTTCCCTCCCAGTTCGCCTCTGCTAGCCCAGAACCTCTCCCAGGGTCTCAGGCAGAGGCTGTGCGTGCGGTTGCCGACTCCCTTCCCTGGCCGTACAGGAGGCAGTACCGGGAGAAGGGGCTCGTTGCGCGCAGGGACACGGTCGCGGCGACCCTAGGAGGCGGTGCCGACCGTATCCCTGCGCCGCTGCGCGAGGCAGAGGCTGAATGAGGAGCTGCGCGGGGGAAGCGGGGCGCCGGGGGAGGAGGCGGCGGGATGGAAGCAGACGCTGGCGTCGCGCGAGCCCGGGGCCGAGCGGCGCGGTAGAGAGGGCGGCGGCGGCGCGCGCGGAACCTTGACGTGCCCCTTTCTTTCTTCTCTCGCTGGGAAGCTGGGAAGTATGAGCGTGCAGCCCTGCCGCTGCGGCGGCCGCCCCGGCTCCTCGCCTCCCCCACTTCTGGCCACCCCTCGCCGGTGAGAGAAGAGAACGCGAGAAGGGAAGATGGGGGCCGTCCTGAGGAGCCTCCTGGCCTGCAGCTTCTGTGTGCTCCTGAGAGGTGGGAAGAGTGGGGGCACTGGAAAGTTGGTGGGGTTCGGGGGGAGGTGGCCTTGTTGTATGTGTCTAGGGGGAGGGGAGGGACGGAGGAAGGGAGAAGGGGAGAGGAGCGGGGAGAGGCCTGGTCGTGGGGAGGGGGAGAGAAAGGGGCCCGGGAGCAGGGGCTGCGTGCACCGCCCGGCCACAATGCGGACCTGGCCTGGCTTCCCAGACCTTCCCCGGACACATCGGAGCTTCGATCCCGGCTGCTGGTCTTAGGGAACCCTTGGCACCCCATGCTGTCGGGATGACTGAGTGTCTGTGTGCCTCTCTCTGCCTGGGGTCTTCCAGGGAAAAGGGTCTTTGTACGTATTTTGGCTTTTAAAATGTTTGAGTCCGAGATGCTTTAAGGTTGGCCTTATCCATCGAAGCCCCGCCACCCACTCCCCACCCCGTTTCGGTGTTTCTTAGGTGAACTTTTAAAGCCCTCTTGCTATTTTTTCCAGGCCTTGTTACAGGTAATGATTGGCTTCCGTTTGGGATATAATGACCCTGGGTGAGAGCGCAGTTGGAAAGTGACTCCGGGGTTATAGGTCGAGCGTTTCAGCATTGGGAGCCTTCTGAGCTTCAGCCCATAATAAAATAAAACATTGCCCTTGTAACCTCTGGTATTCACGGCTTGCCCCTATTTTCGGAGTATGCAAGTGTACAGTTGGCACTAAGTAGGGAAATTCATCCTCGTGTGAAGAGGAGCCGGTCCTGGGACCAAAATGATAATTTGCTCTGCACCCCTGGGGACTGCTTGGCACTTTGGTAAATTGCATAGGCTGTTCGAGATAATTTGCTCTGGGAATCGCTTGAATTCGATGGCACTATGATGTTTTGAATTGGACTGCAAAGCTGACACATGCTCTGTGACTTTTGTGACAGTTCACAAAGATTTTTGACTGGCCCGTCGGCAGCTCTTCTCAAACTATTTAGTGTTGAACTTGAGATGGCTGTGATGGCTGTGGAGCATTTACCAGCAGAGGAATTTAAGTACTGCTCGATACGGTGGCTTGTAGTTTTGGTTTGGTAAAGTTCTTACTGGCGTTCATAGTAAGTTCTTTTCAGGCATGTGACCGCTGGTCGCTGGAGATTTTTAGGTGTTAACAAGCTAAACTTTTGTTAAGTTCTCCAAACTAATTTAAGTTTACAGAACACTAATAGTAACTAATAGTCTGTGACAGGTGTATATTTTTGCGTGTACTGTGTATATGTATTTCGGATGAGAATGATTGAGTTTTTTTTTGGAGGAGGAGAAATACTTTCTTCAGTTACTCTGTAGTAATGCAGCATTGTGTTTGCATGTTATATTACTTGATACTCTAAGCATATTACAAAGTTTTCCCACATGTAAACCCCGGAAAGGTAGTGTTCATTAGATTTTTGTGGCAGAAATTTTAATGAAGTGTTACGTACTGGAGAGGTTTCATAAGTATATACTTATTTTATTATTGGCATACTCTATTGAAAGGGGTTTTGCTGTAGCTGTTAGAAACAACTATATTTGACATAAGAATATGTATGTATTTTAAGACATAAGGTTAATAGGGCTGACAAATATGAGAACCAGCTGATTGGTTAGAGTCGTGGGAAAACTTATAACTTGGGATGTTTCTGGTTGTCTAGTTGTATTTCTTGGAGGAGAAGCGTGTGATGTAAATGCCGTTTGTTTAACACCAGCTTTGAGACCAGAGCTGGGTTTGTTCATTATTGGAATTTAGATAGGTTGCACTTATTTATGTAACAAGACCTGGAAGAGGTAATAGTTTAAATTGTCTCGTTTCCACTAGCAAAGTTTTCAGAAGTGGAGCTCTCGTTTTAAATGTGGCGAAATATGGTGTAAGGTGGTCTTCTAATATGTAACAGTACTGTACTTAGCTGTGAGTACATATTATTTGAAGTAAAACTGTCTTTTGATGTAAAATATTTTTGTTCATAATTTAGAATTAATTCATTCTTTGAGAATGTCATCCTCTGTTATAGTAAAGATATTTAGTCAACCTTGGACTCCAAGGAGAAAAATCTGATTGATTTGTTGCATTTAGGTCATTTTTTTCCCCCACAAAGAATTGGGGCTTTAACATTGGCTGGGTGTGATGGGGTATGTGAGAGTCTGGGAGACCTTCTGTCCTGTAGCCCTGTTGAATTAGTAGCAGAAAGCCAGGGAATACTGTTAGTGCTGTGTCCCTATCTCTATCATCACATGACAAGGTATAAAGGAAAGATTTGGGAATTTCAATACTAAAATCTTGGATTTAAAGCCCAAGTGTCACAACTTCATAACTTTGTGGTTCTGGTCTAGTCCGCTTCTCTAGGTCTCAGTTTCTTTACTGGTAGTGTGGATAATGATACCTGACTAGTTTGCAGGGTTATTGGGTGTTTTAAATGAAATAATATGGAGTACCTTGTTAATGTTACTTTTTGCTATAATTTTTGCTTGTTCAGGGACATATCCTCAAATGCTTTCATGATTTGAGATTTAATTTGTATAACGTTCACAATTTTTTTTTTTTTAAAGAGACAAAGTCTTGCTTCATCACTCAGTCTGGGGTGCAGTGGTGTAATCACAGCTCATTGCAGTCTCAAAGTCTTGGGCTTAAGTGATCCTCCTGCTTCATCCTCCCAAAGCTCTGAACTATAGGCACGTGCCACTATGCCCCCAATTTTTTGTAGATATGGGGTTGGTGTGGGGGTGTCTTGATATGTTGCCCAGGCTGGTCTCCAACTCCTGGCCTCAAGTGATCCTCTCAAAGTGCTGGGATTACAGGTTACAGGTGTGAGCCACCATGCTTGGCCAGGTTCACGAATTCCTATTTTTTTTTTGGAGGTAGGGTCTTGCTCTGTTGCCTAGGCTGGAGTGCAGTGGCATGATCGCTGCTCACTGCAGCCTGGACCTCCTGTGTTCATGTGATCTTCCCACCTCAGCCTCCCAAGTAGCTGGGACCACAGTTGTGTGCCATAACACTTGGCTAATTTTTATAGAGCCAGAGTTTTGCTATGTTGCCCAGGATGGTCTTAAACTCCTGGGCTCAAGTGATCCTCCCACCTCCGCCTCTCGGAGTTCTGGGATTACAGGTGCAGATTCACACATTCTTTTTTTTTTTTTTGAGACGGATTCTTGCTCTGTTGCCCAGGCTGGAGTGCATTGGTGTGATCTCCGCTCACTGCAAGCTCTGCCTGCCGGGTTCACGCCTTTCTCCTGCCTCAGCCTCCTGAGTAGCTGGGACTCATTTTTTTGTATTTTTTAGTAGAGACGGGGTTTCACTGTGTTAGCCAGGATGGTCTCCATCTCCTGACCTCGTGATCCGCCCACCTCGGCCTCCCAAAGTCCTGGAATTACAGGCGTGAGCCACCACGCCCGGCCAGATTCACACATTCTTTTTTTTTTTTTAAAGACAGAGTTTCGCTCTTGTTGCTCAGGCTAGAGTGCAATGGCATGATCTCGGCTCACTGCAACCTCCGCCTCCCGGGTTCAAGCGATACTCCTACCTCAACCTCCTGAGTAGCTGGAATTACAGGCATGCACCACCATGCCCAGCTAATTTTTTTTTTTTTTTTGTATTTTTAGTAGAGATGGGGTTTCTCCTTGTTGGTCAGGCTGGTCTCGAACTCCCGACCTCAGGTGATCTGCCCATCTCGGCCTCCCAAAGTGCTGGGATTACAGGTGTGAGCCACCACGCCTGGCCCAGATTCACACATTCTTAAAAGTGAAAGGGATCTTGGTCGTTTGAGCCTCACCAGTTTATTTGTAAGTGGGGAAACTCAGATTCAGAGATACTGTAATTTAATAAAGGTAGGTTAATTAAAGATGGGGCAGGGATTTATTATTCATTCTTTTAGCAAATATGTATGGAATACCTCCTATATGTCAGCCTCTGGTACTGATGGTGAGTAAAACAATGTGTTTCCTAATCTAACGGGCCTCACAGTTTAGGTTGCCATCCTTACCATTTTCTTAGTTCCATTCGGATACTGATGAGAAAAAATAATATCTGATCTTCTGCTGGAAGTATTTTTGATAAGAATATAGGTTTTGGAATACCATCGGTGTGTGTAATCTGTGAAATACTATTTCTTAGCTTGCTTTTTTTTTTTTTTTTGAGACGGAGTCTCGCTCTGTCGCTCAGGCTGAAGTGCAGTGCCGCGATCTTGGCTCACTGCAATCTCTGCCTCCTTGGTTCAAGCGATTCTCCTGTCTCAGCCTCCTGAGTAGCTGAGACTACAGGTGCCTGCCACCATGCCTGACTTATTTTTGTATTTTTGTATTTTTTTGGTTTTTGAGACGGTATCTCACCCTGTCGCCCAGGCTGGAGTGCAGTGGCATGATCTCAGCTCACTGCAACCTCTCCCTCCTGGGTTCAAGCAATTCTCCTGTTTCAGCCTCCTGAGTAGCTGGGACCACAGGCTCACACCACCATGCCCGGATAATTTTTATATTTTTAGTAGAGACGGGCTTTCACCATATTGGTCAGGATGATCTTGAACTCCTGACCTCAAGTTATCCACCTGCCTTGACCTCCCAAAGTGCTGGGATTACAGGTGTGAGCCACTGTGCCCGGCCTAATTTTTGTATTTTTAGTAGAGATGGGGTTTCACCATATTGGTCAGGCTGGTCTCGAACTCCTGACCTCAGGTGATCCACCCACCTCTGCCTCCCAAAGTGTTGGGATTACAGGCGTGAGCCACCGCGCCTGGCCTTTTTAGCTTTTTTTGAGGAGGCTTGTTATATAAAAATTCTTCGTTACTTTTTTTTGTTTTGGTGGGCTGGTAAATATTGTTGGAACAAACCACTAATGTTTTGCATCTTGTATTTCTGTAGAAGCGATCCTTTCTTCCTTTAAAATCAGGTGTTATAAAGTCTTGGGGAAGTAGAACAAATTTTGGAGTGGCAATCAGGAGAATTAAGTTATGGTTCTAAATTTGCTGTGTAACCTTGAGTGATCTCTGTACACTTTATTTGGAGATTAGAATTCATGTTAACACATTAAGGGTTCTGAAAAGTCCTGAGGTAAAGAGACCGGTTTTAACTTTGTTTAACCTATTATTTTCCAAACTTGTCAAGTATTACATTGATATTTGATGACAGTTTCATATAGTTAATTTGATACTGTCATTCCTGTTTACTTACCTGGCTTCAGGTTTGCTCATTTGGCTAAACAATAATTTGTCTGGTTATTAAATTTTAAGGTTTTAGCTTGTTATTATCAGAAGGGCTAATAGTGATTTCCTGTGGTTCAATTTTTTTTTTTTTTTTTGAGACGGAGTCTTGCTCTGTCGCCCAGGCTGGAGTGCAGCGGCGTGATCTCAGCTCACTACAAGCTCCGCCTCCCGGGTTCACGCCATTCTCCTGCCTCAGCCTATAGGCGCCCGCCACCACGCCCGATTAATTTTTTGTATTTTTAGTAGAGATGGGGTTTCACCGTGTTAGCCAGGATGGTCTCGATCTCCTGATCTCGTGATCCGCCCGCCTCGGCCTCCCAAACTGTTGGGATTACAGGCGTGAGCCACCGCGCCCGGCCATGATTCAATTTTTAAGAGATTTTTTTCTTTGCTTTAATTGGAAGTTTTTCCATTTGCTGTACTGAACTACTGTGTCCTTATATATGCTTTGGCTGTCAGAAAGGACTGTTTTAAATATCAAAGGAGATTCTGGGAAGGGATATATTAATGGAAAATATTTTATGAGAACGTATATTTTTTGTTTAAATATTTTGCGCATACTGGAAAAATAATGTTTAGTGCTATTTAGGCCATGGGTAACTACTCTGAGAAAGATTATTTTCATCGTAGAAATTCTATTGAAAGTTTACATTTAGAGAAGATTATATGGAAGGTACTATAGCAGAAAGACATGGCTTGTTGTTAAACAGGCCAAGTTAAACTCTTCTGCCGCTTTGTGTTCCTTTGGACAAGTTATTTCCTTTCCTGTTAGGTGGGGATATAACTTGCAAGACTTCTGTGAGAACTGACGAAATGTTTGTAAAGGGGTAGTAGAACGCACAGTCAATAGTAGACATTGAATAAATGGTTGCTATTATTAAGATGGCCGAATTAAAAGAAACATTATACTCTGGAAAGACTGGTAAAACATTTTAAGTGTCGCTATGTCCTGGGCACTGTTTTTGGCAGTTGATAGTTTTAGGCCAGTGGTTTTGGAATTTTTTTTGATTCTTCTGCAACTGGAATAAAAGCTCCATAAAATACTTTTACTTATGGAAATTTCTGTTTTGTTTGATATAAAACGGAATGACACTAAATTTTTTTTCTTTTTTTTTTTTTTGAGACGGAGTCTTGCTCAGTCGCCCAGGCTGGAGTGCAGTGGCGTAATCTCGGCTCACTGCAAGCTCCGCCCCCCGGGTTCACGCCATTCTCCTGCCTCAGCCTCCCGA
Organism: Homo sapiens; assembly: GCF_000001405.40. NCBI lineage: Eukaryota > Metazoa > Chordata > Mammalia > Primates > Hominidae > Homo > Homo sapiens. The sequence continues at coordinate 229,266 of NW_011332696.1, read as the reverse complement.
GTAGCTGGGACTGCAGGCCCCGCCAACACGCCCGGCTAATTTTTTTTGTATTTTAGTGGAGACGGGGTTTCACCATGTTAGCCAGGTTGGTCTCCATCTCCTGACCTGGTGATCCAGCCGCCTCGGCCTCCCAAAGTGCTGGGATTACAGGCGTGAACCACCGCGCCTGGCCTAAATTTATTTCTAAAGGATTGCAGCCATAACTATTTTAGGTGATGATTATTATAAATAAGCTACAGAACAGACAGTTCAAATGATTGTGATACTTATTAAAGAGTTAAGCATGGGCAAAATAATTTTATCAAGACATCTAATTGAGAAATTGCATTATTTGTTTACAACAATTATTCAGTTGGTGGATTTCTTTCTGCAGGATGGCTGAATGCTATACTGAGTTTCTGCATTGCATGTTTTCACTTCGGATAAGGGTGTTTATCTTCTATAAAGTAAGCCTCACTTCAGTGAATAAAACACTGTTTTATATGAGTAACTTTGAAATTTAGTCAAATATACAGACTAGGCAATCTAAGAACAGGCTGTTTGCTCTTAAAATTATTTATTTTAAAATACAATTTGTCAGTACATAAATGCAAGGAAACAAGGTTATTTGGTATTATTAACATATGCTTTTGTTTCTCAAGCTGTTCGTGTTTGCGGCAGTGAGTATTCTCACTAAAGGTTCAAGCTGTTCGGGTGTGAGGCTAGAAACTTTTAAAATGTGCTTGGACTCTTCGGTGAAAATTATTGATACTTTGATGCTGTGATCCTTTTAGCGGTATCATAACTTGTAGTTTCTGTAATATCTTGCTTGGAAGGACCTTGTATAAGTGCTTAAATATTTTGGAACTAATTTCAGGAGGAGATTGGGGATGCAAAATGAAATTATATTTTTAGGCAGAAAACTACATTAAGTTATGTAAGTTATTAACACCAGGCCTAAAGTTATTGATGAGACTCTCAATAAAAATAACATGACCAGCAGTAGTCTTTTTTTTTTTTTTTTTTTGAGATGGAGTCTCGCTCTGTCACCCAGGCTGGAGTGCCGTGCCATGATCTTGGCTCACTGTGACATCTGCCTCCTGGGTTCAAGTGATTCTCCTGTCTCAGCCTCCCAAGTAGCTGGGATTAGTAGGCGCCCACTATCATGCCTACCTAATTTTTGTGTTTTTAGTAGAGATGGGGTTTCACCATGTTGGCCAGGCTGGTCTCGAACTCCTGACCTCAGGTGGTCCACCCGCTTTGGCCTTCCAAAGTGCTGGGCTTACAGGCGTGAGCCTGCTGCACACAGCTGTCATTTTTTTTTTCCCAAGAAAATAGTCACCCAAATATTGGAAACCTACCTTTATCAAATTATGTATGTTTAACCAGGAGGCTATTTTCTCTAATGGTCTTAGTCATTGTTTTATCACTACAAGACCCAAACTACAAGTAAAGGACTGCAAGGGATAGGAGTCTTCCTCACTAATGATTAGCTTTATTGGTACGTATAATTTAAGTACTGTATATCCATATATCCAGTTTAAAGATACTATGTTTTGCAAGTCTGAGAAAGGTGACGAGTGAACTTCATTACCATGAATTCTTAGCTACACATTATATTGTCTTTATTTGTAACCTTCTAGATTTATGCTAATGCAGAAATAGCTCTTTGATGAAAAGTTTTTGAAGAGTAGACCTTTTTCCCCTTTATATGCACCATGTACCAGAGGTTTGCACATATTGAGCACTGTAAATTTTACATTTAAAGTAATATAAAAAGATGTGAATTTTTATGACATTTATTTGGAATGCCATTTTGTGTTTTGACTCAATCGTTCATTAGCTATAGTTAAATTATAAATTTGTAACGATTACAAAGATTTCTTAGTCTGGGTCATGGTGGCTCACACCTGTAATCCCATCTCTTTAGGAGGCCAAGGCGAGAGGATCACTTGAGGTCAGGAGTTCAAGACCAGCCTGGGAAACATCTATAAAAAATTAAAAAATTATCTGGTCACGATGGCACATGCCTGTAGTTTCAGCTGCTTAGAAGGCTGAGGCAGGAGGATCACTTGAGCCCAGGAACTCAAGGCTACAGTGAGCCATGATCATGCCACTGCACTCCATATCACAGACAAAACCCTGTCTTTCAAAATAAATAAATAAAGATTTCTTAGCATAGATTAGATATGTTAAATAGACTACTAAAAAATCAGCATATTCATATCTGAGATTGAATTCAAGGTGTGGACTATGTAACGTGTTTTCTGGTTTTAGGATATAACTATTGCACTGATATAATTAGTTTTTTTTTTTTTTTTGAGACAGGGTCTCACTGTGTTTCCTAGGCTGGAGTGTGGTGTGATGCTATCATGGCTCACTGCAGCCTGGACCTCCTGGTCTCAGGCGATCCTCCTGCCTCAGCTTCCAGAGTAGCTGGGACTATAGGCACGTGCTACCACGCCCGGCTCATTTTTAATTTTTTTTTTTTTTTTTTTTTTTTTTTTTTTGTAGAGACAGGGTCTTACTATGTTGCTCAGACTGGTCTCGAATTCCTGGGCTCAAGTGATCCTCCTGCCTTGGTTTCCCAAAGTGCTTGCGATTACAGGCATGAGCCACCATGCCTGGCCTCAAGTACTTTTTTCTTTCTTTCTTTTTTTTTTTTCATTAAGCCCTTTCTATCAAGTACTTTTTTTTTTTTTTTTCCTTGAGAGGGAGTCTTGCTCTGTCGCCCAGGCTGGAGTGCAGTGGCGTGATCTCGGCTCACTGCAAGCTCCGCCTCCCAGATTCATGCCATTCTCCCGCCTCAGCTTCCCAAGTAGCTGGGACTACAGGCGCCCACCACCACGCCCAGCTAATTTTTTTTGTATTTTTTTAGTAGAGACGGGGTTTTACCGTGTTAGCCAGGATGGTCTGATCTCCTGACCTCGTGATCCACCCGCCTCGGCCTCCCAAAGTGCTGGGATTACAGGCGTGAGCCACCGCACCCGGCCTGTCAAGTACTTTTTTAAACCAAGTTTTTTGGAGCTATAATTCACATACAGTAAAAATCTCCATTTTACAATGTCTAGTTCGGTGGCTTTTAGTATACTCACAGGGTTGTAAAACATCACCACTATCTCATTCCAGAACGCTTATCATCCCCTGCTCCCTCAAAACCCATACATTTCCCATTTCTCCCTTCCCTCAGCCTCTGGTAACCATGAATTTACTTTCTGTCTCTATGGATTTGCTTACTCTGAATATTTCATATAAATGGAATAAAATATGTGGCCTTTTGTGTCTAGCTTCTATCACTTAGCATTTTCAGGGTTCATTCATGTTGCATGTGTCAGTACTTCATTCCTTTTAATGGCTGAGTAATCCATTGTATGGATATATTAAATACTTTCAAATGAGTGTGGGTTTGATTATTGGAGTCTTTACCTTGAGAAATTATTTCTGAATCTCAGCTTTTGATACGTTAAAAAAATCTGTTTTTTTTGAAACAGAGTCTTGCTTCATCACCCAAGGAGGAGTGCAGTGGCACAATCTCTGCTCACTGCAACCTCTGCCTCCTGGGTTCAAGTGATTCTCATGCCTCAGCCTCCTGAGTAGCTGGGACTACAGGCGTGTGCCACCATGCTGGCTAATTTTTGTATTTTTAGTAGAGAGGGGGTTTGGCTATGTTGGTCAGGCTGGTCTTGACCTCCTGACCTCAAGTGATCTGCCTGCCTTGGCTCCCAAAGTGCTGGGATTACAGGCATGAGCCACCACTCTGGCCTATGTTTGTTTGTTTGTTTTGAGCTGGTGTCTCTGTCACCCAGGCTGGAGTGCAGTGGCGCGATCATTGCTCACTGCAGCCTGGACCTTCCCAGGCTCCGGTGATCCTTCCAACTAAGTTTTTGTATTTTTTATAGAGATGGGGTTTCACCATGTTGCTCAGGCTGGCCTTGAACTCCTGGGCTCGGTGATACACCCGCCTCTGCCTCCCAGAGTGCTGGGATTACAGGCATGAGCCACCGCGCCTGGCCTAAAAAATATTTTAAGTTCCTGTTTTTCTGCTGGAGAAGCACTAAATAGTTTACCAGTATCTCGTGTTTCTGAATAGCCCTGTCAATCGTCCTGTTGCAGTTAAATCTTTTTACTAAATTCATATCTAGAGTAAGAAAATAGAAGAGGTATTAGAAATTACCTGGGCCAACTCCTTCGTTTTATAAATCAGAAAGATGAATGACTAAAGCCAGATTGTTTGTACTCTGGACAGTAATTTTACGTGCAGGACTTTCTGTATGTACCTTATTTTACCTGGGCCTTCTTGTGGTTTTGAAAGAGATGCTGATGACTTTGATAGAGGGAAATACATATTAATGTAAAATTTGGCATTTGCAAATAGGTAGTTTGTCATAGTACTTATACTGTAAATAAAAACAAAGCTGAGGCCAAGGTGCAGTGGCTCACACCTGTAATCCCAGCACTTTGGAAGGCCGTGGCAGAGGATCGCTTGAGCTTAGGAGTTTGAGACCAGCCTGGACAACACAGTGAAACCTCATCTCTACAAAAAAAATCCAAAAAAATTAGCCAGGCATGGTGGTGCCTATAATCCCAGCTGCTTGAGAGGCTGAGGAGGGAGAATCGCTTGAACCTGGGAGGTGGAGGTTGCAGTGAGATGAGATCGCACCACTGCACTCCAGCCTGGATGGCAGAGTGAGACTCTGTCTCAAAAAAAAAAAAAAAAAAAAAAGTGACCAAACCCAAAAGCAAAAACAAAGCTAGACTTAGGTAAGGAGAGACTTTATTTGAAAGGATTTTTGCAGTAGAAGGACATGCTTACTACAGGATCTGCAACACACTTCAAAATCAAACCGAAAAAGGCTTTTTTTTTTTTTATAGAAAGGAGAAGTAAGCAGGGCTATCAGGAACTTTGTGGGAATGTGGGCCAAATAGGTAGGGGTGAGCAGATTGCATGACCAGGACTATTTAACTGGAAAGCATTTTTTTTTTTTTCTGCAGTCAGCTAATGGTCAGAATGAGGGAAGAAGTTGTGCATCTACTTTCTTAAGCTTAGGGCAAGCCAAAGTTTAGGAATTTGTGGGGAGAAGAGAATCCTGACTAAAGTTTATTCAAGCCAAGTCAATGAGTAAGTAATGGGCAATTGTGATGTGCACTGGTCAGTCTCCCTGTTGTTTAAAACAAAATCAGTCACTGTTGACAATGGAATAAGAGTCATTGAGAAGTTGATCTCATTAGATTGGGCCTGATTATTTACATAGGTGTAGCAATAATAGTAATTTATCATATAATAGGTCTTTTAATATTGCCTTGCTGAAAGTTTTTTTAAGGAATCTGATTGGACTTTAAAATGCCTCTTGAGACTATAAAGGTAAGTCAAGAACTGACCATCAGGTTTCACTTGTAATACCTATAAATTTGGGTGAATTCCTGTCTTGAAGTTCCCAAAATATTCTAGGATTTTTGAGCCTGCCGGGAAGTGATCTTGCTTAATTCACCTGCAAGGCTGGGAACTCTGTAAGCCAGTTACCAGGCCAGTTTTCCTAAGAGGACTGTAAGCGTTGGTTCATAAAGTCAACTGTAACTTAGAAGTATTTGGTCATACCTGATTAAATGAATATTTTCAAATGTGGCATTCCAGTCAAAGCCTTGGTTGCATAAGTAATGTTTCCAGCTAGAAGGCAGACTCATTGAACCTCTGCAGATAACTATATTGCCATGAAAATAAAAATAATAAGAGTTTTTGAATTCTGGAGGAGTAAGACGGGGGAGAAAAAGATAAGTGTTTATTTCGGTTTACAAAAACATAGTCTCCTTAAATTGTTGTGAGTTATAGATAGCTTCAGAGAAAAGAGAAAGGGGTTCCTTATATCCAGAAAATAGGACGCTAAGGCATCAGCAATATTTTAAACGAAACCCATAATCATCCTTCATCAGTTTATTCAGTCCTATGTAATTAATTCTTGTTCTGCTGGATCTGTGTTAGCAGTCTCACGAACCCATCTGTTTTTCTACTAGCTGTTTGGAAATCTTGACTCAGTCCACTGGTGTGGTCTCAGAGTTATTTAAGTGATGCCATCAGACGCTTGTGTTCAGGTTACCTGGCGTAGTAGTTTTCCTTTTTCTTTCTTTCTTTTTTTTTTTTTTTTTTTTTTGAGACAGAGTCTCACTCTGTCACCCAGGCTGGAGTGCAATGGCACAATCTTGGCTCACTGCAGCCTTGACCTCCTGGGCTCAAGTGATCCTCCCATCTCAGCCTCCCTAGTAGCTGCGACCACAGGTGTGTGCGACCATACCCAGCTAATTTTGTATTTTTTGGTAGAGAAGGGGTTTCGCCAAGTTGCCCAGGCTGGTCTCGAACTCTTGGGCTCCAGTGATATGCCCACCTCAGCTTCCCAAAGTGTGGGGATTAGAGGCGTGAGCCACCACACCTGGCCCATAGCCCTTTTTTATTGAAGACAAGTGCACTCTGGCCTGTAGCTGATTTGCAAGTGCTTTCAGGGAAGCATTAGAGTAAAACAGAAAACTATCTGTAGATGACAAAATACTTAAAACGGTGATGATTAACCTATTACTGATAATCTTAAAAGTGAAAGATCTCCTATTGCAAGGACGAAAAACCAAACACCGCATGTCTCACTCATAGGTGGAAATTAAACAGTGAGAACACTTGGACACAGGAAGGGGAACATCACACACCAGGTCCTGTTGTGGGGTGGGGGGAGGGGGGAGGGGTAGCATTAGGAGATACACCTAATGTAAATGACCAGTTAATGGGTGCAGCACACCAACATGGCACATGTATACATATGTAACAAACCTGCACGTTGTGCACATGTACCCTAGAACTTAAAGTATAATAATAAAAAAAAAGAAAAAAAGTGAAAGATCTTATGAAACTTTGTTAGAAAAGATAATGAAATTGGCAAGGAAGTTTGATTTTTGTGGCATGCGAACTAAAATCAACCCAAAAAAGTGTTAGACAAAAGCATATCTATAAGCGTAATGATTAACTTTATTTTATTATTATTTTTTGAGACAGAGTCTCGCTGTGTTGCCCAGGCTGGAGTTCAGTGGCGCGATCTTGGCCCACCACAACCTCTGCCTTCTGGGTTCCAGTGATTCTCCTGCCTCAGCCTCCTGGGTAGCTGGGATTACAGGCACGCGCCACCACGCCCTGCTAATTTTTATATTTTTGGTAGAGACAGGGTTTCGCCATGTTGGCCAGGCTGGTCTCAAACTCCTCACCTCAGGTGATCAACCTGCATCAGCCCCCCAAAGTGCTGGGATTAAGGTGTGAGCAACTGCGCCCAGCCGATTAACCTTATTTTAAAGAAGAGTGGCTAGTACATGTCATTTATGAATATAGATGAATATATTCATTGCAGAGAGAAAATCTAAAGACATATAATCCTAAGATGTAATGGACCATGAATATGTCAAGAGTATATCAAGAATGTATATATGTATAGAGTATATCAAGAATGTATCAAGATTATCAAGGAAAAAGATTTAGCAGTCTGGAGTAGGTCGTTAACTTCTATATAATAGCATTCCATAAGTAAATGATGTGAATTCTTAACTGAGAACCATTAGCCAACCTAGAAGATTAAAGAAGCCAAATTATGACCAAGTTAACATTGAGGAAAAAAAATCCCTGAAATTATGACTGATGACATTATACTGTTGTCTAATACCAGGCAAAGCAGCACCAGAACTCTGATTAATAGACATGGACAATGAGGGCATTGATGAATTTCTAGGAGCTTTATACCTTCATAGAACTTCCAAAATATCCCTATTAATAACATTTTACCTATACAAATTTAACTTAAACTTAGGGAGGGTAAGCCTCTCTGGCTTTGACAGTGCTTTCCATATGACCCATAACGTTTGATCAAATAAACTATTATTTTTAACATCTCTCTTTTACAAGGTAAAGGGAATTTTGATTTTCTAGGGCCCCTTAGGGGAAATCTCAAAGACAGTTGTTGGTACAAAAGGCATCATTTAGGAGGTTTGAACATTTGATTAAATAGGATCATGGGCCACTGTGGAAAAAAATACTTGGCTACATATTTAACCAAAAGTGACCGGAAAAAAAAAAAGATTTTAGTTCAGTGCGGTGGCCCATGCCTGTAATCTCAGTGCTTTGGGAGGCCAAGATGGGAGGATCACTTGAGGTCAGGAGTTTGAGACCAGCCTGGGCAACGTGGTGGGATCCTGTCTCTACAGAAATTAGCTGGGCGAAAGATTTCATGCCTATAGTTCTAGCTCCTCAGGAGGCTGAGGCAGGAGGATCGTTTGAGCCCAGGAGTTTGAAGCTGCAGTGAGCTATGATTGTGCCGTTGCAATGAGCCATGATTGTGCCACTATACTCCAGCCTGGACAACAGGGTGAGACCCTGTCTCTTAAAAAAAATATTGAAAAAAGTAAGCATGGGAGGTAATGCAGTGGTGAAGAACCTTACCCTTTTAAGGGTGTGAATACAGTTTTAAGTAATTAAGGACATGATAAAGTCAGCATTAAGCACAGGAAATTCTGGTAAGACACAATCTTTGCCTTCTGTGGAGATTATTCAGAAGGCAAAGGAAAACCTTTAATAACTTCTTTATTAAAAGCAGACTAATGGGCGGGGCACCGTGGCTCATGCCTGTAATTCCAACACTTTGGGAGGTCGAGGTGGGTGGATCACAAGGTCAGGAGATCGAGACCATCCTGGCTAACATGGTGAAACCCTGTCTCTACTAAAAAAAATGCAAAAAAAATTAGCCGTGCGTGGTGGCGGGCACCTGTAGTCCCAGCTACTCGGGAGGCTGAGGCAGGAGAATGGCATGAACCCGGGAGGTGGTGCTTGCAGTGAGCTGAGATCCCACCACTGCTCTCCAGCCTGGGTGACAGAGTGAGACTCCATCTCAAAAAACAAAAATCAAAAAGACAAACTAATAACTGAAGAAAATCCGTCATTTTAACAGAGAAAACTAAAATCTAGTTTTACGTAACTATAATATTTGATAAGCACTTAAAAACATCTTACAAATAAACCCGTCAAATCTTAGCCGGCTTTGGCTGGGCACGGTGGCTCACGCCTGTAATCCCAGCACTTCGGAGGCCGAGGTGGGCGAATCACTTGAGGTCAGCAGTTTAAGACCAGCCTGGCTAACATGGCAAAACCACGTCTCTACTAAAAATACAAAAAAATTAGCTGGGTGTGGTGGCGAGCGCCTGTAATCCCACCTACGAGGGAGGCTGAGGCAGGAGAATCACTTGAACCTGGGAGGTGAAGGTTACATTAAGCCCAGATTGTACCACTGCACTCCAGCCTGGGTGACAGAGCGAAACCCCATCTCGAAAAACGAAGAAGAAGAAAAAAATCAAGCCAGGTGCGTTGGCTCACGTCTGTTACCCCAGCACATTGGGAGGCTGAGGTGGGTGGATCATTTGAAGTTAGGAGTTCGAGACCAGCCTGGCCAACATGGTGAAACCTGCCTCTACTAAAAATACAAAAATTAGCCGGGTGTGGTGTTGGGCGCCTGTAGTCCCAGCTACTTGGGAAGCTGAGGCAGGAGAATCTCTTGAACCAGGGAGTCGGAGGTTGCAGTGAGCCGAGATTGTGCCACTGCACTCCAGCCTGGGTGACACAGTGAGACTTTGTCTCAAAACAAAACCCCCAAAATATTAGTAAATATGTATATGATATTTCTGTGTGCAGTGAACTGTAGTAGGCATTGATGATAAAATTAGTTATAAGGTATGGTTCTTGTTTCCAAGGGCTGAGATCCTAGAGGTAGGAAGTATGCTTAAAAAAAAAAAAAGCTAATATCATGTAAGTACTAAAGACTAAGGATTAAAAGAAGTAAAGCTGAGTCAATTAGAAAGGGTTACAGAGTAGGTAAGGTTTGACTCTGGCCTTGAAGGACTTGCTTGCTGGGAGAAAAAGAGAAGTATGGAGTAGGCAGGAAAATGAATACTCTGCAATGATGGGTGTGATGTACTCCCAGTTTACATGTTTTGAAACCTGTTTGTATGATGCAGAGACTATAAAAGATTAATTTAGAGTCCTAGGTAGAAGTCATGGTGGAAGGCTGAGGTATTGAGGCATTTTGTAAATTTAGGCAAGGGGAATCAGAATGGCTTTTGAGTTGGCTAAACTGAAAGTATTAGAAGTAGAAAAGGAAAGGGGAGAATATTGAGATAACTTACTATTAGGATATTTTAGGCCTAAAGTCATGAAGGTCTAGAGTAGGATAGTGGTTTTAAAAATGGAGAAGAGGAGACAGATTTAAAGACATGCTTGTAAAATAAGAGTCAACAAGACAGTAATTGTCAGACTAGGGGAAAAGGGGAGGGGCTCAAAGATGGCTCCAAGGCATGCCAGTAAGGTTAGAATTGTGTACCATTGACTGGTGAGGGATTTTGTTGTTTTGGGGGAAAGGTGATGAATTTAATTTAACGGGAGGTAGAGATGGCCAACAAAAAGTTAGAGGGACAGAACTAGAGATGATGTTTTGGGAATTAGCTGCATAGAATTGCTTGTTGACCAGGTGAACTTTAATTAATTTATTTCCTTCCTTCCTTCCTTCCTTCCTTCCTTCCTTCCTTCCTTCCTTCCTTCCTTCCTTCCTTCTGTTATAGCACAACTTATATATTTCAAATGGACAAAAAATTAGTTTTACAGCATCTTAAGATAAATTTCCTTTGAATGGGAGCTTCCTTTCCAGTACTTTGAGGTCTACAAGACATATCTAGAAAATTTGCTGCTGTGGAAAATGAAGACTGCTTAAATTGAATGAGGGGGAAGAGGAAGGGCCTGTGGTTTTTCTTTTCGATTAATTGCTGTAACACTGTGTTGTGGTTTTTCTTTTCGATTAGTTGCTGTAACACTGTCCTTGAGGTGGCTGAGGGAGTTTCATATTTTCTTTAGACACCATTAGGCGCCAAAGCTCTTGCAGGACAACTTTGGTGCTGTGAATTCTGCCATTTTGCTAGCACTGATATGGCTCTTGGGTCCACCAATCCATTAGAACTATTAACTCCATTCATATTAATTTTTTGTTACAAATCTTACAAAGGGGGGTGCTTCTGGGTATTTAGGTCCACATTTTATTTTAAGGCTGTATATTCAGTTTTCATAAATTGTTCTTGCAGGCCCAATTATCATCCCTGTACGTCTTGTAAGTGTCACGTCTTTATCATTGTCTAGACCTCAGCTAACTGCCATCTCCTACTCCTTTCTGGCCTTCTTTGAGTTCTTCCAAAAGTGGGAAATTGCAAGGGACTTTTACCCCCGAGCCTGTGGTGGCTGCCACCTTGTGTTGCTGTTGCTTGTGAACTTTAATTTTTTATACTCTGTCATTTGGAACAACAGAGAGTCTTAGGATACCTATATATAGGAAGTGGAAGGTTTGAAACAAGACAAGAAAAAATAGGTAGTATTGTATGAGGAGAACATTCTATATAGGTAGGGATATAGTCAACAGCATTGACTGCTCTAGAGGTGTTAAGAATAAAGACTGAGAGGCTGGGCGCAGTGGCTCAAGCCTGTAATCCCAGCACTTTGGGAGGCCGAGGCGGGCGGATCACGAGGTCAGGAGATCGAGACCATCCTGGCTAACACGGTGAAACCCCATCTCTACTAAAAATACAAAAATTAGCTGGGCGTAGTGGCGGGCGCCTGTAGTCCCAGCTACTCGGGAGGCTGAGGCAGGAGAATGGCGTGAACCCGGGAGGCGGACCTTGCAGTGAGCCGAGATTGCACCACTGCACTCCAGCCTGGGCGACAGAGCCAGACTCCATCTCAAAAAAAAAAAAAAAAAAAAAAAAAAAAGAGTAAAGACTGAGAAAAGACCACTGGATTTGGTTATAAAGATTTAGAGGAAGCACTTGCAGTTGAGTGATGGATAGGAAGTTAGATAAAAGAGTAATAGCTAATGAATGGTAGTGTGAAGTATATATACCAATGTTATAAGATTTTGCAGTTAGTAGAAATATAATTATTATTCTGATGGTAGCAAGGTTAGGGTTATTAAAACAAAACAATAGCAAGGAACCTGGCGTAAACCATTGAAAATACGAGAAATACAGAACAATTGATAGAGCGAAGTTGTAGAGAGGAGGTAAGGAGGCTGAACCGAAAGTATTGCTTTAGCCTTAGGAGGAAGGCCATCTTCTCATTTGAGACTGAGGACAAGGTAAGGGAAGATGGGTGGAGAGAAAATTTTGAGAGGTATAAATTAAGATGTTGGGGATGTATGACATTTACCTTGTATCCTGCTTCACTGAGATTGTTTTATGAGATGATCTGAGGATAAAGGATTCAGGGCATGGAAATTAGTCTTTAAAAGTAGAAAAGGCTTAGAAAGGCTGGTAGAGAAAGTTTCCCAGGAGTTTAATAAAGGAAAACAAGGATTCCTGAGCACTGTGAGTGTTCCACTGAAGAGAAGTGATGGTGATTATTTGGGTTATCTGAATACTAGGCAGTCAGAAAGTAAGCTCTCTGGAATGGAAGATACTGGCATGTTCCAGGGAGCAAGTATGTGGTTCCAGTGTATCTGTTTGGTAGATAAAAACAATGTTACAAATCAAATTATACCTATCAGATATCCCATTTAATATGTTGCTGAACAGATACTGGTGACAATGTAATAGAAAGTATTCAAGCATCAGAAGGGTGGTTGGACAGGATGAACCCTGGGATTTCCTTTCAATAGTGTGGTTTATGTGCAGCAGATTTATGTACAGTCCTTTACAAATCCTCAATTGTAACCAGTATTGCTAACTTAAAAAAGATTAACTTTGCCTCCTTCACCCGTTTTCAGGAGGGAGAAGAGACTCAGAATGCTTGTGAGGCCTTAACTGACCAGAAAGCGTTTTTGGATTTTGTAGACCAAAAATATTCAGTACACGTAGAAGTGTTAAAGTTTGACTTGAAAGCAATGAAAGACATTTGGCTGCCACCTAATGTCCTATAGCTTTGATATAGTTTTCCAAGATAGTGCCATAAAGAAGGTGCCCAGTAAATATTAGATGATTATCACTCTTGAATTTTCAATTTTAAGTGTTTCGTGGGTATTCCTTAGCCTTATGCAGCACTTAGCATTGTATCCTTCACTAGTAGGGACCTTTTTTCTGATGTTTATATTTGGCCCATAGTATGAGAGACTCAGTATAGTGGGCTCTGTGGGGACTGATAAATCAGTGTGATGTGTGAAGGCCAGAAATGAATTAAAAGTGACTCTGTTAGGGAAGTTTATGAATTTGCTGATAGCTGCAGCAGATACACAGAATAAGCAGAAAGATTGGTTAGCCACTTTTTAAAAAAGCTGTCTGCCAGTTTGTTTTTGACTAAGAAAGTTGGATTTAAGCTTAGTTAGGGAAGTTTATGTTGTACTTATAGATGAAAATAGTATACATTTATAACTATTTGACAGACACAATCTATAGTGTAAACATCACTTTTTTCTTACACTTTTTTGAGATTGGAGTAATTTCTTGAAAAGGGGAATCGTTACTTCTAAATGGTAGTTGGGCTTGGCTTCAGATGACACAGTTGTAGACCCTTAGTAAGTAATTATGAAAGAAGATCATGTAGATAATTGTATCATAACTCACTCTTTTTTTTTTTTTTGAGACAGGGTCTCCCTCTGTCACCCAGGCTCACTGCAGCCTTAAATTCCTGGGCTCAAGTGACCCTCCCATTTTAGTCTCCTGAGTACCTAGGACTACAGGCGTGCACCACTATGCCTGGCTACTTTTTTAAATTAATTTTTTTGTAGAGATGGGGTTTCCATGTGTTGCCAAGGCTGGTCTTGAACTCCCGGGCTTAACCAAAGTGCTGGGATTACAGGCGTGAGCCACCGTGCCTGGCTTGGTCTTACTTTTGCTGCCTCATTTATGTTCTGCATTCCAGCCTCTAGATGTGTGCTATCCAATACTACCACTAGCCACACTTGTCTATATAAATTGGAATGAATTAAGATTATATAAAATTGGGGCCGGGCGCAGTGGCTCACGCCTGTAATCCCAAGCACTTTGGGAGGCCCTGGCGGGTGGATCACCGGAGGCCAGGAGTTCAAGACCAGCCTGGTCAACATGGCGAAACCCCACCTCTAGTAAAAATACAAAAAATTAGCCGGACCCATAGTGGTGGGCACCTGTAATCCCAACTACTCAGGAGGCTGAGGCAGGAGAATTGCTTGAACCTGGGAGGCGGAGGCTGCAGTGAGCTGAGATCGTGCCATTGCACTCCAGCCTGGGCAACAAGAGCAAAACTCTGTCTCAAAAAAAAAAAAAAAAAAAAAAAGTTTATATAAAATTAAAAATTTAATTTTGTAGTCACACTAGCCACATTTTAAGCGCTCCATAGCTGCGTGTGACTGGTGGTACTGTGTTATGCAGTGGAGAGGACATTTCCATCATCACAGAAAGTTCTGTAGGACAGTAGTGCTCTAGATTTTTAATTGTTGCTTGATACTAGGAAAGTAAATGTCAGAAGCTTGGAATAGATATTTAATAAAAACCAAAAAACATGGAATTTATACTACCTCACTCCCAACAGCTTCAACTTTCTCAAAGTTAAATGTTATTTCTGTAAGATTGGCTTTATATTTAGTTTCGGGTCTTTTCAAAGGTCATTTTAATAGTAATATAGAACAGAATAAAGTAGCTTTACTAAGAACTATTTCTGTCAAACTGTAACAGTTTTATTAAGGTATAATTGATAGACAATAAATTTTGCTTATGTTAAGTGTAAAATTTAATAAGTTTTGACATGTTTACACCTCCGAAACCATCATTATTGATAATATAGCTCATCACCTGCAAAAGTTTGCTCATGCCCATTTTTAATCCTCCCCCTCATTCTTTTGCACCTTCTTTCCCTATTTTGAGACAGCCATTGATCTGCTTTGTGTTTTTACAAAAGTTTGCCTTTTGTAAAAGTTTATATAGATGAGAGTCATGCAATATATACCTTTGTTTTGGCCTGGCTTCTTTCATTCTGAATTATTTTGAGATCCACCCATTTTTCATGTACAAAGGGTTCATTATTTTCTGTTGTATGGCAGTATCACAGTTTTTTATCCATTAGCCTGTTGATGACATTTGGGTTGATTCCAGTTTGGGTTATTACAAATAAATTGGTATGAGCATTTGCATACAAGTCTTTGTATTGACATATGTTTTTGTTTCTCTTGAGTAAATACCTAGATGTGGAATAAACAGTATCTAGCTATTGCCTTGGATTGTATAGTAGGTTGTATGTTTAACCTTTTAGGAAACTGCCAAACTGTTTTCCCAAGTGGCTGTACCATTTTACATTCACCCCAGTAGAGTATGAGTGTTCCAGTAGCTCCATATTATTGCCAATTCTTGGTATAGCCAGGCTTTAAAATTTTATCTGAGTTATTTTAACAAGAAAAGACTATCGTGGTGGAAATAGTTCCCCCCATTTCCTATGTCTTATTTTTTAAATGCTGCAAAAATAATATTTTGTGTGTGAAGTTTAGATGGTCTCCTAATGATTTATTTATTCTTTTCTTATTTTCGACAGTCTTTGCTCACTTAAACCGATTTGAAACGCAGTTTATAAGAACCAATACGTTTTCTTCCTTTTCACTTACATATTTTTCTTTTTTTGTTCTAGCGGCCCCTTTGTTGCTTTATGCAAACAGACGGGACTTGCGATTGGTTGATGCTACAAATGGCAAAGAGAATGCTACGATTGTAGTTGGAGGCTTGGAGGATGCAGCTGCGGTGGACTTTGTGTTTAGTCATGGCTTGATATACTGGAGTGATGTCAGCGAAGAAGCCATTAAACGAACAGAATTTAACAAAACTGAGAGTGTGCAGAATGTTGTTGTTTCTGGATTATTGTCCCCCGATGGGCTGGCATGTGATTGGCTTGGAGAAAAATTGTACTGGACAGATTCTGAAACTAATCGGATTGAAGTTTCTAATTTAGATGGATCTTTACGAAAAGTTTTATTTTGGCAAGAGTTGGATCAACCCAGAGCTATTGCCTTAGATCCTTCAAGTGGGTAAGTTTTTGTACAGTGTACGAAGATCATCATACCTCCTTTCGGTTTTTCTCCACTGACATACACCACCCTGACCCCTATGAGAAAAGAAAGATCGAAAACAGGAATTTTAGATTCTTTGGGCTTCTTTGTTGAGTAGACTTGAATGTGGAAAGTTACGTTGTGTTATTATTATTTTTGACAGGGTTTTTGCTTTGTCACTCAGGCTGTAGTGCAGTGGTGCAATCAAAGCTCACTGCACTGTCAGCCTCCCAGGCTGAAGTGATCCTCCCATTTCAGCCTCCCAAGTAGCTGGGACTTTAGGTGTGCGCTACCACACCTGGCTAGCTAAAAAAAATTTTTTGTTAGCTGGGCGTAGTGGCGCACATCTGTAATCCTAGCTAGACGGGTGGCTGAGGCACGAAAATCACTTGAACCCAGGAGGCAGAGGTTGCAGTGAGCTGAGATCGCACCACTGCACTCCAGCCTGAGCAACAGAGTGAGACTTTGTCTCAAAAAAATTTTTTTTTGTAGAGACAGAATTTCACCGTGTTGCCCAGGCTGGTCTTGAACCCCTGGGCTTAAGTGATCAATCGCTCTGCCTTGGCCTCCCCAAGTGCTGGGATTACAGGTGTGAGCCACTGTGCCCAGTGTGTTGTGTTCTTAGTGTTTCTGTAAATCGTTTTGGGTTTCTAATAGCCATGTTTATATTTCTTGGGTTTTCTTCTGTATTTATTTTTTGTGATATCAGAAGATAATTTAAAGAGAGAGAAGAAGGAATGAAATGAGAAGTATTTGATAGCCCAAGATGAGATAGACTAATCTAGATCTTATACCTTTTATTATATACACAATGATACTGTGATACTAGTGTTTTTTTGTTACACTCTGAAGCGTTATTTAATGTCAGTATTGAATGAAAAATAAAAATTATTAAATAACTCATTTCTAGTTAGCTAAACATATATTTGCAATAAAGGTTTATTTTCTAATGAGAAGGAAAACTTAAAGCTCTGAGTAAATCTCATTTCAGAGTGTGAACTGTATCCTCACATTGCTTCTCTGTTACTATGTCTCATTTCTACTATTAGTATACACCATTTTGTGATATTTCTTTATTGAATAAATTGTCATGGCTAGTCTGTCATGGCTAAGTATAGATAACTATCTGAACATGAACCTAAAATGACTAATATTTGGTTAAAATCCAAAGATAAATAACCTGTACTATTTTAATACTTTGTTTTCTTTAGCTTTCAGTTGTATTAGAATGCTTTAAAACTCATTTCACTTATAGAAAGGAGTGAATTCTTTTTATGTAATAAATGAGAACTTGGGGAGAATGGAAGAAAGGTTTATATGTGCTTCTTTATCTTGATATCAGGCCTGGTTACAGAGGTTGAACAGGATGCCATGTTGTAGAAAAATGAGAAGACTGATTTGACTGTAAAGGATTATGTGGGCAGTAGTATAGGGAAATTTTAGAGGGAGATGTCTGGAAATACAAATATGTATTTTTTAGAGTGAAATTAAAACGTGTTTGTTGAAGCAAGATGGTGCTCTTAAAGCACCAGGAAATATTGTAGTGGCTCTGATCGTAGGAAAAACGATTGGATGTCCTGAGGAGGAGGTCTCAGATGTAACTGTAGTTATCAAAGAATTTGGTTGTTGAGAACTTTATAGATATTTTTGAGAAACGGAGTTTGTGTTTTGCTAACAGAGTTTGTAAGGCTCAGAGGGTGTTGAAATGTTTCTGAGGTTACTGCTTTGTAGAACACATAGGATTTTGGTGCTTGTAGTCGTCATTAGGGAAGAATACCGTGGTGAAAAGATAAAGTTCTTTTTTCCCCTCTTCTTGACAAGTTCAATTTTACCACTGTAAGGGTGATGATTGAAATTTAATGAAATATCTGTTAAATGGTTATTATGTTCAGAGTTCTGCATTTTGTACTCTGGTTGGAGAGAGGGGGTTTGGTTTATCTTTACTGTTTAAGGACAGAAAACTTGGGAGAGACAACTTTTTCTTCTTCAAAGCATGTTTATTTGCATTATGTAACATGAATGTGAAGAGAGGAAGAGTGTTAAAATAATTAGAAGGGGCACAAGAGCTGTTATGAGCTTCATTACCAAATTTTGGAATGGGATCTTGATCATTTCTATAAGAGATTAATGATTACCTGATAGTACATTATTAAAGGGAACTGAATGTATATAGTTCCTCTTGACTCTTCAGGATCTAACAGTTCAGTGAGTAAATTAATCATTTTCATTTTGTTCCCCAAAACTAATGAGCTTTACTTCTGGGTAGCAGGTCTGATAAGTATCTTCTGAAGTAATTTCGCCATTTGATTAAAAAATACTTTAGAGTTTCTGTGGCTTTAATTTATCCTTGTTATTTCTCATTATTGAATGTGAGAATTCACCAAAGACTTAGCTGATAAAAAAGATTATTGGAAGAATCAGTAGCAATTTACTTTGAAGGTAGAAGGTAGTGTTATTTAGCTTCTGAAGGTGGTTCAGTGAAGAATAACTCTTTCTGTGGACTAAAGGCTTGGTCAAACACCCAGTGAAATATTTTGTATTATTTTTGATGTGTGTGGTTAATGTGGGAGGCAGAGGAGGGGAGAGTAGGGGAGAGAGAGCGGGTAAATTCAACCCCCCTCCCCAGCTTTAACAGTCCTCTCAAAATTTCTTTTAATTTTGAGAAGTCATTTTGTGTCATGGTTATTTTAAAAACGACTCAACTGGAAACAAATAGAATCTGGTCAAATGGTATATATACATTTGATATATGTACAAATGATGGAGCGTATTTAAAATTATATTTTAAACTCCTACACTGAAAAATATATTCATCAGATGATCTTTCAGTGTTAATGATCTTAGATTTGTATCGTGGATTGTGGTTTTAGTTGAAAAGTAATTATAGGTAGAGTACATCATTTGTCAAACAGAAGAGATGATTTCCAGATTTATTTTTTGGGGGAAATACGAAGTTTGAGTTCCAGACAAAGTACATGAAAACAGTGCTGAGGAAAAATGTAGACTTTTCAGAGTTCCAGGATCCTGGATTATGAGGTTCACAAGAGCTGATTGAGCTCTCTCATAGCAACTTACGTAAAGGGAAAGCTATTGAATGACTGGTATTGTTTGAGCCCTGGGAACTAGTGCAGACATCTGTGTGCTTTCGGATGTATGGAGTTCTTTGTGTAATCAGTCCATTTAGCCTAGACTGAAGGAAGATTTTTATTCCTCTCTCTAAATTTGGCCTCTATTATATTAGTCTGAGATTTTTTTTTCCTTATGATAATGACTAGCAGTATACAGTTCAGACTAAGCAACGGGAAGATGTGTGTATGAAATTGTTAGAGAAATGAACAACCAGAGTTACAGTAAACAGTTGTCTTATGTTACAGTGAGTAGAGGTGATTCCTATGTGGCTGCTCCTAATGCTGGAGCCCCTCAGTCTGATTCCACAGTTACCATGCTAAGCAACCGTACTAATCTTGGTGATGTTGAGGACCTGTGTCAAGTTTAAGGGTGTTTTGTTTGTTTGTTTAGGATCCTTTCATATTCCAAATCATTTTAGATTTTTTTTATAAAGTTAAACTTTAATGATTCAATTTGAAGTGAATTTATATTAAACAGCTTTGAATGATATTTATATTTTAAAAGTATGTATTTTTATTTATTATTTATTTATTTATTTTTGAGATGGAGTCTCACTCTGTTGCCCAGGCTGGAGTGCAGTGGCGCGATCTTGGCTCACTGCAAGCTCCGCCTCCTGGGTTCACACCATTTTCCTGCCTCAGCCTCCCGAGTAGCTGGGACTACGGGCACCTGCCACTTTGCCTAGCTAATTTTTTGTATTTTTAGTAGAGACGGGTTTTGCCATGTTAGCCAGGATGGTCTCGATCTCCTGACCTCATGATCTGCCCGCCTCGGCCTCCCAAAGTGCTGGCATTACAGGCGTGAGCCACTGTGCCCGGCCATAAAAAGATTCTTTTTGTATGGAAAGTGGAAAATGTAGCCAGTTACATTTAGGCAGATTATATAGATTCACATATGTTTGGAGATGAGGTTTTTTGAGATCATTATCTAAAAAATAAGAGTGATGTGTTAGAAGAACCACTGATCTTTTCGGGAAATCTGGATTATGGGTTTAGCTTGAATGGCATATGAATCAGGGTCTTGGAAATTAAGAAACAACAAACTCGTGGTGTGTGTCTCTTTGTGTGTGTGTGTGTACATGTGTTCTCAAATGTTAATGTAGGGTTTTTTTTTTTTTAATATCTTAACTCTCATCCAGTTTTAGTTTCTTCATATCAAGTAATATCCATCACCGTGTCTCAAATTAATAAGTTTCAATTGTATTGTCTACTTTTTTATGCTCCATATCTCCTAGCATTTATTGAAGGAATTTTGAAGGGGAGTAGTTGTAGTATAACTGAATGCCTTTACATAACACAGTATTTTAATAGCTTTGCTTTTTAATAAAAGCTTTCTTTGCTTGTAACATTGAGCTTTTCATTCATCCTTAGTAGAAGATTGAAACTTGGTGATTATAAAGAAAAGGATACCTTCCTCTGTATGGCTGGAGATGAAAAAAAAAAAAGAAAAAGAATAGGGTACCTTTATGAGTATAGGCTGCCTGCACTTGGGGATTTTGTCTACCTTCGATGTATTCCAGAGTTGATGACTCTTCAGAAATTACAATGAATCTTTAAGATTTTGGAAGGAGGGGTTTGTCAGCTAATTTGTGAACTAGGAATAAAATATGACTGTTTTTATTTTTGTAACAATTGATATTGATACTATATTTCTTTTAGAAATTTTCACTTAAGCTTATTGAGTTTTGTACTGTTTCCATTGTCCTACCACTTGGACCGTGCCTTTCCTTCCTCCATCAGCTCTTTAAAAATGGAACAGTTTAAAAGTGCATTATTTTCTTTGTTCTTTTTCTGAGATCATATCCGTTTCCAGTTGGCTTTTGCATAGAAGCAGATAGCCAATTATTTAAAATCTAAAGCTTTAGACTGGATCTTGCTTTAAAGCACTGTCCCTGTGTATGAAGGATCTTGGTGTAAACAACTTACAGTTTTGAAGGATGTTCTGTTAAATTGGGAAGGTCTGTTTTCTATCCCTTGAATCCTAGAACTGGAAGGGAATCTTAAGGATCCTCTAGCTAAATGCCTTCCTTCCCTTCTTTGGGTGAAGAAACCAAGGCCTTTGACCAAGATAAATGAGAGGGAGCTATATTCTTAGTTGAAATTTTTGAATTCCGTGTTTGGTGCTTTTTTTCTTTGTGAAAGGTATCTTACTGAAGCCATTGTTTTTTGTTTTTTGTGTTTTTTTTACGAGTTGAATTACTTTAAAAAATTGAACATGGTAGCTTTGTTTAAAGGACCTTTTAAAATAAGTTTCATGTTTTTAGGTTTACTCAGTGTAGCAATTTCTTATTTTACCATTGCTTTTTGCATCCCAGTTAATCCATTTGGATTCAGCTTCCTTTTGTTTGAAGTATGCCCTTCAGTGTTTCTTTCAATAAGCGTCTGTTAATAGTAACTCTTGGTCTTTGTCTAAAAATGTATTTATTTTGCCCTCATTCTTGAAATGATAATTAGTTGAGTATAGAATTCTACGTGATTAGTTATTTTCACTCAGACCTTTGAGGGTGTATGGCTTTAATTGTTGGTACGATTAAGTCTGTATTGCATTGTAATTTATCATTTATCTTTTTTAATATTTTTGTGGTTTTTAAAAGCTTCTCTTGATTTTTGGTATTTTGCAGCTTTGTCTACCCTGTGTCTAGATGTGGATATATTTTTATTTATCCTGGTTAGGATTCATATTTCTAGAATCTAAGCATTTTTGTCGTTTGTTAATTCTAGAGAATTCTTATCCTTTTTTTTCTTAATTTTCCTTCGTTCTCCTTAGTCTCCTTTGGAACTCTTGTTTGATATGTGTTCCTTTCTAATTCCCTGTTCCTTTCCTCTTAATTTTGCTCTTTTATCTTCTCTCTCATTATTTCTCTGAGCCACTTTCTGTTTTTTTTTTTCTTTTGTACCTGCCATCTAGATACAAAATTCTTTCTTCAGCTGTGCCTAACTTTGCAGTTTAACATGTTAATTGAGGTTTTAATATCAGTGACTATATTTTAATTTTTTTAGAAGTTCCTTGTGCCCCCTTATGAAGAAATTTCAGCTACATAAAAGTAGAGAAAACAGTATATCAGTAATTTTAGACTTGGAAAAAAAGTTGCAAAAATTGTACATAGCTCTAGTGTAACTTTCACCCAGCTTCCCTAAATATTGACATTTTGTATAACCATAGAACAGTTATCTAACCAGGAATTAATGTTGATAGAATACTGTTAACTAATCTGTAGACCATATTTGAATTTCTCCGTTTTCCCCATTAGTCCTTTCTCTGGTCCAGGATACCATTTTGCATTTAGTTATCTCCTCGGCCTTTTCTAATCTGAGATGTTTTGGTAGTCTTTCTTTGTTGTTCATAACCTGGACATTTTTGAAGATTATTGGCCAGTCATTTGTAGAACGTTCCTCAGTTTGGCTCTATTTGCTGTTTCTCATGATTTGATTAAAGTTATACATTTTTGGCAAGAATACCACAGAAGTGGTATTATGCCCTTCTCAGGGCATCCTGTCAGCAGGCACATTATGTGGATACTAGGTGATGTTACAGTTGATCACTTGGCTATGGTTTTGTCTGCTAGTTTTTTTTTCACTGTAGTTACTGTTTTTTCCCTTGCAATATATATTTGAGGCTGTGCAATTATCCTGTTTCTCATCATACTTTTATCCACAAATTTTAGCATTCCTTGATGGTTTTTGCCTGTGTTAATTATTACTGTGATGTTTGCTGTTTGCCAAATAGCGATTTTTCTAGTTCCATTATTCCTTCTGTGTGCATTATTAGCTTTCTACCTTAACGTAGAGCTGTCCTGTCTCTCTCATTTATTTATTCAGTTATTTATATTAGTGTGATATTGTGAAAATATATTTGGTCTCAGTCCCCTGGTTCTTGGCACAGAGCTTCTAAAACCCTTGTAATTTCCTGAGCAGTAGGGTTGCTAGGTGCATCTTTTGTTCTAATATTTGGTCTTTGATTCCAGTGCCTGACATGGAACTCCTAATCCCTTGGAATTTCCTGGGTGATAGGAACATCTTTTGTTCTAATGAGGCAACTCTTGATAGGCTTCTGGATGGGGGCTGGTCACCAGAAAGACCAAGCCATGATTAGAAGCTTGGAACTTTCAGCTCCACTTCACATCCTTGGGCAGGGGAGAGGGACTGGAGATAGAGCTAATAATCAGTCATACCTATATAAAAAGCCTCAAAAAAAAAATCCCTGAATTATGGGGGTTTGGAGAGCTTCTGGGTTGGTGAACACATCCATTTTCATGTTTCATTAGGATGGAATCACCTGTGCTCGTGACCCTTCTGGATCTCTCCCTATGTATCTTTTCCATGTGGTTGTTCATCTGTATCCTTTGTAATATCCTTTATAATAAACTGATAAATATAAATAAAGTGTTTCCCGGAGTTCTGTGAGCTACTTTAGCAAATGATTGAACCTGAGGAGGGGATTGTGGGAACATCCAGTTTATAGCTGGCCAGTCAGAAGCACGGGTGCCTGCAGTGTTGGAGGCAGTCTTTTAGGACCGAGCCCGTTACTGGGATCTGATGCTGTCTTCACATAGATAGTGTCAGAATTGAACTGGCTTGTAGGACACCCAGCTGGTGTTGTAGAATTGCTTGGTGTGGGGAACCCCCCCGTCACCCCGCCCAGCGATCTGGTGTCAGAAATGTTCTGTTATGTTGACCCTGTGAGAGAAGGAAATGTGTTTTTCTGATACAATTAGTATGGATTCATGGGCATTTATTTTATCCTGTAGGTTGTAATCCAAAACTGTCATGATTTTCTTGCTCAAATTGTTGCAGATTTGACCACTGGGAGCTCTTTCAAGTTGGTTCCTGAGTCATTTGTACATGCCCTCATTGTTTGTTTGTTTATTTATTTATTTATTTATTTTGAGACGGAGTTTTGCTCTGTCGCCCAGGCTGGAGTGCAGTGGCGCCATCTTGGCTCACTGCAAGCTCCGCCTCCTGGGTTCACGCCATTCTCCTGCCTCAGCCTCCCGAGTGACTGGGACTACAGGCACCCGCCACCACGCCTGGCTAATTCTTTGCATTTTTCAGTAGAGACGGGGTTTCACACCTGTTAGCCCGGATGGTCTCGATCTCCTGACCTGGTGATCCGCCCGCCTCGGCCTCCCAA
Source organism: Homo sapiens (assembly GCF_000001405.40). Taxonomy (NCBI): domain Eukaryota; kingdom Metazoa; phylum Chordata; class Mammalia; order Primates; family Hominidae; genus Homo; species Homo sapiens. The sequence continues at coordinate 204,979 of NW_011332696.1, read as the reverse complement.
AGTGCTGGGATTACAGGCGTGAGCCACCGCGTCCAGCCGCCCTCATTGTTTTTTAAGTACTTATTTACTTTCTGGCGACTCCAGGCAGTCCAGACTCATTGTGTCCTTTTTCTGTTCCACTCCTTGAATCAACTATTTCTCCAAGGAGTTCTGGCTCCTTTTATTAGAGAATGGTATTTAGAAATGAAGATGTGGAAACTAGGTATGCTCTTTGCTACTGGATTTTCTTTTTTCTTTTTCTTTTTTTTTTTGAGCCGGAGTTTTGTCCTTGTTGCCCAGGCTGGAGTGCAATGGCGCGATCTCGGCTCACTGCAACCTCCACCTCCCGGGTTCAAGTGATTCTCCTGCTTCAGCCTCCCGAGTAGCTGGGATTACAGGCATGCGCCACTATGCCTGGCTAATTTTGTTTTTTTAGTAGAGACGGGGTTTCTGCATGTTGGTCAGGCTGGTCTCGAACTCCCAACCTCAGGTGATCCGCCTGCTTTGGCCTCCCAAAGTGCGTGAGATTACAGGCGTGAGCCACTGCTCCCGGCTGTATTTTCTTTTATTGTATTTAGTTTAGTACCTCTCAGTGGACAGAGTTAGGAAATATATGATGTATGTAGACACACATACCCCTAGTTCTGTGTCTTTGCTATACGTAAAAACAAATTCATGTTATCGCCAATTCCAGTCTACTACCACAAAATTATCATTGTAGTCTTCTCCCTTTTCTTACTTGGGATATTTACTTCTATTCTGTGATAGTGAGAAACCTGGCTCTCATTATCATGATAGATTTTCTTATTTGCCCATCTTAGTGTACACATTAAGGGAGTTTTAAAATCATTAGCCTATACCACCATTGTGAGAAACGAATTTACTTTGGTGTTATGTGAAACAATTGACATGTTCCTAACAGTAAAAAATAATACAAAAATTTATACTCAGGAAAGTGTTCTTCTTCCCCATCCCTTCTATCCTAGTCCCATCTCCTACCCCCTTTTTTCCAGTCTTTCCCCACCCTTCTCTATAGGTATCTTAGTCTTAATAATTTCTGCTTTTTTCTTGTGAATTTGTTTATGTACAAATGAGTTGATACGTGTGTATATTCTTTTTTTTTCTTTTATTATATCTCCGTTCTCAGAATGTGAATGTGTATATTCTTTTTTTTTTTGAGACGTAGTCTCTCTCTGTCGCCCAGAGTGCAGTGGCACCATCTTGGCTCATTGCAACCTCTGCATCCTGGGTTCAAGCGATTCTCCTGCCTCAGCCTCCTGAGTAGCTGGATTAACAGATGTGCGCCACCACACCCGGCTAATTTTTGTATTTTTAGTAGAGGCGGGGTTTCACCATGTTGGTCAGGCTGGTCTCAAACTCCTGACCTCGTGATTCACCCACCTCAGCCTCTCAGAGTGCTGGAATTACAGGCATGAGCCACTGTGCCCAGCCGTGAATGTGTATATTCTTATAATCTTCTTTTCTTACATGAAAGAGTAACATACAGTAGATGCTCTTTTGCATGTTCTTTTTAAACTTAACTTTTTTTTTTTGAGACGGAGTCTCACTCTGTCGCCCAGGCTGGAGTGTAGTGGCACGATCTGGGCTCACTGCAACCTCCGCCTTCCGGGTCCAAGTGATTCTTTGGCCTCAGCCTCTCAAGTAGCTGGGACTACAGGCATGTGCCATCATGCCTTGCTAATTTTTTTTTTTTTGAGATGGAGTTTCGCTCTTGTTGCCCACGCTAAAGTGTAATGGTGCGATCTTGGCTCACGGCAACCTCCGCCTCCTGGGTTAAAGCAATTCTCCTTCCTCAGCCTCCCGAGTAGCTGGGACTACATGCATTCACCACCACGTCTGGCTAATTTTGTATTTTTAGTAGAGACGGAGTTTCTCCATGTTGGTCAGGCTGGTCTCAAACTCCTGACCTTGTGATCCGCCTGCCTCGGCCTCCCAAAGTGCCGGAATTACAGGCATGAGCCACCGTGCCCGGCCAAAACTTAACATTTTGAATGTCATTCCATATCATTTCATAGAGATCTTCCTCATTGTTTTTTGCCAGTGCATAGTATACCATTGTGTGAGTGTACCATAGTTTATTCAACTACTCTCTATGTGTAGGCTTTTAGGCTGGTTTTTTTTTTAATTAGCTGAGATATTTTAAAGCAGATTCACACATCGATATCTCACTTGTAAATACTTTATTTTCCATCTCTAAAAAATATTTTTTCTAGAATCATAATGCCACTGTCTTTCACACAACTTGCGATGAACAATTCTTTAATGTTATAAATTAGTCTGTTCATACTCAGATATCTGTGTCTCAGAAATGTTGCTTTATAGTTGGTTGTTTGAAATCAGAGTCCAAACATTTGGTTTACAAGTTGTATGTGGTTTTTCTAGAGCAGTTCAGTTGGTCCTCCCCCTTTCCCTTTTTATCTCTCACCTTGTTGACTTAATTGAAAAGACTGGGTCAGCTGTCCTATAGAATATCCCAGATTTTTTATTTTCATTCATTCATTCATTTATTTTTTTGAGATGGAGTCTGACTCTGTTGCCCAGGCTGGAGTGCAGTGGCATGATCTTGGCTCACTGCAACCTCCGCCTCCCGGGTTCACGCCATTCTCCTGTCTCAGCCTCTTGAGTAGCTGGGACTATAAGCACCCACCACCATGCCCGGCTAATTTTTTTGTATTTTTAGTAGAGGCGGGGTTTCAGCGCATTAGCCAGGATGGTCTCGATCTCCTGACCTTGTGATCCACCCACCTTGGCTTCCCAAAGTGCTGGGATTACAAGCATGAGCCACCGCGCCCAGACAATTTTTTTTTCTAACAAATTATTGTGGTATTTGACTTATTTTTATCCCCCTGTGTTACTTGGAAAGAAAGATTTGAAGACTTGATTAGAGACAGATTTAACATTTTGACATGAATGCCTCATAGGTAGTACTGAGTACTTTGTATTTGTCACATCAGAAGTTGTCCTATATTGTAGTGTTGCTAAGATTATTCAGTAGGTTCAGATGGTCAGATTTTCTGAGCAGTTGGGATGTTAGGTGCATCTTTTGTTATAATATTTGGTTTTTGACTCTAGTGCCTGAAAGTTACTATCTTTATTTGTAAGTTGAGCCCTTTCCTCTTGTGTCCTTAAGTTATTTGTGGGATGATCCTTTTGTATTTTGCCAAATACCTAGTTCCTTATTAACCACTCATCTATTGATTATTTTAGCATGCACTGAGGATTGCTTCTTGTATTTTCTTATTAGAGATATGTTATTGTTTGATGATGTCTTTTCTTGTGTCATATATTTTATTCCATCTTTTATGTGTTTTCATCATTTAAATATTTATAATCTCTATCAAGTTGTTCAGTTTTCTGAAGTTCTTAAAAATCTACTTCTGTTTTTTTTTTTTTTTGCACCTGCTGGATTCTTGCTTAAGGTTAAATGTTTCCTCGAGTGTTTTATATAGTTTTGGACTGTGAACAGATCTTCAGAGAGGCTGTCCTTGAGAATTCTGAATGACTTGGGGGCATATTCCTCCAGAGAGATTTTGGGTTGCTTTTGCCAAGTTCACTGGAAGTGTTTCCAGTGACCACTTAAATTTTTTTTTTTTTTTTTGAGACAGCGTCTCACTCTGTCGCCCAGGCTGGAGTGCAGTGGTACGATCTCGGCTCACTGCAGGCTCTGCCTCCTGGGTTCTCGACACTCTTCTGCCTCAGCCTCCCAATAACCTGGGACTACAGGCACCCGCCACCATGCCCGGCTAATTTTTTGTATTTTTTAGTAGAGACAGGGTTTCACCATGTTAGCCAGGATGGTCTTGATCTCCTGACCTCGTGATCTGCCCACCTTGGTCTCCTAAAGTGCTGGGATTACAGTCGTGAGCCACCGTGCCCAGCCGACCACTTAACTATTTAAAGTATAATTTATATACAGTAAATTGCACAGATCTCAAGTGTGAAGTTTGAGTTTTGTTTTTGTTTTTGTTTTTGTTTTTTTTTTTGAGGCAGGGTCTCGCTTCGTCAGTGGCGCAGTCTCAGCTCACTGCAACCTTTGCCTCCCAAGCTCAAGCAATCCTCCCATCTTAGCCTCCTAAGTAGCTAGGACTGTAGGTGTGTGCCACCACATCCGGCTAATTTTCATATCTTTTGTAGAGATGGGGTTTCACCATGTTGCTCAGGATGGACTTGAATTCCTGGGCTCAAGTGATCTGCCCATCTCAGCCTCCCAAAGTGTTGGGCTTACAGGCATGAGCCACTGCGCTGCTCAGCATGAGTTTTTTTTGTTGTTGTTTAAACAAAAACAAAACAAAAAAAAAACCGTTTCCTGGGCTGATCTAAAAACTTCTGGGACTACAGGCATGAGCCACTGTGCCCGGCTTAGTTTGAGTTTTGGTAAATGAGTTATCAAATGTTATCATTGCCTTATTCAAGCAGAAGTCATTTTTTATATTTAATTTTTGAAGTTGGGAGTTTCTGTACTATGTGGATAGAATAAATCAAACTCTAAACCTATGTAGGGGCAGTCTTATGATTATGAAATCTTTGGTGATCTTTCCTACCTTTTCAGAGCCTAGGGCAAGACAAAAAAGGCTTCCTGTGTCCCTCTGCCAGTGGGCAGATCTTTCTACTTCATTGTTCTTTGAGAGTCCATGCTTTGTGCAGGAATCTTACTTCTAACACTGTGTCTTGTGTGCCAAGATCTTCTCTGGCTTGTCATTGGAACAGAAGTTTCTCAGTTTCTGAAATCAGAAAATCCAGGGTCGTCATAGCATCAGGTCAAACATGTACTGCTTTTTTTTTTTTTTTTTTTTTTTTTTTTGAGATGGAGTCTTGCTCTGTCATCCAGGCTAGAGTGTAGTGTCACGATCTCGGCTTGCTGCAACCTCCGCCACCCAGGTTCAAGCCATTCTCCTGCCTCAGCCTCCCAAGTAGCTGGGATTACAGGCGCCTGCCATCACACCCGGCTAATTTTTGTATTTTTAGTAGAGACGGGGTTTTACCATATTGGCCAGGCTGGTCGCGAACTCCTGACCTTGTGATCTGCCCACCTTGGCTTCCCAAAGTGCTGGGATTACAGGCGTGAGCCACTGCGCCTGGCCATGTACTGCTTTTTACTTTCCTGTTCATTTTTGGTCTCAGGAGATTTCTCCTACTTTCTTGATAAGTTCTACATTTAAAGGGGTGTTTGTATATTTTATTTTGTGTATATGTACAAATCAAATAAAAAGATTCACCAGTAGTTCTAGATGTTTTGTAAAAGAAGTATTTTCTGGTTGTCTTTTTACCATATTACCAGAATAGAAACTCTGACTTACATGTTTTAAAATATTGTCTATTCTTTCATGTACCATGTGCATGATAGTTGAGGATTATTCATACTTGCTAATATGTATATTAATGACTTATTTTAATTATGGATAGGATTATATAAGTAACTTCAAGGATCATGACATGATTTATGATCTAGTATAGATCTGGGTCACTTAGTTTTTATAGCTCAAGTCTCAATGTCTTAATTAGTCACCTGTGTATGTAATTACATCTTGTAAAGGGTGAAATTTCATCCCTTTAGTCTAGATTTATTGAAACTGAACATTTTCATTATGGGAAGCCGAATTCAGATTGAGTATACTTACCAAATTAGGGCTTGTGAATATTTTGGAAGATTTGTTGTTTTATCCTTACCTAATCAAATAAATTAAATGCTTTGGATTGTAATAAAAATGTATAAAGTAAATTTGTATAAAATGGCTTGTGTGTCTAGTCTTATTATCAGTTTGAGATATTTTTATTTTCCTGGCATAAGAAATTGTGACATCTTGAAAACTTAATATATGTTTACTTGCTTTACTTCCCTCCCAGTTAAAATGAAGCTCATCTTCTACCTTTCACTCCATTTAAAAATTATTTTCCAGAAAGCATTACAAATGAATATGAGACCAGACACAGCAATAAAATTACATTTGTGTGGACGCTAATGAACAGCATATAACAGCCTGGTCCTGGTTTTCATGATTTTTGGATGAATAGCAGATGTGTATACTATTGCAAAGTGGAGCTGTGACCACATATATTTATTTAATCATTATCAAGTACATATGTTCATTCTCTCTTAATTCAAAGCCAAAATAAAGCTAATTGAGGCCAAAATAAATTAGAGGCCAAATAGATTACATAACCAGAGTTAGTAAAGATTACTGCTGAAGTGAGATTTCTTCTATATAAGCCTGTAGCCTAGCTTTTGAGAAGCCAAGGGAGATATTTATCACACACTTTCTGTTTCCCAAAGCATACTAAAATTGGCTTTAAAATATGTTGCTGATAAAAGCCCTTGCAGAATATATTACACAACTAGTTGAATTAAGCAACTTCATTGTTAAGTGCTTTTATGTGTCTACAGGTTTCTAAGGTAGATTCTAAGGTAGATTAAATACAAAAACAAAACAACCAAACCTGCTCCTTAATATTTGCACACCAATTATTATTTATTTTTTGAAAGAGTCTAAAATAAAATGAAGTAGTCAAGGAGTTTATGTCACAGTTTAATTTTTAAATGGCTGAGTTAAGGGAGAGATTTTCAAGTCTCAGTGTGAGATATTCTTCTTCTTCTTCTTTTTTTTTTTTTTTTTGAAATGGAGTTTCACTTCTTTTGCCCAGGCTGGAGTGCAATGGCATGATCTCGGCTCACAGCAACCTCCGCCTTGCGGGTTCAAGCGATTCTCCTGCCTCAGCCTCCCAAGTAGCTGGGATTACAGGCATGTGCCACCATGCCAGGCTAATTTTGTGTTTTTAGTAGAGATGGGGATTCTCCATGTTGGTCAGGCTGGTCTCGAACTCCCAACCTCAGGTGATCCACCTGCCTTGGCCTCCCAAAGTGCTGGGATTACAGGTGTGAACCGTTGTGCCGGGCCGATATTCTTCATTTTCCTCATAATAGAAAATGTTTGTGTCATATCCTAGCAGATCTTGAGAATGTTTTTTTCCCTCAGGACTTTTCCTGCATCACATCCCTGTACCATGTCCTCTGAGCAGGCCTCAGTAGCTACCACTCCTCTTGGGTTAGCTTCAGTGCTGCATCCTTGAATGCAATGAATGCCTCTTTCCTAGCTCGCTGGGGCCTATTGCCATTTTCTGCTTTCCCTAGAGCAGTGGTCCCTAAACTTTTTGGCACCAGGGACTGGTTCTGTGGAAGACAGTTTTTCCACAGGCACTGGGCAGTAGCGGGGTGGGTGGGATGGTTTCTGGATGAAACTGTGCCACCTCAGATCAGGCATTAGATGCACAAATGGAGGTGTGCAACCTAGATCTGTTGCATGCGCTGTTCACAATAAGGTTCGCACTCCTGAGACTAATGCTGCCACTGATGTGACAGGAGGCAGAGCTCAGGCAGTAATGCTCGCTTGCCTGCTGCTCACCTGCTGTGCGGCCAGTTCCTAGCAGGCCACTGACTGCTACTGGTCCACAGCCTGGGGCTTGAGGACCCCTGCACTAGAGAAGGGCACAGTCTCATAAAGCAGATCCTGAGACTAAAGACTCATTCTGCTGCTGGGTCACTGCATAAACTGAAGACATCTACTTGTTACCTTTTAGGCATAGCATTTATCTCTTCCTGTTAGGTTCTCTTTCTTTTTTTTTTGAGATGGAGCCTCGCTGTGTCACCTAGGCTGTTGTGCAGTGGTGTGATCTGGGCTCACCGCAACCTCCGCCTCCCGGGTTCAAGCGATTATCATGCCTCCAGCCTCCCCAGTAGCTGGGACTACAGGCGTGCATCAGCTAATTTTTGTATTTTTAGTAGAAACGGGGGTTTCACCATGTTGGCCAGGCTGGTCCTGAGCTCCCGACCTCAGGTGATCCCCCTGCCTTGGCCTCCCAAATGGCTGGGATTACAGGTGTGAGCCACTGCACCTGGCCAGGCTCTCTTTCTTAATCCTTACCTTGGATACATAATTTAGCTACTCTCGGGGAAATGTGCCAAATGAGGATTTGGTACCAGTCTTATTGACCACTGACCACTAAAAATGAGTGCCAAGCTTTACAGAACAGCAAACTGAAGCAGAAAGGGCTCCCCTCTTGCCTTTTGTTTGTTTTTTAAATAAAAGACCATTTTTTAGAACAGTTTTGGACTTACAACAGAATTGGCTGAAACAAAATACTCCTAATTTCTCCCTTCCATCCCCTGTATTGTTGCCATCATTCATTTCACTTATATATAAGCTAAAATCATTGACTACACTGTGCTGTTACTATTTTGAACAAACTGTTACCTGTTAGCTCAATTAAGAATAAGAAAAGGCCAGGTGTGGTGACTTAAGTCTGTAATCTCAGCACTTTGGGAGGCCAAGGCGGGTGGCTCACCTGAGGTCAGGAGTTCGAGACCAGCCTGGCCAACATGGTGAAACCCCGTCTCTACCAAAAATACAAAAAATTAGCCTGGCATGGTGGTGCGTGCCTGTAATCCCAGCTACTCGGGAGACTGAGGCAGGAAAATCGCTTGAACCTGGGAGGTGGAGGTTGCAGTGAGGCGAGATTGCGCTGTTGCACCCCAGCCTGGGCAACAAGAGTAAAACTCTGTGTCAAAAAAAAAAAAAAAGGAAAAGAAAGTTTTTATTTTACCTTCACTTATTCCTTCTCTAATGCCGTTACTTTCTTTTTGTAGATCTATTTTTGACCTATATTATTTTTCTTCCTTCTGAAGAACTACTTTTAACATTTCTTAAAACGCAGGTCTACTGGTAACAAATCCCTCAATTTTTGTTGGTCTTGAGAAAGTCTTTAGTTCTCCTTCACTTTTTAAGGATAATTTTGCAGGGTAGAGAATTCCAGGCTAGCAGTTTTTTCTTTGTTTTTCCTTTCTCTTGAATTTTAAAATATTTCGCTCTATTCTCTATTTGCTTGTATGGTTTATGAGGATAAGTTGGATGTAATCCTGCTCTTCTACAAGTAAGGTGTTTTTTCTTGCTTAAGATTTATTTATTTTTTTCATTTTCTGCAGTTTGAATATGATATGCCAAGGTGTTAGGTGGTGGTTGGTTTTGTTTTGCCTTTTCCCGCTTGTTCTCTGAGCTGACTGGATCTGTGGTTTGCTGTCTGACATTAGTTTGTGTGGAATTCTGTCATTACGGCTTCAAATATTTTCTCTTTCTGTATTCTCATTATGTGTATGTTGTACCTTTTGTATAATAATTGTCCCACAGTTCTTATTGTTTTTAAAAATATATATTATAAAAATACTAACGCTTCACGAATTTGCATGTCATCCTTGTGCAGGGGCCATGCTGATCTGTGAATTGTTCCAGTGTTAGTATATGTGCTGCTGAACTGAACGCAGTTCTTAGATATTCTGTTCCCTTTTTTTCAGTCTTTTTAAAAAATCTGCTTTTCAGCTTTGGAAGTTTCTATTGACATATTCCCAAGCTCAGATTCCTCAACCATGAACAGTATACTAATAAACCCATCAAAGGCATTCTTCATTTATGTTATAGTGTTTTTGGTCTCCAGCATTTCTCTTTGATTTTTCCCCTTGCTTACATTATCAGTCTATTCTTCCATGTTGTCTGTTTTTTCCCGTTAGCATCCTTAGCATATGAATCATAGTTGCTTTAAATTCTTGTCTGTTTATTGCAATATTCTTGCCATATTTCAATCTGGTTATGGTACTTGCTCTGTCTCTTCAAACTGCTTTTTTGTCTTTTAGTATGCCTTGTAATTTTTTGTTGAAAGCTGGATATGATATATCAGATAAAAGGAATTGTGATATATAGGCCTTTTGTAATGTGATGGTAAGCTGTGGGGAGAGAAAAAATAGTCTATAGTTCAATGACTATATTTCAGTTGTTTAGTCAGCCATTGCCCTGGGCTGTGAGCTTCACAAGTGCTTCTCAGTTCTTTTCATCCCCTTAGGTGGGACAGAATGGTTAGAGGAGGCTGGAGTTAAGTATTTCTCTTCTTCTGTGTAGACGGGGAGAGGGAGGTGGAGCTGGATATTTTCCTTCCCCCAGGTTGGTTAGGCTGTAGTAAGATGGATTTTCTTGAGGGCAGACCTTACCAGTACTATAGCTTTACAAGAACTCTCCTTGCACAGGCAGCAGTGGGTATTTTTCTCAGGTCTCTCTCTTTTTTTTTTTTTTTGAGACACAGTCTTTCTCTGTCGCCTAGGTTAGAGTGCAATGGTGTGATCTCGGCTCAGTGCAACCTCTGCCTCCCGGGTTCAAGCGATTCTCCTGCTTCTGCCTCCTGAGTAGCTGGGATTACAGGTGTCCTCCACCATGCCCAGCTAATTTTTGTATTTTTAGTAGCGATGGGGTTTTACTATGTTGGTCCAGCTGGTCTCAAACTCCTGACCTCAAGTGATCCACCTGCCTCGGCCTCTCAAAGTGCTGGGATTACAGGAGTGAGCCACCACACTGGCTTGGATCTTTACTGTGAGAACCTGGTAGAGCTCCTGGAGGTAAAACCAAAAAAAGTGTCCCTAGAGTTTTTAACTTTCAGATTTGTCTATACTAAGCCTCCAGCAAGTCATCAATCGCAATTTAGGTTTTCCTACTCGGGTGCTGGCTCCTGTAGAGAGGTTTTTGTCTGTGGATTTCTGCTTTGATAAATTATGATCCTTTGTTATCACCTTGTCTGTCTATCCAATTGTGGGGGCAGTGGTTTGCCCTGTGACCTTACTTCTCTGGTGGATCTAAGAAGAGTTGTTGATCTTTGTTGTTGTTGTTGTTTAGCTTTTTACTCACTATTAGGATAGAGTAACGATTTCCAAGCTTCTTCCCCACTGCGTCCACCCCGGCCAGGTGGAGTCTCGCTTTGTCGCCCAGGCTGGAGTGCAGTGGCGTGATTTTGGCTCACTGCATCCTCCCATCCTCCACCCACTGGGTTCAAGCGATTCGCCTGCCTCAGCCTCCCAAGTAGCTGGGATTACAGGTGCCTGCCACCACAACCGGCTAATTTTTGTATTTTTAGTAGAGATGGGGTTTAACCATGTTGGTCAGGCTGGTCTAGAACTCCCGACCTCAGGTGATCCGCCTGCCTGGGCCTCCTAAAGTGCTGGGATTACAGGTGTGAGCCACCGCCCCTGGCCATTCAGAAGGTTTTAATTTGGATTCAGGCAGGCATCCAGGGAATAGGTATGTTCTTACCTTATTTATATCCTTGGTCTTAGTCTAGTTCCCTGTGTGTTGGTATTGCATTACTGATACTGTTATTTATTATGAAAGACAATGTACCTGCAGTAAGCTGATACTGTTCAGTGGACTGGACTGATTTTGTTTAAAAATCCTTATAGTGAGACTGAGCTGGGTAAGTGAACCCATGTTATATCAGTTTATATATAGGAAGTTTGAAGTGGATGTGAAAGCAGTATAATGAATTCATAACTGTTTTCAAGCTTTCATTAATTTATTTTTGATAGACACATAAGTGTTAGAGAACTCGGTTGTAAAATAAGGATATGAAATCTGTTTTCTATATAAATAAATTTAACATTTTTCTTTTGAAGCCTAATCATGAGCAGACAACTGTTAGTAATCTTGAAAGTGAAGTTTTCTGAAATGAGTCTCCTAGAGATTGTGGGAAAAAAAAAAAGGTGGTATGTGCATGGAGATAAGCCTGCAAGCATGTAGACTGTACTGTTTAGTAGAATTGAAGATGACTGTGGAAGTATGTATGTTTGTTTGAAGAATGGTGGTAAAATTGTTTGTAAGATGTTATATATGTAGAAGATGAGAAACAGGAAAAAAGCATACTACACAGATGTCAAAACCCATAGCACTTTATAGCAGAAAGCGTGGACCTTAATGAATACGAATTTTAAAAGACCATCTTTTAGGAGGCTGGGGGATTCCAGGATGGAATGCAGATTGAGACAGAAGAATCTAATTGTATTAGAGATGTATAAAACAACCTCATTGAAGTGGGTGATGGGGGAAAACTGTTGATCTAATTAATTTTGGAGATGCATAGTGCCTGTAATACTAAAGGCAAAAGGCACTGCACATATTCTTTACTTGTAGTGTACATTGGTTGATAATATTGCTTCATATAAAGGTATAGTTAACAATTCTGATACTGCAATTCTGATACCTCTAGTAATGTATACTAAACAGTTAAGTATAAGTGGATGGTGGATTGTGGTAGCCAGATTTCTCACTGTTGGAATGGAAAGTTACAAGCAAGGAGAAGGAGGCTAGAGTGATCCATGTGGTAAAGGATTAGAATTGGAGACATCAGCGTTTAGTCCATGTTTAGCTTACTATATACAGTGTACACTTTAAATAAGGTTAGTTGATTAACCTTAAAACAATGAAAAATAATCTCAGCCTTGGAATTTATACCCATTAAAAATTAAGATAGGAGTAGTAGAAAAGTATAATTAATATTTTTAGCATTTGATTTAAAAAATACTGTAGGATTTGTCAGATCTCACAGACTGGGGGAGGGTGTTAGGCCCATACCTATGTATTACCAGTCATATTGTTGAATGACCCTCAAGATGAAAGATTGTATTGATATAAACAAGTGCAGATTCCTTCATCATAAGAGTAGTGGTTGTATTTTACAGTATTTGTAATTTTATGTAAATTATTGTTTAAATATGTGCGGTATGGTTCTACCTTAGCCATCATTCCCAAGGGGAAACACAGCAACAAGGTTTCAGTGTAGCTAATACTTGTGCCTAATTTTCTGTTAAACACTTGGTTTGTGGCAAGACTTGTAGGATGTTCATTTCCCAGTCATTCTGGGAGGCTCAGATAAATGACCATCACATGCATCTAAAAGGTTTGGGAAAATTCAGGTCTTAGGTCCTGGTTTTTTTTTTTTTTTTTTTCTGATGAAATGAAGAACTTGAGTGAAATAATTAGGGAGGTATTTCTTAAAATCCTTGGAACATCTTTATAATTGTTACTATTCTTAACTAATGGCCTGTGTGGAGGTTACCACATAGTCTGGGAGGATGATTTAAAATATTTTATTTTGGTGTTGGACTGTGTCATCTATAATTTTGGCTTCAGAGAATAGAGTAAAATATAATTGAGATTTAATTGGTGGTTTTTCTGAATTGGTCTAGGAGTGATTTGCTAAATGCTTTATATACTTATCCTAGAAATATTCGTTAGTGTTATTTTTAGGATTGTATATGTAACTTTTATTACTATACATTTACTATGTATTTTCTGATGTTATAAAGACTAATGTAAGGAAAGATAGTATTTTGGTTTTATTCTCTTATTACAGTGCAGATTCTGATTCTGTAGATGTAGGATGGAGCTTGATTGGTTCATGGACCACACTTTTGTCATAAGTATGTATATATAGGAAAAAACATAGTATATATAGGGTTTGGTACTCTGCAGTTTCAGGCATCCACCGCGGGTCTTGGAATATTTCCCCCGCAAGAATGGAATCTTTCTTTCTTTCTTTCTTTCTTTTTTTTTTTTGAGACGGAGTCTTGCTTTCTCGCCCAGGCTGGAGTGCAATGGCGCGATCTTGGCTCACTGCAACCTCCGCCTCCTGGATTCAAGCGATTCTCCTGCCTCAGCCTACCGAGTAGGTGGGATTACAGGCACCACCACGACGACCGGCTAATTTTTTTGTATTTTTAGTAGAGATGAGGTTTCACCATGTTGGTCAGTCTGGTCTTGAACTCCTGACCTCAGGTGATCCGCCCGCCTCGACCTCCCAAAGTGCTGGGATTACAGGTGTGAGCCACTGCACCCGGCCGTGATCTTTCTTTATATATAGAGGATTATCGCTATAAATATATAAAATTGGGTGCCAAAAGCTTGAAAGGTTATAGTGGAAATTTGAAAATCTACTTTTATTCTCACAGATGTGTGTATTTTTACTTAGTAAAATTTACTGCTTAGTAAAATTTAAGCAGTACTTGTGAACTTTTCAAATCCCCCTTCCCAATTTGTAGAGCTTTTGAAGGAAATGTGGAAACCCATTGTGTGAGAAGGAATTTTAGTTGTTACTTTGTTCCCCTATATGGTCTTGCACAGTGGAAGGGTATAAGTACATAAAGCATTTAGCAGATCACTCCTAGATCAATTCAGAAAAACCACCAATTAAATCTCAATCATATTTTACTCTGTTCTCTGAAGCCAGAATTATAGATGACACAGTCCAACACCAAAATAAAATATTTTAAGTCATCCTCCCAGACTATGTGGTAACCTCCACACAGGCGAGTACCAACTGGGGCTTAATGATTAGCTAATATTTAGGGTCAGTGGTTAATGAGTTAAATACATTAACACCAGCTGTGCAAGAATAGAATGCTATGGATAAACAGGTGCTTGAGAACATTATGTTCCTCTTCACTGGTTCTAAGCCCTGTGTGAGTGCATTAGAATTCCTTGGGAAGCTGTTAAAAAAATATTGATTCCTGAGTTCGAGCCCAGACCAATTGAATCAGAATCTCTGATGAAAGAACCCACATAATGGATATTTTAAAATAAATTTCTTAGGTCATTCTCAAGTGCTGCCAGGGTTGAAATTTTTTGTTGTAGGTATTTCATGATGTTGCTGATGCTGTTGATGCTGTTATTTTGTGTGTGTGTGTCAGAGAGGGAAGAGGGGGGAGGTGCATAGTCTTAAACATGCTAAAGCAACAATTCTAGTTTCTTAATATTCAAGAACTGGTTATCTTGTCATCATTATGTATTGATGATTATTGGGTTTTGAAGTTATGAAGGCATGGGTGAACCAAACTGTTCAATTGGGTTTTCTCTTACACTTCATTGTTTATGGTGATATAAATACAAAAGTTTAATGTTAAGTTGGCTTTTGCATCTGTAATAAATTGTTCCTTTTATATCAGTTTGCATCAAGATGTTGTTTTAAATGTGTGTACAGAAAGAAGGGTCAGGATGTGATTTAGCTGACAGTTTTCTGCTAACCAGTCTCACGAATATTGACATTGGTTCTTAAGGAGAGAGGGGTCATAGTAGATTGTGGGAAGAACTGAGACTGCAAACATGCCACTTGTAGAAGGTAGGGAGTTGTAAGATACGAAACTTTGTCAGAGCAAGGGTTGAAGTTACTTTATCTGAACTTTAAAGTGATGCTTTGGGATGCCGTTGTGATCTAAGAATATGTGTTAGGCTGGGCGTGGTGGCTCATGCCTGTAATCCCAGCACTTTCGGAGACTGAGGTGGGCGGATCACTTTAGCTCAGGAGTTTGAGACCAGCCTGGGCAATGTGGTGAAACCCTGTGTCTCCTAAAAATAGAAAAAATTAACCGGGTGTGGTGGCGCACTCCTATGCTCCCATTTACTCAGGAGGCTGAGGTGAGAGGATCGCTTGAGCCCAGGAGGTGGAGGTTGCAGTGAGCTGAGATTGTACCACCGCATTCCAACCTGGGTGATGGAGTGAGACCCTGTCTCAAAAAAAAAAAAAAAAACTAAGAAAAATATGCGTTAGTGTTCATAGTCTTAAATAATAGAAATCCCTCTACTTTAATCATAAATGGCTTTGTGATTAAAGAGGATATTGGGCTATTCATAGAATTTCCTAAAGGGTAGAAGAACCAGTCTTGTGCAGGAACAGTGTGCTACGTACTATACTGCAGAGCTGGTCCAGTGAAAGCATCACTGTTAGGTGACATGTTCACACTATTTGTACTTTCTCTGACATAAGGTGACAGATACTCCTAAAACTGTTGTCAGTGTTCCCTTTTAAAACTGGATGAAGGAAGAATTTTTTTTTTTTTTTTGAGGCAGGTTCTCGCTCTGTTGCCCAGGCTGGAATGTAGTGGCATGATCTCAGCTCACTGCAACCTCTGCTTCCTGGGTTCAAGTGATCCTCCTGCCTCAGTCTCCCTAGTAGCTGGGACTGCAGGCGTGTGCCACCACACCTGGTTAATTTTTGCATTTTTAGTAGAGACAGGGTTTTACCATGTTGGCCTGTCTGGTCTCTTAATTCCTGACCTCAGGTGATCCGCCCGCCTCAGCCTCCTAAAGTGGTGGGATTACAGGCGTGAACCACCGTGCCCAGCTGGAAGGATTAATTAATTCAAACTGGAGTAAATTAGCTGTTGCTGTTGCCTTCAACCTCACCAGAATGGATTGCTTATGGGGCTTGCTTCTGTCGCTGCTTCCTCTTTGACCTCTACGTCCTCCTCCTTTTGTTGATTCAGTTTTTCAAAGTCGGGGTTGGTTTGTCTGACTGGAAAAGCTCAGGACTTACACGTAACCCTGTCCCAGTTAGGAGAGAGATGTGGAAAGCAAATACCTGGTTTTCAGTTTCTTTAGTTTTAGGGCAAGGTTCTGCCTTATAAAGTGAAGAATTCTCCAAACATAGGAAAGTGGATTCGATAAAGCTGGGTAGCCCCCTCCAGTGCCATATATCCATGAAAGAACATTTTGTGAATGAAAGGGAATGGTTACAGGATTTGTGGATATCTTTGCTGTGATTTGAGTCTTGTTTGTATTTTTTCCCCCTTTCTAATGTTGAAAAATGAATGAGGTGCAATGGTAGATACAAAAGCGGAGGACAGTTGGCCTGTTGGGGTGGCTCACGCCTGTAATCCCAGCACTTTGGGAGGCTGAGGTGGGCGGATCACAAGGTCAAGAGACCGATACCATCCTGGCCAACATGGGAAACCTCATCTCTACTAAAAATACAAAAATTAGCCAGGCGTGGTGGCGGGCACCTATAGTCCCAGCTACTTGGGAGGCTGAGGCAGGAGAATCGTTTGAACCCCGGGTGGTGGAGGTTGCAGTGAGCCGAGACGGTGCCACTGCACTCCAGCCTGGGCGACAGAGTGAGACTGTCTCAAAAAACAAACAAACAAAAACCAAAAAGGGGTAGACAGTTAAGAGTATAAAATTTGTAACTAAAGTGGGCCCTACAAGTAATCTGTTGTTATTTTATTGTATTTGAGATGGAGCCTTGCTGTGTTGCTCAGACTGGAGTGCAGTGGTGAGATCTCGGTGCGATTTCACCATGTCGGCCAGGCTGGTCTCAAACTCCTGACCTCAGGTGATCACCCGCCTCGGCCTCCCAAAGTGCTGGGATTACAGGCGTGAGCAACCACACCCAGCCCCACATTGTTTTTTAAACTTGCTCTACCATTTTTATATTTCCACTAGCAGTGTATGAGGGTTTCAGTTTCTCTCTTTCCTGCAATATTTGCTATTCTTTGTCTCTTCCTGGTTTTTTGTTTTTTAAAGAGATGGGGGTATTGCTCTGTCACTTGGGTTGGAGTACAGTGGCATGGTCATAGCTTACTGCAGCCTCAAACACCTGGGCTGAAGTGATCCTCCCTTCTCAGCCTTCTTTGTAGCTGGGATTACAGGTGTGAGCCTCTGTGCCTGGCCCTCTCTCCTTTTTTAAAAAGTTATAACCATCCTAGTGGGTGTATAGGCATGTCTTATTGAGGTTTTGATTTACATTTCCTTACTGACTGATGTTGAACATGTTCTGTGCTTTGACCACTTGTAAATCTTGATTTGTGAAATACCTATTTTAAAATTGTATAGTATTATTATTATTATTATTATTATTATTATTATTATTATTATTGAGAGAGGGTCTTGGTCTGTTCCCCAGCCTGGAATGTAGTGGCATGATCATGGCTCATTGCAGCCTCAACTCCCTGGGCTCAAGCGATTCTCCCATTTTAGCCTCCTGAGTAGCTGGGACCATAGGTGGGTGACACCACACCAGGCAAATTTTTAAATTTTTTTGGTAAAGATGGGGGTTCTCGTTATGTTGCCCAGGCTGGTCTTGAACTCCTGGACTCAAGTGGTCCTCCCACTTTGGCCTCCCCAGTCGCTGGGACTATAGGTATGAACCACTATGCCTGGTAAGTCCTTTTATTATTGAGTTCTAAGAGCTCTTTATATATTCTGGAAACCAGACCTTTGTCGGACATACGATTTGCAAATACTGATTTCCTGTTCTGTGGGTTGCCTTTTCACTTTCTTTGTGGTATCTTTTGAAACACACATATAATGGAGTTTTGGGATGAAGTCTGATCTGTTTTTTTCTTTTGTTGCTTGTGGTTTTAGTGTTATATCTGTGAAACCATTCTTTTAATTCTGGATCATGAATATTTACTCATTGTCTTCTAAGAGTTTTATGGTCTTAGCTTTTACAATCAGGTCTTTATCGTTTTTGAATTAATTTCTGTATGTCCTTTAGAGGTCCAGCTTCATTGTTTTGCATGTGGATATCCAGTTATCCCAGCACTATTTGTTGAACAGACTGTTTTTCCCCACTGAACTGTCTTCACATCCTCATTGAAAGTCAATCGACCATAAATATAAGGGTTTATTTTTGGATTTTCATTTCTTTTAAATTTATCTAGATGTCTGTCCTTATGCTAGTATCACACTGTCTTGATTACTGTGGCTTTGTAGTATGTTTAGCAATAGGGAAATCTGAGTCCCTATAGCTTTTAAAGCTAAGAGTGTCTCGTAAAGCAGTGGTCCCTTACCTTTTTGGCACCAGGGACTGGTTTTGTGGAAGACAGTTTTTCCACGGACTGGGCTGGAGGGATGGTTTCAGTATGACTTAAGCACATTACCTTTATTGTGTACCTTATTTCTATTATTATTACATTGTGATGTATAATGAAATAATTATATAACTCACCATAATGTAGAATCAGTAGGAGCCCTGAGTTTTTTTCCTGCAACTAGATGGTCTTATCTAGGGGTGATGGGAAACAGTGACAGATCATAAGGCATTAGATTCTAATAAGGAGCACGCAACCTAGATCCCTTGCAATGCGCAGTTCACAATAGGGTTTATGCTCTTATGAGAATCTAATACCTCCACTGATCTGACAGAGGCGGAGCTCAGGCAGTAATATGAACGATAGGGAGCGGCTATAAATACAGATGAAGCTTTGCTCACTTGCCTGTTGCTCACCTCCTGCTGTGTGACCTGGTTCCTAAAAGGCCATGAACTGGTAGTGGTCTCTGGCTTGGAGGTTGGGGACCCCAGTTATAAAGGATTTGTGTTTACATGATACTGTATTTTATGAAAGGCAGTCTGGTAGCAATAGGCAGGATACTAGAGCCGTGAGAAATGAGGAACCAAAAGCAGAGAAACAAATTAGAAAGGCTCTTATATGTCATGCTAAGAAGTTTGGGATTCATGCTGAAAGTAAGGAAATTACATAATCCCAGATTGCAGGGGCAGGGGGAGGGAGGGGGAGGGTGTGTGGGAGGGGATGTGGTGGTAATATAATCATTAATTTCAGAGTATTCTGGAAAATGGCCTTAAGGGTAGGGGATGGGAAGTCTGGAAAGAGGCTGTTTGGATTATCCGTTAGTTTTATTGGGGCTTGAGAAAACAACCTTTAACAAAGCTTTTCTTTTCTTTTTTTTTTTTTTTAAATTTTAAGTACAGAGAGAAGACCACATCCAAGAAAACCCTATAACAAAATATCAGAATTTGTGAACAACTGTCATTCTACCTAACGGTTGCAGAAACTAAAAATCCTGAGTCATTCTAGGCCCCCACCTCCTCACTCCTCACATTTAATCAGTTACCAATTCTTGTTTATTCTGCCTTCTAAGTAGCTCTTGGATTTGTCTTCTCTTCTCAAATACTATTTACATTGTTTTCAGGCCCTCATATTTTTCAGCTGAATAAAAAGTATAATTGGCTATATTATTATCATTTTTTAAAACCTCAAATTTAAATCATTATAAAACAATGTTGCATTATGGCCATTGTGGGTAACAAAGTCACTTTGAAATGTGCTGGAAGATCCAGGACATTCAGAAATCTAATAGCTTTTGGCTTATGATAGATAGAGGGGTCTCCAAATCTTTCTGTCTTCTCCCTGTTTGTGTGTGTCTGTGGGTGGATTTAATTAAGACAGAAGAAAGTGAAGTAAAAGTCTGTTGCAGCGAATTAGGACCAGAGGAGAGGTATAGAAGACCATAACCGCTTTGAAGATTTTGAAAAAGATGAAGCAATTAGGCAGATACATTAGTCTATCACACAAATAGATCATTATTATTATTATTTTTTGAGGCAGTTTCCCTCTTGTCGCCCAGGCTAGAGTGCAGTGGCCCCATCTTGGCTCACTGCAACCTCTGCCTTGTGGGTTCAAGTGATTCTCCTGCTTCAACTTCCCAAGTAGCTGGGATTACAGGTGCTCGCCACCATGCCTGGCTAATTTTTGTATTTTTAGTAGAGACGGGGTTTCACCATGTTAGCCAGGCTGGTCTCGAACTCCTGACCTCAGGTGATCCTCCCACCTTGGCTTCCCAAAGTGTTGGGATTACAGGCATGAGCCACCACGCCTGGCCACAAATAGATTCTTAAAAGAAAACTCTGATCTTTAATACCTGAAAACACTGTCTACTGAAATCTTAAATCTTAGTCCTTGGCCAGGCACGGTGGCTCACGCCTGTAATCCCAGCACTTTGGGAGGCCGAGGCGGGCGGATCACCTGAGGTCAGAAGTTTGAGACCAGCCTGGCCAACATGTGAGGCTGAGGCAGGAGGATTGTTTGAACTCGGGAGGCAGAGGTTGCAGTGAGCCGAGATCGCGCTATTGCACTCCAGTTTGGGCAACAAGAGTGAAACTCCGTCTCAAAATGAAATAAAATAAAATAAAATAATCTTAGTCCTTACTGATTAAGGCCATTAGTAATAGTAAACAACAGTACTGTTTTTATCAGACTATTTTTATTATTTTTTTTCATTATTTCTGCACAGTTTGCTGTCCCCTCAAATCTCAGGGATCAGTGGGAGAACCTGTGATATTTATTTCCCTGTGATGTCCTTCCCTCCTCAAACTTTTCCTTATTAGGAAGTGTTTGTAAAAATGTTAACTTTATGTTTATTTGTAAGGATGTCAGAAACTGCAAATAAAAATGAGTTACCAAAACACCAGGGGTTTGGTCTAGGTCATGCTGCTCACTGCAGAGAAAGCCAGTGACTGAGACAACAAGTATTGCCATGGGTGCTGCAGCCAGGAAGATGAGAACTCAGTCTCAAACCATCTCCCTGAGTGACTAAAACGAAGGGTTCATATAGCAGGGAAGAAATGTAAAAGAAACAGGAACTAAGGCGGGCCAAGGAAGCAATCATGATGAATGAGTTGTCTAGCATCTTATTGTCTGTCTGAATGTGGTGATCTGGTGAGTTTCAGTTATTTGATACTTTGAGCAGCCTGAAGGTCATTTCCTGAGGAAGGAACTCAGGTAAAACAAATGTAAGATTCAAGCTTTAAGACCAGAAGGGTCAACTTCTATGTTTATCCAAAACCTATCTAGGGAACTAATGGGTTGGTTTCAAATGGAGAAAACGCATTCCATATTCCCCCAACCAGGAAAACTATTTTTTCTATGCTTGCTTACAGAAATAGGCTCTGATAGTTAAAGGAAAAAGAAAGTTCTCACATGACTTAGAAATTTCAAATAAATGCAACCAAAAGATTAGTCTTAGCATATTTTACAAATCAGATCATGAATTTTAAGCTTTTGCCTTTTAAGAATTAAGCTTATGTATTTATTTTGCAGGAATGTGTTTATGATGATTAAAGACTTCAGGTTCTTACTATATAACATAGTTGATTTATGAGATATCTGAAGAATGGGTTTTTAGTAAGCTGACTGGGCCTTTGAATGGCACATTGTATTCACCTGTTATGAAAAGGAAGCTTATCTTTACTGGTAAGGGGGTGTTAGGTTTAACATAAAGGAAGTATTTGTATCCAGTGCTTGTAAATATTAACTGAGATGTTTTATTAAAGAATAAAGGAAAATTTCCTTTTTCTTGTTGAGTAAATGCTATTTTGTCCTAAATTTTCTCTTGTAATATACCTGCATCCAATAAATATTCTTTTACTTATGACATATTTTTGAAAATGTGTTTTGAGAGTGGGGTGCTGCTTGGCTTCTTGGTTGGTTACTGTTATAAAATAGGTATTAGCAGGGAGTTTAGATGACTAAAAGACCCCATGGGGTGGGTAATGGTAAAAGTCTAAGAGAAGATGATAAATATGAAGAACTGTCCTGCAACCAGATCAGAGCAGAAGGGTCAAAGCCAGTAGGAAAGACACTTTTCTTTTATATAAAGTGTCTTACTTTAATCCTTACATCAACTAGTGAAGTATTCACTTTGCAGATGAAAATTAAAACTATGGTCACATGATTATCCAAGACTGGTATTAATAGAGCTAATGTTAAATCTATGAGACATTATTGGTGTAAAAAATAGATATTAAACAAGTAGATTAGGAAAATACTGTACGTTACAATTTGTAACGTGATAAAAGGAGTGGGAATCAAGAGGGAAGGGACGTCATACTAGAAGAATTTACCGTTAGGAAAGAAAAAATCAGTTTATATCAGTATCTCATGTCATACTTCAGATACATTTTAGATGGATAAAAATTTTTAAGTGAAAACTTAAACATCAAATGAAAACGTGAATGTTTAATCTTTGAAGAGAGAAGGGCTTTTTAAGCATGAAAGCAATGAAAGAAATTGCAAAGAAAAATACTGATTCAACCAAATTTTGATTCAAGCAAAAAAAGACAAAGAAAAATATTTGTAACAGATATATTAATAATAGAGTTAGCCTTGATATATAAAAAGTGCATACAAATTAATAAGAAAAATGTTTAATCCCCAATAGCTAAACTGAAAAAAATAGTAAATGTTTTTCCTACTTTGTCTCTAAAAGGATTTAAGATGTTTTAGGAAGATATAAAAAAGTGATGCAAAATAAATAAATGTATTAATTTTATAAAATAAAATTTTAAAATTGAGATGGAAATATAAGAGTATACATGTAAGATGAGACCAGGAGTGAAAATATACATACCAAAACATATGTCATTAATTCCCATATACTTCCACACACATTTGATTTTAAGCCAGATTCCTTAGGGAAGAAAGTATCAGGTATGAGTTAATGTCCTTTAGATAAAAGCTGTTCACTGAAAAAAATATTTACTCCAGATGATGAAACCAGTTTCTTCCCATTAGTCCTCTAAAGAAGCTGCTATATGATATAATGAAAAATATATTCAACAATATCTTTATAATATCCACAGTGACACATTTCTTTGGCATTTGTCCCTGCGGCATCTGGGCAAAGTGCAATTCAGTTAAAGCAGGTGAGGTGAGCTGGATAAGTTCTAATTCTCAAGACCAAGAATTCTCAAGGTCAAGGACAAAATTTTCCTCAGAAACTAATTTTGATGTATTTATTAGAAAGGTAGTTGAAGTTCTCATAGAGCATGACTGAAATAAATTTACCTTAAAAAAAATAAAATTCTCTCTATGAGACCATTTAATGAAAAAGTCAGTGAAGCATATATAGCTTCCAGATTTGAGTGACAGGATATTCTAGTATACCTTCTGAGACAAACTAGTTGCAAAATATATAAAGAGACTGATTATATAGAATCATGAATAAACCAGTGAAACTATAAGTTTTGCTATGGAAATCTGTATGGTGGGGACACAAAGGACAGAGTATTCACTTTTACTTGGCAGGGGGGCGGTGGGGATGCACTATTTTAGGGTGGTGCTTGTTAGCCGAGCAGTTGTTGGCTAGAGGGACAAGGTGTGGAAGTGGGTAATAATTTTTAGTCAGTAGAAATATTATGTGACAGGCTCTCTTCATGCTTTTGTGCATTCAAAGAAAAGCAGCTCATAACTGGAGCATAGTAGAATAATGTAATCATTAAAATAAAATTTTACCTGTATTTTTCAAGGATACGGCCTTGGTAATAAGACAGATACAAGAGGTCTCACGAGCAGGTGAGTGCAGACCATTATTAAATATTTGAGTGCTGACTGTGTACTTGGCATTATGCTAGATTGTTTTAGGATAGGGGATACAACAAAAAATAAAACAAAGTCCTTGTTTTCAAGGACCTGGAATCTAGAGTGGTGAAAACATATGAGTAAACAGTCCTAATACTGTATTTGAAATGTACAGAGATGTAGTTTGTACCTGGAGCATAGTATCAGAATAACGTGCAGGAGCACAGAGGAGAGTATGCTTGAAGGGGGCATTCCTGACAGTTAATATTTCATTTTTATTAAACTTAGAGGCGCTCAAAATGCATCACCTTTGATTCTTTGGAAAGAGGAATGACGTATAACAGCAATTTTGAAAAATTACTAGAGTTAGCATTTTCTTTGATGATAGTTGGGAATTAAATTGATGTAATCTGTTACCCGCTTTCAGGTTATAATCTTTATCTTCTAGTAGTGGTTTACCAATGTTATTTCTGAATTAAATATATTCTTTGCATTATGTCCACTAACTTTTTAAAAGTAATCGACTAGACTGGGTGCTTAAGGCTGTTCATGAGGTTCTTATTTTCTCCAGGGCAACCAGTTTATACATTCAGAATTTCATGATGATGCATACTGTCACAAGCAAGTAATTAGGTAGAATTATTATCCCTATTGAGGGACAGGTAAAAACATGGGATGACAAAGCCATCCCTACTCTGGATACGGAAGGAAAAACAGTGAGGTTAGGATGCTTCAGTTCGTCCGTATTTGAACTCATCATCTTACCGTCCCAAACCATGTCTATCTAATTCCATTCCAGACTCTCTTTTTTTGAGACGGAGTGTTGCTCTGTCACCCAGACTGGAGTGCAGTGGCACGATCTCGGCTCATTGCAACCTCCACCTCCCAGGTTCAAGTGATTCTCCTGCCTCAGCCTCCCAAGTAGCTGTGATTACAGGTGCCCACCACCACGCCTAACTAATTTTTGTATTTTTAGTCAAGTTGGGGTTTGGGGTTTCACCATGTTGGCCGGGCTGGTCTCAAACTGCTGACATCATTAGCCGCCCATCTTGGCCTCCCAAAGTGCCGGGATTACAGGTGTGAACCACTGCACCCAGCCCAGACTCTTTTATCTGGTTACTGTATATTCTCTGTAAAAACAACCACAGAAACCAACCTGCTAACATGAATGCTTTCACTATCCTCTTTTATTAATTTCTACTTGTTTTTAAAATATGATACCAACACATGATCAAGTAGAGGGGAAGTGCAGAAGTAGGTCCGATTTCTTCACAATTCTTTTTTTCTTTTCACTTCTATTAGGAAGCAGAAATCCGTAAATTCTTCAAACTCCTCTTCACTTAAAGCCTAATCTACTAACCGGAGTAAGAGAGGAACATGGGGTCAGGAATCAAGTTCAGGGGTTAGTAACAGGAAGGGTGTGAATTTTACACAACACTTTTCTTTTTCACATTAAAATCAGAACTATTTTCACTGGCTGCATTTTCAATTTGATAATGATGTATGTGATTTTTGAAGTTTCCCCCAAAATAAATTTGATGGCAACAAAATGTTTTTGAGGACCTGTGGCTTTTTATAGGTCCTTTCAGAGTTACTTACATGTGTCACATTAATGTTCTTAGAATTAGCATGGCTCAACACTTCTGGATTGACTTAGTTTCATATGCAACTCGTAATTGTGATTTATTTTGCCCTGTTACTGTAGACCAACTTCTTTGACTGTTAATATGCTTTTTACTTTATTTACCTTTTCTAACCAACTTTCACTTATTTTTACACTGATTTTCCTGTTATTCTATTGACTGGTGGTCTGGATACAGAAGGAAAAACAATGAGGTGAGGATGCTTCAATTCATCCATATTTGAACTCATCATCTTGCTCTCCCAAACCACATCTAATTCCATATTATGTTGAATGACACCAATACACACACATTCACATTTGTAAATCTTGGGAGCCATCCTAGTCTATCCTTTCTCATTCCTCTTTCATATTGATCCAGTCCTCAACTTCTGTTGCCTTCATTAGTTCTTATTTGGAATATTTCAGTTTTCTGGCTTTTTCTTGTTTCTTCTTCCTCTAGCCAGTCCCTCAATGTTATTGTCACTGGAGTCCAAGTTTCTTAGTATAGTAAAATAATACACGTGGGATTTCTTTCATTGTCAATGTACCTCACGATATGCTACAGCTCTATGGATCTTCTTGCTGTTTATTGAATATATCATGACTTCATATGCTATGTCCTCTTCCTGGAACACTATTTCCCATTTTGGCAACTGCCTAAGTAAAATACATACTTTCTCTGGTATATTTTATTGACAACTCTTACATTCATTGACTTGATTGGGTGTCACTTCTCTATACTCTCAGAGCCTCCTGTTTATACCTTCCTCAATATACTTGCCACTCCTTGTCTACATTGCGAATTTCGTAAGGGCAATAGTTTTGCCTTGCTTATTTTCATATTCCCTGTATCAGGCATGGTGCTTAGCTCCTAATAGGTGCTCACCGCTTTAATAGGTGTTCAAAACCTTAAGAAAATTGAATAATATATTGGTAACTTAAAAAATACTTTTTAAAAATTTTCTGTGTCCTAATCGCTTTTTCGGTTACATTTGTAATGAGCTTTTTAATTTAAAAGTTAATGAAAATGTTTAGTATTTATAGATGAAATCTATTCCTTTATATTTTAAATATTTGCACAAATGAAGGCACATCTGTAATCTATTTAAAAATGCTAATTTTCGTCAAGTTCTCATCTGACAAATGCCTTAGTTTCACTTATTGTAGTTGGAATCTTTATCTGGGTCTTATCCTTGAAAAAACATGACTTGATTTATTTTTTAGGGTTGAATAATGAAGGGATTATCCATTAGCTTTGGTACATAGTGGCATGCAAATACTTTTATTCATTACTAAAATCTTGTTAGGTTGACTCACTCATTTGTAACATTTTATTTCACCATAAACTAGACACTGAGTTACAAAGTTAAATGCTTAGATTAGTTACAGTTAGGAAACCTACCTAAATTATATTGTACAAGAAAGACAATAGCCCTTATTGCATTTTCTGTCTTTATAGTGTGCAAATTGCTTCTGGTCAGCCCAGCCTGTGATGGCAACATTTCAAACTTTGTATCACGTAATCTCAAGTAATGCATGTTGCACACACGGCGCAGAGTATAGATTAGTAGATATTGCAGTGAGAGTAACTTCTTATTTCTCTACACTTGTTTGTTTAAAGATACTGGTAGTTTTCATTTTATGCATTAATAGAGAAAAGATGGGAGGTGGCTAATGAAGTGTGCTGTGGACTTGTTTTTAACTGTATTACTCTATCAAGATGGAAATATCAATTGATTTGTGTATTAAAGATATCCTGAGGAGAAATCTAGTTCATATATTATAATAGACATAGGCACACAAAACCATTTCACTGTTTCTGGCTGTCCCTATGCTTAGGTTATTAACCTTTTGTACTTCTTTCTCTTCTTGTAGCATCTCATGTGTCTTCCTTTACCCATTTCAGTGTGCACTGAGTTGGGGGTTAGAGGAGAAATTGAAAATGGAAAGCACAAGGTCTGGATTCATCTTTATTTAAAAAAGAATACGTGCAATGTGCCAGTCATTGTGATGTGGTAGTGACACCTAGTCTTTACCTTTGAGTTCTTTATAGTTTATCTACAAACTCTGATAAGTACTATAGTATATAACAAAACCTGCCAAGAGCTCAGAAGAGGGAATAACTTTGCCTTAGTAAGCTGGGAAAGGTTTCTAAGAAAAGTTACCTTTGAATTAACTTCTTGAAATAGTTTATGTTTCTTATTCACGTTTTAAGCAACTTTACTGAGTTAGAATTTACATGCAAAAAATTCATATTTTTTTGTTGATTGTTAAATGGGCTTTGATAAATACACCTAAGACAAACGTTCATTACTCTACTCCAGAAGGTGCCTTAAGCCCCTTTACAGTCAATCCCTTACTCCTCCCCAGTAACTGTGAATCTGGTTTTATCATCATAGATTAGTCTTTTTGATTTTACATCTATAGCTTCATATAATGGGATCACGTAGTAGGTACTCTTTTATGTGTGGTTTCTTTTGTTCAACATAATTTTAAAAAGTCATCCTTGACATTGATAAGTAGTTCTTTTATGTTGCTGAATAGTATTCCATTGTATGAATATATTATATTGACTGGATTCTGGATTCTGACCGCTCCCTGGGCTTGTTGCCATTGTTGTGTGTTTTTGTTTAATGACTTTCCTGGATTACTTCTGTGGTCTGTTTTCCTTTTAAAATATTTCTTATGCCTGGCTTTCTGGGGGATTGCCTCTGTGTCACTGTTATCTTAGTGGTCAGCTAATGATTGCTTAAAGGTTGTTCCTGAACACCAGCAAGTTAGTGTTACCCCATTTTCCTGTGGACCTGTTTATGGTTTGGAGAATGTCTTAAAATTTTAGGCAATTTCAAATTTGACCCATGTTCAGCCAGAGACTAGCTTGCAAGTGTTCTTTCTGGTGTAGCGTTACACATGCAGACAGCCTTCCTGACTACTAAGCATGAATATCCACTTAAGGCTCTTCTTGGCAGTCTTTTTCCTAGGATCTTCCTGTTAGATTTCTGGCTAGTTTGCTATTTTGTTGCTTGCCCCCACCAGAGTCAGTTAGATAATGGCCCTCGTGATGCCTGCCACTGAAAGCGTTATTATTATTAATATTATTATTATTATTTTTTTGACGGAATCTCAAAAGTGCGGTGGTGCAATCTTGGCTCACTGCATCCTCTGCCTCCCAGGTTCAGGCGATTCCCCTGCCTCAGCCTCCCCTGCCTCAGCCTCCTGAGTAGCTGGGACTACAGGTGCACACCATCATGCCCAGCTAATTTTTTGTGTTTTTAATAGAGACAGGGTTTTTACCATGTTGGCCAGGATGGTCTTGACCTCTTGACCTTGGGATCTCCCTGCCTTGGCCTCCCAAAGTGCCGGGATTACAGGCATGAGCCACTGCGCCCAGTCCACTCTTGTTTTTAACAACATTCCTGGGTACAGATTTTTCCATGCCTCGTTCCAAATAAGGTCAGTCCCCTCTTGCAGGGAAAGGTAGCTACCACTCTTTATGGCCTGCCATGTTTGCCCACAGTAGAATGTTTATGCCACAAACCTGGCAGTATAGATGGGGATAGGAATAGCCCCTAGCTAAAATACCACAGTTCTTATTGAGATGCGGTGTATTTTTCTGGAATAAATGCTTCTCATTTTGTTGTATGACCTTTGGTCAGTTTTTGGAGGCTTTGGTGGTTAGATTTGACCTTGTTTTTTTTTTTAATTGCTTAAGGGAGAGAATTTGCTGAACTCACAGAGCCTATTGGAAGACCTGGCCTCAGGATTTTTTTTAGTTTTCCTCTAGTTTTTTCCCAAACCGCAGGCATTTTTTTCTCCCTCCTGAAAACACAAAGCCAGTCATTTCACCTCCAATTTTATTTTATTATTATTTTTTCATTTTAAAAAATAGAGACAGCATCTTGCTGTGTTGCTCAGGCTGTTCTTGAACTCCTGGACTCAGACAGTCCTCCTGCCTTGGCCTGCCAAAGTGCTAGGATTACAGCATGAGTCACCGTACCTGGCCATCACCTTTAATTTTAAAAGTCTTAAAGTGCCTTTGTGTTGTTCTCAGAATAAAAATGAAAAATTCTTTTTTTTTTTTTTTTTTGAGATGGAGTCTCGCTCTGTTGCCCAGGCTGGAATGCAGTGGCGCTATCTCCGCTCACTGCAAGCTCCGCGTCCCGGGTTCACGCCATTCTCCTGCCTCAGCCTCCCGAGTAGCTGGGACTATAGGCATCTGCCACCACGCCTGGCTAATTTTTTTGTATTTTTAATAGAGACAGGGTTTCACCGTGTTAGCCAGGATGGTCTCAATCTCCTGACCTCGTGATCTGCCCGCCTCGGCCTCCCAAAGTGCTAGGATTACAGGCGTGAGCCACCGCACCTGGCCAAAATGAAAAATTGTAACATGGTCTGGTCTACCTTCCTATATATAGTCATGTGTCGCTTAACAGTAGGGACATGTTCTGAGAAATGTTGAGTGATTTCATCATTGTGTGAACATAGTGTGTTACACAAACCTAGATGGTACAGCCTGCTATACACCTGGGCTATATAAGATAGCTTATTGCTGCTAGGCTACGAACCTGTACAGCATGCTACGATACTGAATGTGGTGGCAGTCATAACACCATGGTAAGTATTTGTGTATCTAAACATAGAAAAGGTATAGTGACAATACAGTATTGTAGTTTTATAGGACCACCATTTTATACATAGTCTGTTGTTGACCACATTGTTACACAGCTCATGGCCACAGTTTTATCCTGTATTAATCTTGTCCATACCGCTCATTCTGGGTAGTGTTTGACTGTTGTCCCCAATCTAGGGAGCATTTTGCTTTCTCTTCTTTAAAAATCAAGGCTCTGACCCATGACATACACATAGACTTCAGAATTTAAGAGATGTAGGTTTGAATTTCTGTTCTTCATTTATTAGCAATGTGACTTTGAGTGATGTGCTTACATTTCTCAGTTTTCTCATCAAAATGTGGTGATGAACAAATAATATTTTGTAGGGTTGCTTAAGGCTTAAGTAAGATAATGTATGTGAAGCCATTAGCACAGTGCCTTGTATCTAGAAGGTGTATTTATTCCCCTACATGATATTCTCCTCATCATTTCTTTGAGTAAGCAGTTCATATGAAATAGTGGAGACATCAGTATGCATTAAGTAGATTCATTTCAGTATTACCATTCCACCGATTATTTGAGTAAAACTTATACCTGAATTTCATTTGGGTTTCAACACATTTATTAAGTGCCTGATCTGTTTCATAGCACCCTCATTACCTCTTTTTTTTTTTTTTTTTTTTTTTTTTTGTTTGTTTGAGACAGAGTCTTATTCTGTTGCCCAGGCTGGAGTGCAGTGGCACACAATCTCAGCTCACTGAGGCAACATCCGCCTCCTGGATTCAAGCGATTCTCTTGCCTCAGCCTCCTGAGTAGCTGGGGTTACATGCACCTGACTGATTTTTGTAGTTTTAGTAGAGATGGGGTTTCACCATGTTGGACAGGCTGGTCTTGAACTCCTGACCTGAAGTGATCCACCCACCTCGGCCTCCCAAAGTGCTAGGATTACAAGTGTGAGCCACCACTCCTGGCTCCTCATTAACTTTTGAAAATATGCTTTTAAGAGAAGTATAATACATTAAAGAGTTTTTCTATTTTTTTTTCTTTTTTTCTTTTTTGAGACGGAGTCTTGTTGTCCAGGCTAGAGTGCAATGGTGTGATCTCGGCTCACTGCACCCTCCGCCTCCCAGGTTCAAGCGATTCTCCTGCCTCAGCCTCCCGAGTAGCTGGGATAACAGGCACCCACCACCACTCCTGGCTAACTTTTTTTTTTTTTTTGTATTTTTAGTAGAGATGGGGTTTCACCATGTTGGCCAGGCTGGTCTTGAACTCCTGACCTCAGGTGATCCGCCTGCCTCAGCCTCCCAAAGTGCTGGGATTACAGGTGCCTCGACCTCCCAAAGTGCTGGGATTACAGGCATGAGCCACCGTGCCCAGCCCAAGAGAGTTTTTCTTTTACATCAAAGAAAAATTTCTTTTTCTGTAATGAGACTTTTAGACTTCTCATTTTTTATTTTGAAAAGTCTTCAAACTTGTGGAATAGAAGCAAAAGTAGTATAGCAAACCCCTCTGTATCCTAACTACAATACAATTAGCATATTTAGGAAATTAACATTAGTACAGTACTATGCAATTTGACACTACATCAGTTTTGCCTTTTCTCCCCAGTGATCATAGCATTTTTTTCTTCCTACTTCATCAGTCCAAGATCATACACTTGATGTAGTTATCATATCTCTTTGCTCTCCTCCAGTCTAGATTGGTTCCTGACCCCCCCCTCCTTTTTTTTTTTTTTTTTTTGACTTTTATGACATTGATATTGTCAAAGACCAACTGTTTTGTAGTGTCTCTCGACTTGAATCACACTGTTTCCTCATAATTTTATTTGGGGTATGCATTTTTTGGGGGCAGGAATAATATGCAAGAGAGACCGTATAAAAGACACTATGTTCTGTAAAGGTATATCACATGAAGAGGTATATAATGCCAGTTTGTTCCCTTATTGGTGATGTTAATTTAGATGACTCAGTTAAGGTGGTATCCACTGGGTTTATTTTCTCTAAAGTTATCACTTTCTTCTTTGTTGTTAATAAGTAATCTGTGGGGAGATACATTGAAATGGTGTAAATATCCTTTTTACCAATACATTTTGATTCAGTGGTTTTTGAATCCTTGATGATAGTTGTTTGAATCAGGTATTACCAGGGCAGTTGCAAATGGTAGATATTAGAATTTCAAAATACAATTTCTAAGAGTTTTAGTGTCCCTAAAATGAGGTGTTTTTTTGTTTTGTTTGTTTGTTTGTTTGTTTTTGAGACAGAGACTTGCTCTGTTGCCAGGCTGGAGTGCAGTAGCACAATCTCAGCTTACTGCAACCTCCGCCTCTCGGGTTCAAGCGATTCTCCTGCCTCAGCCTCCTGAGTAGCCAGGACTACAGGCACACACCACCACCATGCCCAGCTAATTTTTGTATTTTTAGTGGAGATGGGTTTTTACCATGTTGGCCAGGATGGTCTCGATCTCTTGACTTCGTCATTTGCCTGCCTCAGCCTCCCAGAGTGCTGGGATTACAAGTGTGAGCCACTGCGCGCGGCCTGAGCTTTCTTTAATAGTAATAATTACAGAGTATTTGATTGATATCTGCTCTGTCATGGCTTTAATTATTTTTATGATTTTTAGGTTCATGTACTGGACAGACTGGGGAGAAGTGCCAAAGATAGAACGTGCTGGAATGGATGGTTCAAGTCGCTTCATTATAATAAACAGTGAAATTTACTGGCCAAATGGACTGACTTTGGATTATGAAGAACAAAAGCTTTATTGGGCAGATGCAAAACTTAATTTCATCCACAAATCAAATCTGGATGGAACAAATCGGTAAGATTACAAGAATTAGAAAAAACTTTTAAGAAAACTCGATGAAGCCTTGATACATTACAAAGCCTAATTTTATTAAGAAATATGTTTATTTTTGACTAAGTGCCAGAGGGGAAGAAGAATAGTCTTTTAGTTAGCTCTTTAAAAGTGCTTTAAAAGTAATTACATTTATCATCCATCTTGATAGCATTTAGAATTTACAGACTGTATTTCCTCTTTCCTTACTCTGAGCTAACTTAGTTCTTCAGTGGTTCTCCACCAGGGGTAGCATCTTTACTGCCTTTGTTTGGAAATGTGTAGAGAATTTTGTTTAACCCAAGGACTGGGAGTGCTACTAGTATTTTAGTTCCGGTGGTGGAGGGGAGGTCCAAGGTTGCTAAACATCCTGCAGTGTGCTGGGCATCAGTACAACAAAGAGTGTCCCACTCAAAATTACCAGTAAAGCCCCAAGTCCTGCTAATGGAACTTTGATAAAACTCTACACTAGGACGGGGTTTGGCCAAGATTTTCTGTAAAGGCTCAGATAGTAAATATTTTAGGCTTATGATCTCCGGTTCAACTACTTCTGCTACTGTAGTTTAAAAGCAGCTATAGTAATGCATAAGGGAATAGGCATGACTGTTGCAGCAAAACTTTATTTATTTATTTACGTATTTATTTTAGACAGAGTCTCACCTTGTCATCCGGGCTGGAATGCAGTAGCGTGATCTCAGCTCACTGCAACCTCTGTCTCCTGGGCTCAAGCGATCTTCCTGCCTCAGCCTTCCGAGTAGCTGGGACTATAGGCACACGCCATCACACCGGGCTAATTTTTGTCATTTTTGTAAAGATGGCGTCTCACCATGTTGCCCAGGCTGGTCTTATGCCCTGAGCTCCAAGTGATTCACCGGCCTCGGCCTCCGAAAGTGCTAGAATTACAGGCATCAGCCATAGCACCTGGTGTAAAACTTTATTTGTAAAGCAGAATGAGCCTGTGGGCTGTAGTTTGCTCATCTCTGGACAAGGAGAAAACCTACTGCATATACCATACATTTCAGTGTTCAAGGAAGACAAAGTCTGTAAAACATAAACATGGAATTTCTTCTCAGATTATGTTCAGATTTTTAAAGACATTTTATATTTGGATTCTTGTGTTTTAATGATAATTTTGGTTTTTGATCTCAATCTGAGACCTCACCAGATGAGAGTTTTTGGTGACTGTAGGATTTTTTCAAAGTATAATAAACATTTGTCAATTACCTGAACTAAGAATAAGGAACATTTAGAAGTATTGAAAACCAGGAAAGATATAAAGAATTCAGTTAAACTTTTTGTAATCATGGAGTTGGAGTATTTTTTGCCTTCTTTCAAAAAAGAGTGAAATGACATATAACAATGTGGTTTTAAGTAAATTTAAATGTCAAAAAGTAAGTATATGATGAATATAGAAACAACTGCTGTTTTTGACCTCAAATCTGGCTGTGAGGGGGAGTCTAGGAAGATGGATGTGGCCATGTCATAGTTTTTTTGTTTTTGTTTTTAACTAAAACCTACAGAAACTAGAT
This sequence comes from Homo sapiens, assembly GCF_000001405.40. Lineage (NCBI taxonomy): Eukaryota > Metazoa > Chordata > Mammalia > Primates > Hominidae > Homo > Homo sapiens. The sequence continues at coordinate 170,656 of NW_011332696.1, read as the reverse complement.
AGCAAATCCAAAAACATGGATAAAGTTGACTATAGCCTTAGTCATTTGAAAGCACAACTAGATAAGGGCAAACCACCAACAGCCACAAGACCTCCATGTTATCACTGTCTATGCGAGAGTAAGCAGGGAGATTTAACAGGGTGTCTCATAAGACTTGAAAGCAGGGGAACGCCAAAATAGCCACAGCTATTTGCTGGACAAGATGGTGGGTTATTTTAAGAACAGCAGCTGAAATAGGAGGGTGGGAGGGTTGCCCACTCCAATATTAGGCAAGTGCAGTGTGACTATGGTAAAGACAGAAGAAGCTAGAGCAGTCTAGCCCCAACGAACTCTCAAAATGGAACTACTGAAATGAACCTGCCAGAGTGCTCATCCAGGACAGAGCACCACACTGATTAAAACAAAATTGAATAGGATAGAATAATCCAAATTGAGCAGGATAGGGACAATAGAATAGAGTAAAACAGGAGGGGAAGGAAAGAGAAGGTTCAGATAAAGATGGGAAGATCAACGGCTAGTAGATCTCAGAAAGCAAGCTACTAGGTTTTTGAACATTATGTGAAAACAACAGAGGAATGAATTCTGTGACGTTAGAAAAACTACCTTGAACTCTACATTATTTTAAAAGTTCAGGAACACTAATTTTACGTAGACAAGAGAAACAGAAAAGTATCAAGGTAAAATCCCATTTAAAGTTATTATAAAGGAAAAAACAAAAGCTCTTATAAATAAAAGCACCCCAGAAAAACATGACCACAGAACAGATCAAATCTCTATTATAAAATGAGCTGGAGAAGGAGGAGGCTGCGAATCACTTATAAATGACGTGGAAGCAGGACTCAAACCCTAAGTTCCAGGAGGGTGAGCAAGTGCTGTGCTTTCATGGGCTGCTTCTTTATGAAGCAAAATGTGTAAAGGTTGCCATAAAGGACAAACAAGTAAAATACTTTATATATTACAGTGGTTGGAATAAAAATTGGGATGCATGGGTTCCAGAGAGCAGAGTACTCAAATACGTGGACACCAATTTGCAGAAACAACTTCAAAAAGCCCATCAGGAGCAGTATGCAGAGGGGAAGATGAGAGGGGCTGCCCCAAGAAAGAAGACATCTGGTCTGCAACAGAAAATGTTGAAGTGAAAACAAAAAAGAACAAACAGAAAATACCTGGAAATGGAGATGGTGGCAGTACCAGTGAGATGCCTCAGCCTCCTTGGAAGAAAAGGGCCCCCGGGTAGATCCTACTCTTGAAAATGAGGACACATTCATGAACAGAGTTGAAGCTAAAAAGTGAAGATTCCTGAAGAGCTGAAACCATGGCTTGTTGATGACTGGGACTTAATTACCAGACAAAAACATCTCTTTTTTCTTTCTGCCAGGAAGAATGTGGATTCCATTCTCCAGGATTATGCAAATTGCAAAAAATCTCGTGGAAACACAGATAATGAGTATGCTGTTAATGAAGTTGTGGCAGGGATAGAAGAATACTTCAATGTGATGTTGGGCACCCAGCTACTCTGCAAGTTTGACAGACCACAGTATGCTGAAATTCTTGCAGATCACCCTCATGCACTCATGTCCAAGGTTTATGGAGCACCACATCTACTGATGTACAAATTGGAGCAATGTTGGCCTATATACCTCTGGATGAGAAGAGCCTTGTGTTTTTTTTTTTTTTTTTTTTTTTTTTTTTTTGAGATGGAGTCTCGCTCTGTTGCCCAAGTGGGAGTGCAGTGGCATGATCTCAAGCTCACTGCAACCTCTGCCTCCCGGGTTCAAGCGATTCTCCTGACTCAGCCTTCTGAGTAGCTGGGATTACAGGTGCGCACCACCACGCCCATCTAGTTTTTACATTTTTAGTAGAGGCGGGATTTCACCATGTTGGTCAGGCTGGTCTCGAACTCCTTACCTCGTGATCCGCCCGCCTCAGCCTCCCAAAGTGCTGGAATTACAGGCATGAGCCACCGTGCCTGGCCGAGCCTTGTTTTATTACTGAATTATCTTCACAGTTCCCTAAAGTACCTGGCAAAGAATTCTGCAACATTTTTTAGTGCCCAGCAATTATGAATGGCTCCTCCAGAGAACCATCAGAAAGCTGTCTGAGAGACGCTCTCACTCACTTATGTTTGGATCTCTGTAAACACATTTTTGTTCTTAGTCTTTCTTTTGTACAAATGATGCACTTTGAAGATGTTATTGTACAACAATTGATGTTTTCCTGTTTAATTTTAAACAGAGAAAATAAAAGGAGTAATAGCTCCTTTTTTCCTATCTTACCTTTTTTTTCACTTCAAAGTTCCTGCCAGTGTATTCAACAATGGACAACAGAGACACATGCTATAGAGTGTTTTATTGCCTAGTTGACAGAGCTGCTTTTGAATGCTGGTGGTCCTGTTCCTTTGACCCTACGTACTTTTATAATATGTGTTCATGCTATATGACAAAATGCTGTGATTCCTAGTGCCAAAGGTTCAATTCAGTGTATATAACTGAACACACTCATCCATTTGTGCTCCTTTTTTTTTTTTAAATGGTGCTTAAATAGCCCATTCTTTGCAAGTCATCCATGTTGTTCCTTTGGCATTTAACTTTGCTCAAATTGTTGAAGAATGGTGGCTTGTTGCATGGTTTTTGTATTTGTGTCTAGTGCACATTTTAACATGGTAGATGAGATGCATTGTGTAGCTAGTTTTCTGGAAAAGTCAATCTTTTAGGAATTATTTTTCAAATCTTCAATAAATTTTTTCTTTAAATTTTAAATAAATAAATGAGTCAAAAGTCATTGAGGAACCAATATGACATGTGAAAGGATAACATAAGATTAGAAAAATTCAGAAATGACTCACGCCTATAATCCCAGCACTTTGGAAGGCCAAGGCAGGCGGGTCACCTGAGGTCAGGAGTTCGAGACCAGCCTTGCCAACATGGTGAAACCCCGTCTCTACTAAAAATACAAAAATTTGCTGGACGTGGTGATGCACGCCTGTAATCACAACTACTCGGGAGGCTGAGGCAGTAGAATCGCTTGAATCCGGGAGGCAGAGGTTGCAGTGAGCCAAGATTGTGCCATTGCACTCCAACCTGGGTGACGAGCAAAACTCTGTCTCAAAAAAAAAAAAAAAAAAAAAAGAGAAAAATTCAGAAATGAAATGATAGAACTTAAGAAAGAATTTAAAAAATCACTTCAGAAAAGAAAACTAGAAGGGACACTAGGTTGAATAAACCAAAAAACCTTTAAATAGAGGTTGAAAAGGAGGAAAAATTTAAAGACCAAAAAGAAATACAGAAAGACAAAAGATGATTTGAGAGAAAATGATAAATACTGAAGATAGGCAAAGAAGAAACAACATACAGATAATAAGACTCTTTGGAAAGAAAAGCAAAGCAAGGGAATAGAACAACTATGAACAACTATAGAAAAAGTTTCTTACAAGAAGATTTGTGACTGGGCATGGTGGCTCATGCCTATAATCCCAGTACTTTGGGAGGCCAAGGTGGGTGGATCGCCTGAAGTCAGGAGTGAGACCATCCTGGCCAACATGGTGAAACCCTGCCTCTACAAAAAATACAAAAATTAGCCGAGCATGGTGGTGGGCGCTTGTAATCCCAGCTACTCAGGGGGCTAAGGCAGGAGAATTGCTTGAATTTTGCAGAGGTTGCAGAATCTGTTCACTGCAACCTCTGCCTCTTGGGCACAAGCTATCCTCCCACCTTGAGCCTCCCAAGTAGCTGGGACTACAGGTGCACACCACCACACCTGACTAATTTTTTGTATTTTTAGTAGAGACGGGATTTCATCATGTTGCCCAGCTGGTCTTGAACTCTTGGACTCAAGTGATCCACCTGTCTCGGCCTACCAAAGTGTTGGGATTACAGGTGGGAGCCACCATGCCTGGCCATAAATTTAATTCTTATAGTAACTACATTGTTGTGGTCATAATTAATATTGTTATTCTGAAACTTTATATTGTTGCATCAAGTAAGTGAGTATTAGGACATATATTGCTCCTGCATATGCTAGATTCTTAATGGGCAAGAGAGGAAGTATAGATGTAATACTGCAGAGGTTAAGTCAAACTGATTATTCCATATTTTAATGGAAAGTTACTTACTAGTATGCGCTTATTAGGTATTTTATCTTTCAAAAATATATGTACCCAACTGTGTTTGTTTGTTTCCTGACTGTGAACACTGAAGAGGACTAGATCAAAAATGACCAATTGAGTAGCAATTGAACATTTACAGTGCTGTGTGCAGTGAACTTCTGTAGCACCCAAATTGTGGTGTTGGGAAAAACCATTCCACCTTAAAAGAAACCAAGCCTTTCTGGCAAAATTGCTGATTCTAGGTTTTGGGCAAGAAATGTACATGCTGAGCTGGAACATTGTCATAACAGTTAGTAAGGAGGCTGTTAAAGACTATTTAGGGTCATTTCAGAAAGACTGGAGAAATGACTGTAGAATTCCCACTGGCCAGAGATCGGTAGAAACCTGTGAAGTGTGTTTAAATTCTTGAGTTCATAATGGTATTTTAAAAAGGAATTGGTTACTCTTAGATTAGAGCATGATAGGAACAAATTTATTACCTTGAACATTGGTAAATACAAGAAAGAAGCAATTTATCCTGCTTTTCCTATGTGAGTGTACCTCTGGCTAACAAAATAGTAGATATGGGAGAGCTATTTCAATTGATAAATGAAAAAGAAATGGCAGAATTGCAATACCACCATTTTATAACTTTGGTGAACGAATGGGTCTAGGTGGTGAGCGTCGATGGCTACTAACATCACAAGAAGAAAAAGAACAGACATTATTTGCCTTCTGGTGTAAGAACACACTACTGCCTACTATTTTGTCAAAGGGATCAATTCATCATGAGTCTGGTCAAGGCTGTATATCAGCTGGCCATTTGTAGGAAATACAGAGGACAGAGAAACATTGAACTGCACCATGAGAGTACATCAGCAGATCTGGACATATAAATGAAATATCTTAGGTACTTTAACGGAGAGATTGTAAGGAAGAGACAGACAGGAAAAGAGACTTGAACGCTCTACCAAAAAAAAAAAAATTCTTAGAACTGATCAACAAATTTGGTAAAGTTGCAGGATACAAAATCAACACAAAAAGATCAGTAGCATTTCTATACACAAACAACAAACTAGCTGAAAAAGAAATTAAGAAGGCAGTGTCATTTACAATAGCTATAAGAAATTAATAAAATACCTAGGAATAAATTTAACCAAGGAAGTGAAAGACCTCTTCAGATAAAGCTGCAAAACACTGATGAAAGAAATTGAAGAGGGATACATACAAATGGAAAAACATTTCATGCTCATGGATTGGAATAATTATTATAGTTAAAATGACCGTACTACCCAAAGCAACCTGCAGATTCAGTGGAGTCCCTATTAAAATACCAATGACATTCTGCACAGAAATAGAAAAAAAAAAAAATCCTAAAATTTGTATGGGACCATAAAAGACCCTGAATAGCCAAAGCAATCCTGAGCAAAAAGAACAAAGCTGGAGACATCATACTAACAGACTTCAAAATATACCACAAAGTTGTAGTAACCAAAACAGCATGGTACTGGCATAAAAACAGAAACATACACCGATGGAACAGAATAGAAAACCCAGAAATTAATCCATGCATCTATAGCCAATTGCTTTTTGACAAAAGTGCCAAGAACATAGATTGGGGAAAGGATAGTCTTTTCAATAAATGATGCTGGGGAAACTGGATATCCACATGTGGAAGAATGAAACTAGAAACCCACCTCTCACCTTATACAAAAATCAACTCAAAATGGATCAAAGACCTAAGGGTAAGACTTGAAACTATAAAACTGCTAGAGGAAACCATAGAGGAAATGCTTCAGGACATTGGTCTGGGAAAGGATTTTATGGATAAGATCTCAAAAATGCAGGCAACAAAAGCAAAAAATACCAGATGCATTATATCAAACTAAAAAGCTTCTACAGAGCAAAGGAAACAACACAGTGAAAAGACGACCTACAGAATGAGGGAAAATATTTGCAAATTACTCATCTGACATGGGATTAATATCCAGAATATACAGGGAACTCAAACAGTTCAACAGCAAAAAACCAGTTTGGTTAAAAAATGGGGAAATGATCCGAATAGACATGTATCAAAAGAAGGCATATAAATGGCCACAAACATATGAAAAAATGCTCAACATCACAAATCATCCAGGAAATGCAAATTAAATTCACAATGAAGTATCATCTCACCCTAGTTACCATATGGCTATTACCAAAAAGACAAAAAATAATACGGTCAAGAATGCACAGAAAAGGGAACTCTTATACACTGTTGGTGGGAGTATAAACTAGTACAGCCGCTATGGAGAACAGTATGGAAGTTCCTCAAAAAATTACAAATAGAACTACCATATGATCCAGTAGTCCCACTACTTGGCATTTACCCAAAGGAAAGGAAATCAGTGTATCGAGACATCTGCACCCCTATGTTTGTTGCAGCACTATTTACAGTAGCCAAGATGTGGTATCAACCTAGGTGTCCAACATCAGATGAATAGATAAAGAAAATGTGGTATATATACACAATGGAATACCATTTAGCCATAAAAAGAATGAAATCCTGTCATTCTCAGCAATATGGATAGACCTGGAGGATGTTATCTTAAGTGACATAGGACCAGGAACAGAAAATTAAACCATGCATGTTCTCACTCGTATGTGGAAGGTAAATGTTGATCTTGCAAAAGTAAAGAGTAGAATAGGGGATACTAGAGGCTGGGAAGGAAGAGATAAGAAGAGATTTGCTAAAAAATACAGAATTACAGTTAGAAAAAGCTTGAGTATTCTATACCACTGTAGGATGACTGTACTTAATAGGTAAAACATTATATAATTTCAAAGAGGATACTGAATGTTTCCAACACAGAAATGTTAAATGTTTGAGATTATGGATATGCTGATTACCCTGAGCTGATCACGGTACCTTATATATATTGCAACATTGCTGTGTACCCCACAAATATGTGTAATTATTATGTACCAGTTAAACATTTTTTAAAACAGAGACTTTAAAAGAAATAGCAAATGAAAATGGGGCTTAAGACTAAACTATTTTTCTGTGGATGCACACTTACAAAAAGCAATAAAACTATAAAGGCAAGAAAGTGACTAATAGAAAATCAGAATAATTGTTACTTCTATGGAGAGGGAGGGATTGGGACAGGGTTCATGCAGGGCCTTTTGAAGTCGTCTGGGTGATTCACCCAGATCAAGTTTTTTTCCTTCATCTGAGTGAATTCGTGGTTACAAGAGTGTTTGCCTTATAGTAACTTGTTAAGCTATATGTTTGTTTTGTATGTTTTTCTCTGTATTGGCTTTATTTTTTAAAAAAGATTAAAAATAGTCTTGAGCATGATATTACCTGTAGGTTTTTTTAATAAAGGGATTTTATCAGGTTGAGGAAGTTCCTTTCTATTCCTAGTTCATGGACAGATTTACCATGAATAATTACTGGATTTTGTCCGTTCCTTTTTCTGCATCTATGGAAATGATTATGTGGTTTTATTCTTTATTTTATGAACATGGTGAATTTCAGTAATTGGTTTTCAGTTGTTAAACCGATCTTGCATTTCTGGGGTAAGTTCTACTTGGTCGTGGTTTATACTTCTTTTGAAATGTTGTTAGATTTGGTTTGCTAATATTCTGTTGAGGATTTTTATGTCTTTAATAGTGAAGGATATTAATCCGTAGTCTGTTTTTCTTGTGTTTATTTGGTTTTGAGATTAGCATAATATCAGCCTCATAGAGTCGGAAGATATTTCCTCTTTCTTTGTTTTCTGGAAAAGTGTGTGACCAGTTGATACAACTTTTCCTGCCATCTGGGCATGGGGATTTCTTTTTGGGAAGATATTAATTACAAATTCAATTTCCTTGTTTGTTGTAGATCTATCAGATTTTCTGTTTCTTCTTGAGTCAGTTTTAGTAATTTGGTTTTTTTCCAGGAATATTTTTGTTTCATAAATTTGTCTAATTTGTTGGCATAAAGTTGTTTATGGTATTGCCTAATAATCCTTTTAATTTCTGTAAGGCAGTGTTTCTCTTTCATTCATCACTTTATTCACAGTTTTCACAATTTGCGTCTTTTTTTTTGGGTCAGTCTAGCACTAAAGGGTTGTCAATTTTGTGGGTCTTTTCAAAGAACAACCAGCTTCTGGTTTTATTGATTTTTCCCCCTTTATTGTTTTTCTGTTTTCTGTTTCATTGCCTTTTTTTTTTTTAACCCTAATGTTTTTATTTTCTTCCTTACACTTGCTTTGGATTTAATCTACTCTTCTTACAGTTTCTTAAGGTCAAATCATAAATAATTGATTTGTAATCTCTCTTCTTTTCTAGTATAGGCATTAGTATTCTATATACGTTTCCATATTTTGTATTTTCATTTTCTTTTAGCTCAAAATATTTAAAAACTTTTATTGTAATTTCTTCCTCGACTCATTGCTGATTTAGAGGAAATTGAGAAAGAAATTTCAAAAATTTAGAAAATAATTTGATTTCCCAAATTTTCTTCCGTTGATTTCTTCATGAATTTCATTATGGTCAGATAGTAGTCTATTTTATATGAGTTCAGTCTTTTTATTTTATATGAGTTCAGTCTTTTAAGATTAATTCTGTCTCCTAGCATGTGGTGTCCTGGAGAAAGTTCCACGTGTACGTGAAAAGATTGTGTATTCTTTTGTTGCATGGAATGTTCTATAGATAGTAGGTTAAGTTGGTTAATAATGTTCAAATTTTCTATATCCTTGGTAATTTTCTATCTAGTTGTTCTTTCCTTTAGTGAGAATAGGGTGTTGAGCTCTCCAACTATATTATTGAACTGCCCATTTTTCCTTTGATTTCTGTCAGGTTTTGCTTCATTTGTTCTGGGGCTCTGTTTTTAGGTACCTGTATGTTTCTAATTGTAACTTCCTGATGACTCTTTCTCATAAAACCTGCCACTGTATCTCTAGTTACCTTTTTATACTTAAAATCTTTTTTGTCTGATAGAGCTGCTCCAGCTCTCTTATGGTTACTGTCTACTGTAACCTTTTCTTTTCAATCTATTTGTATCTTTGAATGTAAAATGTGCTTTTATAAACAGCATATAGTGTAACCTTTGCTTTATTCAGTCTAACAGCCTTTGCCTTTTGATTGGTGTGTTTATTCACATTGAATGTCATTAATGATATGGTTGGGCTTATGTCTGACATTTTAGTGTTTTTTTTTTTTTAAATTATCTTATGTCATCTTTGTTCCTTTGTCCTTTGTATTAAGTAGATATTTTCTGGTGTGTCATTTTGATTCCTTGGTTGATAATTTTAAACTGTATTTTGGGGATTTTAAAGGTAATTATTTTAGGGATTGCAACGTGCATTTTGTCAAAATCTACTTTGTGGTAATATTAACTTAATTATGAAAAGTACATACATTTTACTCTAAGTATATCTCCATTCTCTCTCCCATCCTTTCTGCTATTATTGTCATTTATAGTTCATTTCTATTATATCTAACACAGGGTTATACTTATTGCTTTATACAATCTTATGTCTGTTAAAAAGGTTAAAGGAAAAAGAGAAAACATTATTTATAGAGTCTTTTTTATTAACCTGCATATTTACTATTTCTGGTATTCTTCATTTTTCCTGAGGGTTCAAGTTACCATCTGGAGTCATTTCCTTGTTCCAGTATAGTTCTGTTCTCTTCCTTGTCCTTTGTCCTTCAAATATTTTATTTTTTGAAAATATTTTTTTCTATTATGTAATATTTCTTCCTTTTCATTTTTTTCTTTATGTATTATGTTTATTCATTCTTATTTCGTAGACTTCATTTCTGAAATGATGTATTTTTGTATTTCTCATTCTTTCAAGTTCTGTCCCCTCACTTGTGAGTTGTCTGATTCTAATTTGTGTTGTTCATTTATGACTAGTATCTTACTTTAAATACTTTGACTGTTTTGAAATAAGTTATCAGTTTAATTTGTTCTATTTCTATATCTTTCTGGCATACTTTTTTATTGTCTGTAGGAATGTTATTCTTCACTTTATCCTTTTCTTATTTTTAATATTAACTTATTAATGGGATTTGATGTTAGTAATTTGTTTTCTTATTTTCAGGTGAAACTGTTTTGCTTGAACATTCAGAAGAAGGCAGAGTTCATAAGTTCTCCAGTTTCACAGAACTCTCATGTCTATGTATATGTGTTTAAAAAATAATGGCAGCTAGCTTTCTGGATTTCCTGGCTCTCCCACTTTACTTTTTCTGCTTTTTTCTGTACCTTATTTTCCCATTGTTCTCCTGTACCAATCATGCACACTTTTCAGTCCGCTCCCAGTGATTTCTCTTCAGTATGACGCTTTGTCTGGAAGGGAGCCCGGGAAGGACAATTTTGAGAGTTCACAATAGGTTAAAGTATAGTGCTAGACCTTTCAGTGCCTGACGATGAATTCATTGTATTCACTTACTCTTGAAGTGGCCAGAACACCTCATAGCTGGTTGCTGTTCTCAGATTGGTCTACTAAGCTTTCCAATGTTGTCTGTTTTATGTGTTCTGTCCTGCCAGATGTCCTATTGTTTCTTTCTCATATCCTGCAGAGGTGCCAATATCAGTCATATCTTAATGGCTGTTGGTAGTTTTCTCTACCATTTTGTATCTTGGGTTTTACCTAGCTTTGTTGTGAATGTTGTCCATGGGATTTGGGGTTCATTACCTAGTTGTTCTCTGTTTTCACATGGAGGATTCATGGAGATTTTTCCAAAGCTTTGCCATCACTGCTGACATTGTCTTCTTAGATATTATTACAGCTTCACTGTGGTGAAGGGAAGCTTCCTTCCAAGGTTAAGTTCAGATGTCAGAACTCATGACAGCAGTCCTGTGGTATGATTAAAGAAAGATTTATTACTCACACAAGTGGGCAGTTCTGAGAGAGGAGCAGAAGATGACTATCTGTGAGGAGGTCCAGAAACAAAAACTAAATGAGGGCATGCAGGTGTTTTATAAAGGATAAGTCCAGTTGGTGCAGAGTTTAAAAGAACCACTTGCAGAGTTCAAAGAATCTCAAAGAGCTAGCAAGAGGTGCCTGGGAGGTATTGGCAGTGGTGAGCTTTATCAGTAAGTTGCAGAATGTGACAGACATAGGCAGGAGATGATGCTCAGAGATTGCAAGCACTATATGAAAACTTCAGTGAGGTTGGGGGGAGTCTCTGTTTCTTTTCTGTGGTCCCCAGTTTGGTGATCCATTTTTTAGTTTCTGTTATCGTTGTGACCTACTATTGAGGAACTGGGCTTGGATCTTACCTGCCAGCTTGGTTCTTAGCAGCCATGATCAACTCCTCCTTGAAGTAACTTGTGTTTCCAGATGGGGATCAGGAGGTAGGCTTACTTGGTAATCTCAGCCAGAGAGAAGAAAGGGGAATACTCTGTGTGGTTATCCCTACTTTCAGGAACAAGTCATAGTTGGCTGGACAAATCATTATATCACCCTTGCATGATAGTGTTCTTAGTTCTGCCTTTTGTTCAGCTCTGTTAATTACATATTTTCTTAAAAACATTTAATTTTATCAAGCATCCCCAGAGTGTTTAGTAAGTCTGCCTAATTTGTACACCTTACCATTGTGTGGGATCCTTGGTATATAAATAAGCTAGAGTTTTACTCTCAAAAAGGTCATCTGTTATAGAGTTGCTGGATAGGTGAACAGTTATAAAACAGTTCACTAACTGTTATGAGAACGTAGAGAAAGAAAACTAACTTGGCTTGTGGCGGGAGGAAATTAAGAATGGCTATGAAAAGAAAGTGACATTTATATTTAGTGTTAAGGCCGGGCTCGGTGGCTCACGCCTGTAATCCCAGCATTTTAGGAGGCCAAGGTGGGCAGATCACCTGAGGTCAGGAGTTTGAGACCAGCCTGGTCAACATGGTGAAACCCCATCTCTACTAAAAATACAAAATTAGCCAGGCATGGTGGTGCATGCCTATAATCCCAGCTACTTGGGAGGCTGAGGCAGGAGAATTGCTTGAACCCTGGAGGCGGAGGTTGCAGTGAGCCAGGATCACACCACTGCACTCCATCCTGGGTGACAAGATCAAGACTTTGTCTCAAAAAAAAAATTAATATTAGTATAGTATTTACTGATTCTAATAAGCCATTGATTTTAAGAACTTACTGATTTTAAAAACTACCACATGAAATATTCACATTGTAAATGTTACCCTTATATCAGAAATGTTAAAATATTGAAAATATGTGTCTTAAAATTGAGGAATCATTAACGAAAGTGTTAAGTAGCAAGCGTAGTGCTGAATGGCTTTTGCGTATGTTATTTAATCTTCACATTAACGCAGTGAGGATAGATTATTACCTTCCGTTGACAGATGAAGAAATAAAGCTTGCAGAAATGGTGTCAGTAATAAGTGTCAAGGGGGGATTTAAGCTCACCTCTGAGTTCTAAGTTTATGCATTCAATTAATATATAAAATGAATATAGCTTTTAGGGATTTTGCCTTTTCCATATGTTTATTTTCCTATGTTTAGTTCAGTAGAGTGAATTTCAACTTTTCACTTAATGATATACAAAACTTTTTGAAGCCTTTTTTTTCCTTGAGTTTTTCAAAGCAGTTCTTTAAGATGGTGAAATGCCAAGTAACTTAGTTTTAACTACTCTTTATTTTTCATTTGTGTTACTTGTCTTTTTTGGCAGCTTTCTCAGTTCTCTCTCTGTTTCCACCATGAATTTTGGAAGACTTTAGTGTGAAATATACAGGCCTGTTTAAAATTGAACATAAACTGTGCCATCACCCTGTAAATAATATAGTCTCTTTAGTAAATTTAATAAAACTGTCCATTTAAAAAGTGGAAGAAAGCACTTCAGGAGAAGGTATTGTGACAGTTCTCTTTGGGAAATTAGAAGGAATAGTGAGCTTTTTACTTAGGGAAGAGAGGATTAAGGAAAATGAGAAAACTGGTGATATGGGTTGGCAGTGCAGGTATTTTGTCTGAATTTATAATGCTTTAGACTAAGATCATTCCATGTGCAATCACAGACGGTAATCCTGCTTACACGTAAAAATGACCTTAATTGCTTTTAATTTAATATGCTGGTAGTCTGTTAGATAGTAGAAATCATCAGTTAACCTCAAGGACCTGAAAATTGAATCATCTTCCTTAAAATATATGATACTTTTAATTTCTCTTCAGTAGCTTATGCTTTCCCTTCCCTTTTCCCTTCATTTTTCTTTCCCTTCCTCCCTCTCTGCCCATCTCTGCCTCCTGGGTGGGCTATTGGGAAACTTGGATTTATGAAAATATCAAAACATGTATTTTCTTGAATATTATTTTGACTCAAAACGTGATTTGTTCATTATTCCAGAGCATTTGCTTATTCTTTTTTTTTTCTTTTTTTTTTTTTTGAGATGAGTCTCGCTCTGTCGCCCAGGCTGGAGTGCAGTGGCGCGATCTCGGCTCACTGCAACCTCCGCCTCCTGGATTCAAGCAGTTCTCTGCCTCAGCCTTCCGAGTGTCTGGGATTACAGGCGCCCACCACCACGCCTGGCTAATTTTTTTGTATTTTTAGTAGAGATGGGGTTTTACCATCTTGGCCAGGCTGGTCTTGAACTCCTGACCTTGTGATCCACCCACCTCGGCCTCCCAAAGTGCTGGGATTACAGACGTGAGCCACTGCGCCCGGCCCTCAGCATTTGCTTATTCTATAACTCTCTCTAATACTCTACAAAGTTCTGTGCCTTAAGTACTAACTAGGCTGTCTACTTTTCCTTTTAAAAAGTATGTATTGCTTGTGAAAATTTTGGATCTGCTTTGTCTCATGAACATATTCTACCACTAACAGGACTTCTTTTTGGCTGCCTGAATATAGTGAAAAGTCAGCTAAGATGATCACTTGCTGGAGCTAGACTGGGGTTTGCGGGGAGAGTGCTACCTGCATGCCATTTTGGCCTCATGTTTATGTTTCATTCTCAGTTATCAAAACCATAAGAAGTGATGGACAAAACAGGCTCAGGTTCTTTGTTCTTCCACATCAAGAAGGAAAAAACCTATTGCTGATATAAATCTACTTCAGTGCCAACTGTAACCCCTGTGATTTTTCTCATTGCTTACCTTTCTCTGTCTGATGACATGAATTGTGTGAAAGGGTGGAAGCTGTGAGTCCAGAGATGGTAGTTGAAGAGTAGGATTTGACAGCAGTGCAAACAATGAAAAAGCAGTGCTCTCTCTCTGCCGGGTATCTTGTACTGAACTTGAGGCTGCTGCCAAGTTAGGGACTATTCCCAAATGCTTGTTTGGGGCTTTTGGACACCTTAAAAATATATATGAATTCATTATGTGAATTATTTTTTATAGGTGTATTTGACCTATTGGTATGTATTACTCAAGATTTGTATGTGTTAATGTGAACTAAGATCATTTTAATGGGAGAGGTGACGTTATGATAGAAGAAGAAAATTTAGAAATAAGTTTAAATTTTTCTCTTTATGTTAATAGGCAGGCAGTGGTTAAAGGTTCCCTTCCACATCCTTTTGCCTTGACGTTATTTGAGGACATATTGTACTGGACTGACTGGAGCACACACTCCATTTTGGCTTGCAACAAGTATACTGGTGAGGGTCTGCGTGAAATCCATTCTGACATCTTCTCTCCCATGGATATACATGCCTTCAGCCAACAGAGGCAGCCAAATGGTAAGTGATCCTTGATTTTTAAATTGCAAGTTGGAACAGCTTTGTAGCACTCTAATGTCTGGCTTTAGTGAGGATCAGGAGGAGGGAGGGCATATCCAAAGATAGTTGGCGGGAATAAAAAAGAGTTAAAATCCTACTTGGGAGGCTGAGGCAAGAGAATCACTTGAACTCGGGAGGCCGAGGTTGCAGTGAGCTGAGATTGCGCCACTGCACTCCAGCCTGGGAGACAGAGAAAGACTGTGTCTCAAAAAAAAAAAAAAAAAAGTTAAAATCCCAGCACTTTGGGAGACTGAAGCAGGCAGATCATATGAGGTCAGGAGTTTGAGACCAGCCTGGCCAACCTGGTGAAACCCTGTCTCTACTAAAAAATACAAAAATTAATGGGGTGTGGTAGTGTGCACCTGTAGTCCCAGCCGCTTGGGAGGCTGAGGCAGGAGTGTCACTTGAACCCGGAAGGTGGAGATTGCAGTGAGCCGAGATTGTGCCACTGCACTCCAGCCTGGGCAACAGAGCGAGACTTTGCTCAAAAAAAAGGGAAAATGTAAAAGTATAATTCAGGTTAGGCAATAGCCTAGACCATTTTGTAGCCTGTCACTACAGACCACCTCAGCCTTTTTGAGTCAGCGCTTTTAGAGGTGGAGAAGAGAGAGATAATTTAAAAATTGAGATAGCTTATATGCTAGGCTTATACACAAATGAGTTTTTTTGTTCATATTATTTCTTTCAGTATGTAGTTGAATGTGTTGATGTGAGTGTGTTTAAAAAACAAACTCTTGGGCCAGGCGCGGTGGCTCATGCCTGTAATCCCACACTTTGGGAGGCCAAGGCAGGTGGATCACTTGAGGTCAGGAGTTTGAGACCAGCCTGGCCAACATGGTGAAACCCCGTCTCTACTAAAATAACAAAAATATTAGCCAGGCGTGGTGGCGTGTGCTTATAATCCCAGCTACTTGGGAGGCTGAGGCTGGAGAATCGCTTGAACCCGGGAGGCAGAGGTTGCAGTGAGCCAAGATCACGCCATTGCACTTTCAGCCTGGGCAACAAGAAAGAAATTATGTCTCAAAAAAAAAAAAAACAAAAAACACACACACACACAAAAACGCCTCTTCTTTTTAAATGAAAACTCTGTTAATCTAGAATATATTTGAATTTAAGTACCTCAGCTTGCTAAATAAAATACCTACTTAAACTTTTCTGTGTACCCCTCCCACCTTGTTTTCCTTAGTTTTGGTTCTGTGTTTGGTCAGCCTTTACAATGACTCGGGCTATGACTGCTGAGAACTTGTAAGAGAGGACTGGAATTAGGTTTAAAAGGAATACGAGAATGTTAAGGGTTTGGCACTTTTGTGTAAATAAATGTCTGGCATCTGTCTGAGTGTATTTCAGATTTTATTACATAGCCAAAAATGAAGAGATTTTGCAACATATGTTGCTTTATATTAGCTCTCCATTTAGGGGGAGATAATCAAATATTGAAAGTGTTATGTTGGAATCTGATGATCATGAGCCCATAAAAATGTTTTTAAGTGTATGTGTTACTCTTCTGTACAAAAGAAAATGTTCAGTCACTTGTATGAATTTTTTTATTCTTCATAGCCCTCAAAAGAGAATTTTCCCTGTTTTTTGTTTGTTTTTTGAGATAGAGTCTTGCTCTGTTGTGCGTTTATGTGATCACGGCTCCCTGCAGCCTCGAACTTCCAGGCTCAAGTGATCTTTCCACCTCAGCCTCCCTAGTAGCTGGGACTACAGGCATATGCCACCACACCTGGCTAATTTTAGTATTTTTTATAGAGGTAGGGTCTCACCATGTTGGTGACCCAGGCTGGTCTCAAACTCCTGGGCTCAAGTGATCCACGCACCTAGGCCTCCCAAAGTGCTGGGATTATAGTCACGAGCCACCGTGCCTGGCCTCTTGTTTTTCTTTTTAAATGGCATTGTTGGTCCTTTATGTTTTACTAATTTGAGAATTTGCAGTTATCTTTCATGTTGGTTACTTTTATCTTTCATGTTCCATTGGTCTCCATCTTATGTTGATTTTTTTCTATGAGTATTGTTTGGACATATCCCTTTCCATAATTTCCAAAGTTTGCTAATTAGTTTTCTCTGATTTTCATTTTCCCCTTTTTTCTGCTTATCCCTTCTATGTTAATCTTCCCAAGGCATGACTTTTCAACATAATTACTTTTCTTGGCTTTCAGTGTCCTTCACTTTAATCTATTCCCATTCTTTGTATTCATTCAGCTTTAGTTCCTATTAGTCAGTAGAAACCTTAACCTCCAGTTATACTGTTCACCTTAATATCTTACCCAGTTTATAGCCCCCAAAGTTTTATTCAGATAGCTTTACCATACTTGAAATGTCCTCTTATCTATCCTTCCTATCCTTGAAGGCTCCCGTGCTGTATACTCCACAAAGCTCTTCTTCAATTCTTTAAACCTCAGCGGTTTTTTTCCCATTTGACTCTGTACTTATTGTCTATAATGTGCAAAATAGCACTTAGTTTTATTGGTTTTGTTTGTTTGTTTGTTTGTTTTTAGTTTTGCTTTTTGTTAATTTTGTTTAACTGACTAAATTGTAACCTCTTTTAGGGCAGGGATCTCCTGCTTTACTTCTTGTGTATTCCTCTTTGGTTACAAAATACTAAGTAAATTCACACTGATTAATTCCTGTCTTTGCAGATGGTTTGATAGTCAAGCACCTGCATGACATTTGGTAATAATTTTGGCTTATCACAGTTGTTCATGTTATGGTTGTTAACCTTTGTGTACTTAGTAATCATTGATATTAATCAATGTGATTTATATTTGACAGCCACAAATCCATGTGGAATTGACAATGGGGGTTGTTCCCATTTGTGTTTGATGTCTCCAGTCAAGCCTTTTTATCAGTGTGCTTGCCCCACTGGGGTCAAACTCCTGGAGAATGGAAAAACCTGCAAAGATGGTAAGAAGATATTATCCAAAATGAAAAATTTTATAACTATTGGAATTCTTCATGATTTGTTTTCTCTATAATCAGCTCTCTAGGTTATACTGCTTTGGGAGACCAGTCACTTAATTTCACAGTCTTCACACATGGTTATAGAATAGGAGTGTTTTGTTCTGTGGCATCACTTGAATGCTATTTTATAAATTATTTTAGTGTTTTAAATAACATATTTTTGAAAAAAGTTACGTGTTGTATCTTTTCTGTCAAATCTCATAGTCATTGATATCACAGTTGATAACTATGGAAATGAGTAGTCGCATAAGGAATATATTTTTAACAGGTAGCATTTGTGAATAAAGAACCTCTGTGAAAGAAAGTATGTTTATTAAACTTTTAGCTACAAAGAATATCATGAGATATATTTTATAACAAATTATTTAAGGATGTTTTAAATTGCTTTTTAACAACAGAGAGATGCTTTCAGAGCTGGGAAAAAAAATCCATATTTAAAACAACTTCTTTTTATACTTAAGAAACACACTTTGCCTGTTCTCCTTACTCTTAATTCCCTATAGAGAGAGGGCACGTTGGAGAAAGTATACTGATTTAGGACATTTTAAGGGACTTCCAGTTTGGAAGAACACCAGTTCTTCTGTTTTTCTTCTTAATGAGAATGTTATTCTTCATTCTCACCCCTATGGATCACCATCTGGTTCTCTAGCAACCAGCAAGACCTGGTAAGAAAATTGTTGTATTTAGCTGTGGCTTCTTTATCTAACTCTGAAAAGCAGAAGCCTGTGTTTTGGAGTGTGTTAGAGTCCCTGGCAAGGGGGCCAGGGAGTCAGAGAGATGGAATTGAGTCTGTGTACAGGATGTTTGTTATGACTTGGCATTGATAAATTATCCTCATAGTAAAAGGTGAAGCTGGCTGACTCTTGGTCAAATGGTTTCCATGGCAGACAGCAATTTGGTTTCAATTTAAAACAAAAGGTTTTTGTAATGTTGCTTTTTTCTTTAAAAATGTAGCCTGACTTTAAAACAGAGGATTTATTTTAGCAATAATGGTCTATCTGCTCCCTCACAGCAGTGCAAGTGTACATATTTAACCAGTTTTGAATTTCATGTGTGCATTTGGCATGTAGTAGCCTTAAGTTAACTGTTCTGTTTTGATCACCTTGCTCAAATTAACAGCTCTATGACTTCTTTGTGAAGTTCTAGGCTGGCTCCTTTTGGTTGTTAGCCGGGGCAGTGAATTGTACAAAGTTATTCCTACTTGGTTCCTGCAGTGGCATTTGGGCTGTATTTTCTTCAAGTTGGAATTCATTTATAATTAGCTCTAGAGTGAAAGGGCTGATATTGAGAGGCTTCACTCCTCTTCTCAGTTTTTTGACTTGTAATTGCAGATTGATTCTTGAAGTTTATATGCCAGTATTTTGTTTTGGACTCATTTATTTAGCTGGGAATCTTTTCTTATTCTTTCAGTTGTCAATTTGCTTACTGTCTTTTATTAGCTTCCTATAGTTAGACGATTTTTTGCTGGTGGTTTACTTGAACAATTTAAAATGAAAAAAAGATTGAGCTCAGTATCTTCATTCTTGGTTATGTGGTTAAGTATTTGGGGCTTGGGCTTTAAACAGTTCATAAATAAACCTAATTTAAAATTCAGTGAAATAAAAATCTGAAAATCTTTATTTTTTAATACTGTTGTTAAGTATTAGTTAATATTTCTTGAGTACTTAAATGTTCAGTACTTTCCTGAGTTTTAGATTTATCTCCTTTAATCCTTACAACAACCTTACAAGGTATAGATGGGGAAACTAGGCTTAGCGAGATTAGATATTTTCCCAAAGTTTGTGTAGCTTCTTGAATCAAATTATATTGGATCCACAACTCTTAACCACTGTGTTATGTTTATCTGGTTCCTTCCCTCCATTGCAGCTGTTTGTTTCTCCATAGCTTGCTTTGTCCTCAATTCTGTGAGGTATTGCCCTGTATTTCTCTTTGTTAAGACAGTTTTACTGAGATGTAACTTACATAGCATATAAAATCCATCCATTTTTTAAATTGTACAATTCGGTGACTTTTTAGTAAATTTACAGAGTTACGCAGTTATCACCACAATCCAATTTTAGAACATTCCTATCAAGCACAAAGATTCTTGTCCTAAATTTCTTTATCTTTTTTTAAAAAATGCTTCTTGAACAAAGGATCTATATCCTACATTTCCTTCTCCTTTAATACTGAGCTACTTAGCTTCTTAGTCATTACATAGTCATTATTCATTGTACTTTTAAATAGCTGGATTAATTCCAATGAAACCATAGAATGTATCACAACTTAATTTGGAGAGTTAGCCATTAAACAGCTTGACCTCAGAGTAGACTCTTCTATTTCACTGTATTACTTTCCATTTCCACTCTAAAGAGAGTGCACATCCTTTTGTGTTAATTTATGTATATTTTATATTTATTTTTCAGTTCTTGATTCTTTATCTAGAGCAGGTAAATTTTACCTCTGGGTTTCAAAGTATTCTTCATTTCACTTTGTTGTTCTAGGTGCCACAGAATTATTGCTTTTAGCTCGAAGGACAGACTTGAGACGCATTTCTTTGGATACACCAGATTTTACAGACATTGTTCTGCAGTTAGAAGACATCCGTCATGCCATTGCCATAGATTACGATCCTGTGGAAGGCTACATCTACTGGACTGATGATGAAGTGAGGGCCATACGCCGTTCATTTATAGATGGATCTGGCAGTCAGTTTGTGGTCACTGCTCAAATTGCCCATCCTGATGGTATTGCTGTGGACTGGGTTGCACGAAATCTTTATTGGACAGACACTGGCACTGATCGAATAGAAGTGACAAGGCTCAATGGGACCATGAGGAAGATCTTGATTTCAGAGGACTTAGAGGAACCCCGGGCTATTGTGTTAGATCCCATGGTTGGGTAAGAAGCTCTACTGATAGTAAATTCTGTGTGGTGTTTCTGTTTTTCACAGGTTCCTGAAAACATTGACTAAGATAACATGACATATATATTGGTTTCCAGTAAACAGCTCTTTAATGGCTGTCTATTTTAGGATATGGTGATTAGAATACAATCTCAAGTTTAAAAATTGCTAGTTTTTTGCCTTGGATGTCTTAGATATTTTTTCTTTCTAAATTAAGTCCATGTTTGCTGACTTTGGGTGTTGTCTGCAGATTTTGCTCGGATTGCATCATTACCATGAAAAATGTGGGAAGAAATTGTTTTCAGAACTCTTTCCCTTCCCCTAGAAGCTTTAATTCCATTTTCAGTACTTTATAGTAAGAATATAGCTTACTTTTTTTTCCCTAAATACATGAATGACTTGATTTCCAAAACTTTGCCAGCCCATGCAGCTTTACTTCTAGTTTGTTGTTGTTGTTTGTTTTGTTTTGCCATGCCACCCTGATCATAGTCCAGGGAAGTACAACTTTTTACATACTCAACAATTTTGTTACTTTGAGATTTATTCTGAGGACAAGCATAGTGACAAATTACACCTCAGTATATACCAATGCCTTAGAGCCATCTAAACATCCAGGAGCCGTAAGAATCACTTAGCACTGCAGGAAGAAATAGTTATTTTGAGAATTCAGTTTGCCATCTGACTAATACTGCTGGGATAAGCCTTTTGTGTCAGAGAGATGACAAGCCATCAAGGAAAAGAGAGAGAAAGTTCATGGAAAAGGGCACACAAAATATTTAAAAAAAAAAAAAAAAAAAAGAAGTAAAACTGTAATCTCATTATTGGGAGGCATTTTCAGGATTGGCTCTAGAACACACTGATCTGAAAATTTCCCACAATCTTATATATTGCTGGGATAAATGTCTTAAACACCTCTTCATATGTTTTTTTTTTTTTCCCCTTCCTTGGCATTAACTGATGATACCAGTGTAATAGGAGGGATGGATCTCACCTTTAGAATATCTGAAAGTTACATTTTATTATCTATTTTTAGCTCATTTTTTGTATACTTCTCTAGGTACATGTATTGGACTGACTGGGGAGAAATTCCGAAAATTGAGCGAGCAGCTCTGGATGGTTCTGACCGTGTAGTATTGGTTAACACTTCTCTTGGTTGGCCAAATGGTTTAGCCTTGGATTATGATGAAGGCAAAATATACTGGGGAGATGCCAAAACAGACAAGATTGAGGTTTGTTTTTTGCTTTTTCATTTTCAAGCCACTTTTATAATGGGTTTTGAGTCGACAGTATAATGATTTGAGTACAGATATTCTTTTTTCTTAACAGTTGTCTGGGGTGCCAAAGGTACCTTTTACAGAAATTTTACTCAACCTTCATGATTCTAGGGATAATATATTCTCTTCCACATAATCCTAGGATGGAGAGATGTATTGGTATGAGAAATGGCTGCTGATCAGTTTCTAGTCTTAAAAGCTTATGTAAGTGATTTTCCTCATTTTGGGTAAAGCCACTTTCTGAATTTCCTAGGGGCAATTTCTGCAAACCAAAATTATGTAAGATCTATACTGGAAGAACTGGCTGTCCTAAGTTAGGAAAACAAAGCCCACATGTATGTGTATATCTATATCTATATCTATATCTATATCTATATCTATATCTATATCTATATCTATATCTTTTATTGCTGTTAACTGGTGTTGGGGCAGATGGTAGAATATATTAAATATTATGATGGTTACATGCAAACAATTTTAAAATTGATTTATGGGCTGTGTGGGAACAAGACTAATTAACCAAAGCTTGGGAAAAAATATTTACCAAGTGGTAGAGTTAAGTTTGTGGCAATCAAATAGATTATGGTGAAAATAATCAGTGATTAATATTTTATCACAGTGTTTTATTAGTGGCCTATATCCCTGATATTGGTGTTAAGTCTAAAATTAACAACTTTGAATTAGACTTTGCTACAGGTCTTATGGATCACATAGATAGAACAGAGTTAGGTCTCAATTTTCCTTTGGGGGAAACTTCACATACAAGGATGGCTTTAAATGGCTCTTCAGAGAGACACTGTACACATCTAATGGACAGAAAATTCAGACTCTAGAACAGTTGTTTTGGAAAGGTATTCTGTAGAGTGCCCATGACCCTGAGGGAATAATGACTTCAAGGCCTTGCTTCCAAAATGGAAACTTGGAATAGAAGAAACCCCGTTAGTATTCCACCAGGCTCAAATACTGAAAACGGCATCTGTTGTTCTTGCAGCTGGTTTTCATTAATAGAAAATTTTGCATAGACTCCATAAATTTTCTCCCTGTTAGTATTTCACTGCCTCCCACTCTTTTCAAATCCAAGTTGATGTTTGAATCTTTTAACAGTTGGAGTGCATTGCTGATGAGACAAAGGTTATGAGTTTATGTTTCAGACAGGCTTTTAGCTTCATTTTGGTCAGCTTGAATATAGATTGCCTACCTAATCCCATCTAGTTCACACCTGTGGATTATGAACTATACATGAGTGTATAGGTACGAGTATGCTTAGGAAAACAGTTTAAAGCCCATAAGTTTTAGAAGAATATCTGTAGCAAGAAAATTTACGTAAGGGAATGCACCAAATTTATTATCATGTAGGGTTTTTAAAATTCCGTATTTGGTTTTGCCCATCTTAGTCTGCTATAACTGACTGATTAGCCTGAAAATAAAATCATTTGTTTCTTACTGGGAATATTTCAAGTCTTATTTTCCTCACTTTAGGTATAATACTTTAGATACAGAAATTTATTCAGAATAACAAATAGTTCAGAAGGGATTCAGATAAAGACATTACAATTTATGGAGGTTCTGAGTGACCATCTTTAAGAATAAAAATTAATACACTTTATATAACAATATATAACATTGATTAAATAGGATTTATTTTCCTAGTTTGCAGTGAGTGCAGTAGATTTTAAAATTAGAATTCCTTTTCTGGCCTCTTTGTTATGTTTTCTTGAGCTATGCATATATATATATATACATACAGACACATACATACAGTGGTGTCATTGGCTCCGTCACCCCTTCTTTCCTTCTTCCCTGTATGGTACCAGCATCCTTAAACCTGTTTTTAATTTTTTTCATTCATTCGTTCATTCGTTCATTTGTTCCTTCATTCATTCGTTCTTTTAATCTGCAAAGGCTCTGTCACCCATAAATCTTATTTTTAGATCCATCTTTCTCCTTCTAGGTTTGCTGGAACACAACTGCTGTTTGTTTTTTGTCCCCTTTTTATAGATTGATGTTTGTGGTAAATTTACTTCTGTATACATGAAGACCTCCCTTTATAATTTCCCCTGGAGATTCTGATGTCCTAATTCACTATTAGGACATCAGAGCCTTTGTCATTTTATTTACATAGGCACGTCTAGGAAATACAGCATATAGTTATTTATTCTCTTCTTATGTTGATGTAAAATCTGATACTTGGCAAACTAAAGAAAGAGTGCAGCTCTTCGTCTAAATTAGTCCTGCATAACTCGGGGAGAAAATCTGGGGTTTTCCATCCTGAGACTAGTAGTGATTCTAGGAGCAACTGCTACTACCAGCTTTTCATCTCCCTTGATTTGATAATACTGTGAACTTGAAAACTTTTACAAAGATGTATAATTTTAAAAATCCCTCTTTTTCCAAGAAGTGTATTTGCTAGCCTTTTGTTAGTGGCAACTGATTCCAGATACTGATCTAACCCCAGTCTGGGTGACATTCTCCCTTCTAGTCCCATTTTCCTTAGAAAGCTCCCTAGCTTTTGTCATGCCCGAGAATGAAAGCTGCTTTTCGCTGGGACTATAACAGAGTATCAGATTATGGTTGTGATAACCCTGTTCTCTTCTGAAAGACTTAAGAGTCTGTTTGGTTGGCCGGGCGCGGTGGCTCACACCTGTAATCCCAGTACTTTGGGAGGCCGAGGTGGGTGGATCATGAGGTCAGGAGTTCGAGACCAGCCTGGCCAACATGGTGAAACCCTGTCTGTAGTAAAAATACAAAAATTAGCTGGGCGTGGTGGCGGGCACCTGTAATCCTAGCTACTCGGGAGGCTGAGGCAGGAGAATCACTTGAACCCGGCAGGCAGACGTTGCAGTGAGCCGAGATGATGCCATTGCATTCCAGCCTGGGGGACAAGAACAAGACTCTGTCTAAAAAAAAAAAAAAAAAAAAAAGTTTGGGCTCACACTGTTGTATATGTGTTTATAGTACATTTGGAAAGAAAAGATAATTATTTGGTAAATTATTTATATAGCAAGGTAAGACATAGTAAACCTATGTGTCTTGAGTGGATCACATGGGAAAGTCTCACTGTGTTCATTCATTTATGCTACCTGCTCGCTTAGTGGAAATTCTTTAGATCAGCTTCTCACTTCCTCTTTTGTAAGTGGTGATGTGACCAGATGCTGGCTACATTAGGGAAACCAGGGAGAAGGAATGGGGAATTCTGGGTATTAGATGTGTTTTTATATTGTACAGAGTTGTAGAAAGAATGAATAGATTTAACCTCAGGTTTATAATAAGCTTCGGGAAGGAGGGATTGAGCGTAGGGCATTGCTAATGATGTCACATTTTTTAAAAGATGGTTGTGGTATTTGGCTCCTGCTTTAATAGAATAACATATATGTGAGGGTATGTCTGTTTTCCCTACTTGTCAGGTGATAGTGGCCACCTATCTGTAGGTGTTAAAATTTAAAAGGTGCCTGCTAGTACTTGTTTATGTCTCTTCTTCATTATGCTGAAATGACTTCATTGCCTTTTGTGGACAAACCTAGTTTACTTGTCTGCACAGTACTTCTGCCACCACCCCCCCTCCTGATTTTTACTATA
The DNA here is from genome assembly GCF_000001405.40 of Homo sapiens. NCBI lineage: Eukaryota > Metazoa > Chordata > Mammalia > Primates > Hominidae > Homo > Homo sapiens. The sequence continues at coordinate 145,186 of NW_011332696.1, read as the reverse complement.
TTGTTGTGGGGCCTTCCCATAATAAGTACTAAAGCATTAGCAGAAAGAATAATTTTCATGTTTTTGATAGAGGAAAGATCAAAAGCCTTTATTTCTATTTTATATGACCCTGCAGTAGGCAGAACAACCTTGTTTCTTAACAGCATTCCTTTTTTTTTTTTTAGGATCAGGTTTTACTGCTGAAAACGTTTGTTGCACTGAGGGCCTGTAGTACTTCTTACTAATAGCCAAGATATATCGTTGATAATTTATAGGTTTAAAGCATTTTTGCCATGGTGTAAAATTAAGAATGTACTATTAGCTTAAATTTTCTTGAGGTTGCTTTTCTTGTTATATACCCATTTAACTGATTGACAAAATCAGTGTGTTTCTAATAGTTGGTTTTATTGAAAACAATAGTATTGTCAATGCTAAATTTCTCTCACAGTTTCTTTTTTCTTTTTCTATTTATTTATTTATTTTATTTTATTTTATTTTATTTTATTTTATTTTTTATTTGAGACGGAGTCTCGCTCTGTCGTCCAGGCTGGAGTGCAGTGGCGCGATCTCGGCTCACTGCATGCAAGCTCCACCTCCTGGGTTCACGCAATTTTCCTGCCTCAGCCTCCTGAGTAGCTGGGACTACAGGCGTCTGCTACCACGCTTGGCTAATTTTTTGTATTTTTAGTAGAGACGGGGTTTCACTGTGTTAGCCAGGCTGGTCTCGATCTCCTGACCTGGAGCTGCGTGCCTCAGCTTCCCAAAGCCCTGGGATTACAGGCATGAGCTACTGTGCCCGGCCTTTTTTATTTTTATTTTTTGAGACAGGGTCTCACTCTGTCGCCCAGGCTGGAGTGCAGTGGCGTGATCTCGGCTCACAGCAACCTCTGCCTCCCAAGCTCAAGTGATACCCCTGCCCCAGCCTCCCGAGTAGCTGGGATTACAGGCGCATGCCACCACGCCTAGCTAAGTTTTGTATTTTTAGTAGAGATGGGATTTCTCCATGTTGGCCAGGCTGGCCTCGAACTCCTGACCTCAAATGATCCACCCACCTCGGCCTGCCAAAGTGTTGGGATTATAGGTTTGAGCCACCATGCCCGACCTGTTTTTTCATTATATACTTTTTATTTTGGTTTCTCCTGCCCACTTTCATTTCTGAGTTTCTACTGACAATGCAGCAACACCTGATAGTATAGATAAAAAGAGAGATTTTCATGTCTACTGTAAGAACATGTGTATTTGCTTTAAATCTTAGAGTAAGCTTCCCTACTTTAAGAGGATACAATGTCCATAGCTAGTTTTGTACAAATCTAATTTTACCTGGCACACCTTTGTTGGGAAACAGAAACAAGGTTTATTAGAACCTTTAGTACCAAGAACTTTTGAATAAAGAAGGTATTATTTTGTATGATGTGTACTGAAAACTTGGCATTTGCTGAATGTTCTGTTTCATATTCTAAGCCTGAAATTGCAGGGCTACATTTTCCTATGATAACTTCCTTTATTTCATCAATACCCTAATAAGGAAATTTGTTTCCCAAGTATTCAAACTTCTTTTTTAAAGGAGTTTCTTTGTCTGGTATCTTAGCCTTTGTACTGTTAAAAACATATAGGAACCTGTTGATAATTTTTTTTACTGTTGGTTTGTAAGATTAATTCCTCATTAAGAAATTATAATAAATCTATTGTTGAGATAAGGCTGTTCTGATAATATGACAAGTATCAACAAGTACTTCCTTTTGAATCTTTGCCAATTTGTAACATTGTGTTTCTTAAAATTGATTATACCTTCAGTTTGAGGCTGGGCACGGTGGCTCACGCCTGTAATCCAGCACTTTGAGAGTCTGAGGTGTGCTGATCACTGGAGGCCAGGAGTTCGAGACCAGCCTGGCCAACATGGTGAAACCCCGTCTCTACTAAAAATACAAAAATTAGCCAAACGTGGTGGCATGCGCCTGTAATCCCAGCTATTTAGGAGGCTGAGGCAGGAAAATTGCTTGAACCCGGGTGGCGGAGGTTGCAGTGAGCCGAGATCAGGCCACTGCACTCCAGCATGGACAACAGAGCAAGACTCTGCTTAAAAAAAAAAAAGAAAGATTGATTATACTTCAGTTTGAGAAATATTCAAAATAACTAATTTAAATACCTAAATATTTGCCCATTTGTGCTACTTTACCACACAACATGTACTGTATGTTAGTATGGATATATATTTCTCCCCAAATCTTCATAACATATGATCAGAGAAGAATGATATTGATAAACTCCATCATTAGATTCCTCAACTCAGCAGAGCACCTGGAGTTTGGACTTAATGTTCATTGAGTTGTAAACCTGGTGCTGGCCTGTTGTGTTATTTTGTGTCTGGGGTACATCGCATAACAATGAAATTTGTGAATTCCTATTTGAAAATTGCTAGTTGATTATTGGGCACAGTGGCTCACACTTGTAATCCTATCACTTTGGAAGGGTTGAGGTGGGAGGATCCCTGGATCCCTTGAGGCTAGGAGTTTGAAACCAGCCTGGGTAATATAGTGAGATCCCCGGCTCTACAGAAAATAAAAATTAGCTGGGCGTGGTAGTGCACTCCTGGAGTCCCAGCTACTTGGGAGGCTGAAGTGGGAAGATCACTTGAGCCCAGGAGTTTGAGACAAGCCTGGGCAACATGGCAAAACCCCATCTCTATAAAAAATGCAAAAATTAGCTAGGCATTGTGGTGTGCAACTGTAGTCCCAGCTACCCTGGAGGCTGAGGTGGGAGGATCACCTGAGTCTGGGAGGCAGAGGTTGCAGCGAGCTGAGATCATGCCACTGAACTCTAGCTTGGGCAACAGAGCAAGACCCTGTCCCCCCAAAAACAAAAGAATTTATTTTAGCTGTGCTTAAAAAGAATGAGAGCAGAGAGGGCAGTTTTCCCTTGTTGACATGTTAATCTTTTCCCTATTAGGTTTTTGGGGCCTCAGGACAGTGAGGCTTTCAGAAGTGTCTTATGAAGCAGTTGAGTATAATTGACCAGGATGTTGACATTCGTCATCATGATGCCTTCATCTGGAACTCTGTTCTCAATTTTTTCGTTTCCTGGAGTAATTCAGGTTTTAGAAAGCTTTGGTCACAGTAGCAATTTTTAGCTCTAACAGAAAAAGAGCATAGTAATTGCAAATCTTTAATATTCAATGCCTGATTCCTTGCAAAAAATATTATAAAACTACCCAGAGTAACTATGATACTTCAATTCTTTTCATATTTAAAATCACTTATATGTACTCAGACTTAATGTATCTTGAAGTAGGTTAAAAGGCTTTGAATATAGCACTGTAATTGCCCCTACCTCTCTCTCAAACAGGTGTGTGGTGTCCCTTTACTTCACCTACTGGGTCCAAAGCATTTCTTTATACTTGTCATCTCAGTGAGATTTGGCATGATTGAAATGTTATTTCCGTGGATAAATATTCTGTGTTTTAAAATCCCATTTGTGTGAAATTATATTTTATGTTCTATGAAGTTGTATCAGAAAAAATATGCTCCCCAACCCTCAGTCATATCTGTCTTCCTTATGTATAAGCTTTTAATTCACTGCTTGTTTTGGATATTGTCTGGAACATTAGAAGAGGAGTGGTTCATTTTGGGCATAATTTGAGTTTCTCTTCTAGAACTTTATAGCATTCCAACTCTAGCACATTTTATGGTGGTTGCTTGGTTGTCCTCCTGCATCTGTTCCTTGAACTTGTCTTGTCAAGTGAAGTTGCATAGCAGCAATTTTGGTAGTAGACTGGCTGCATTCCAAGATTGCATGGGCAGTCCTGTCTTGACATTTAATGAGCTGATGAAATGACTCAAAAACTGGATGTGATGTCTGTAGAAGATTTGCCATTACTTCTTCTTTGTGCAGATAATGTTATGGTTAACCCACGTCTATTTCCTCTTGTAGCCTATATTCTCAGTGTGGTTTAGAATATTTCAGAATGTTAAACCAATGTGCCACAGTGTGGTCAAAGCAGCTGAAACCACTGGAGACTCTGGTTCAGATTTGGAGTTAGATTTTAGAAGTGACAGAAGCCTAATTTCAGTTTAACTAATTAAACCACTCTGAGGTAATACAGTGAAGTACACCCTTAAGAGTTGTCAGATTTAATTAACATTGGCACAGTTTTTAAAGCATAAGTGTAATCTTTTGGAATTGCCTAAAGTGGTTCATTTGTTCTGGGTTCAGAATATACAAACAAGCTTTTGCCAGGATTTGTGTTATTTTAAACATAAGGAGCTTAAACTGTATTTATAGACCTAGTAACCTGTCCAAAACTTTTACAGGAATATGAGAAATGGAATAGTGATTTCTTTAAGACAGAGCAACATGTTCTTATTTCACTATGGTTAACTTGTGCCCGGTAGAAAAAGATTGTGTGGCTGGTACAAGAGAAATACTTAGTGGAGAAGTCAGTTTTCTAATAGTGTCACCTCTACAAAAGTAATGGAAGGAAACATTTCAGAAATTGGACTTTGTGTGAAGGAAAATACATTATCTGTGTGTTTAGATGCAAAGTCTCACAGTCAGATATTGTTTAAGCTGGTGATCCCTTAATCTCTTCGGAGGATCCTTATAATTCCTTTCTATACCATACTAACAAAAATGATAATAGCGTTTATTTATTTATTTATTTATTTATTTATTTATTTATTTTATTTTTTTTTGAGACTGAGTTTCACTCTGTCGCCCAGGCTGGAGTGCAGTGGCACAGTCTCGGTGCACTGCAAGCTCCACCTCCCGGGTTCACGCCATCCTCCTGCCTCAACCTCCTGAGTAGCTGGGACTACGGGCACCCGCCACCACGCCTGGCTAGTTTTTTGTGTGTGTGTTTTTAGTAGAGATGGAGTTTCACCATGTTAGCCAGGATGGTCTTGATCTCCTGACCTGGTGATCCGCCCTCCTTGGCCTCCCAAAGTGCTGGGATTACAGGCGTGAGCCACCGCGCTCGGCCAATAATAGCATTTATTAATAACAGCAGTTATCATCATCATTATTATTTGTGTGTCCTTGGACTTGCTTCTTAGCTTTTTCTCTTCATTTTTTAAAAATTATGGAAAATGTCAGAGTATAGAAAGCAGAGTAGAGACGACCATGAACTACCTAGTTTTAACCATTGTTAGTACATGGCTGATCTAGACTGCAGCGTGTCTTAAGCAGGAGGGCTAAGGAGATGGCAGAAATGGGTTTTCTAATAATATATCTATGGTCTTAATACTTCCTTTTTGACATAGCCTAAAATAAATGAAAGAATCAGGTCTTTGTTGCTCCTTCTAACTAACCTCTTAGCTAGTGTTTTATATGTAAACTTGCAAATGTGACAAGAAGAAAAAAAGTAGTTTTTTTCATCTAAGACGTGTGTGTGTGTGTGTGTGTGTGTGTGTGTGTGTGTGTGTGAAGTAATTTTAACTTCATATTAGAATTAAATAGTATATAGCTTGGAAGAAAGAAAGACCAAATAAAAGACATTTGTTTGAAGCTTTAGTGAGCCTGATCGATCTGAGGTAAGCCTGAAGGTGACAGGTATAGAGGGGACAGTGATGTAAACTAAAAAAGGAACCAATTAATTTTATTATAGGCTGTATGTAGTCACCACTCTGAAGACTCTAATCCAGCACAGTGCAATATGTAGCCACTAATTACATGTGGCTCTGCAGAACTTAAAATGTGCCTAGGTTGAATTAGGATGTACTTTAATTGTAAAACACATTCTAAGAGACCTAGTATTAAAAAAAAAACCATAAATGTCATTAATAAAATTTTAATATTGATTACAGGTTGAGAGAAAAGAATTTTGGATGTGTTAGATTAAATAAAGTATACTATTAAAATTCTGTCTACTGTTTTATACTGTTTTTGAGATGAGTCTCATTCTTTCACCCAGACTGAAGTGCAGTGGTGCGGTGTCAGCTCACTGCAACCTCTGCCTCTCAGGTTCAAGCAATTCTGCCTCAGCCTACCGACTAGCTGGGATTACAGGTGTGCATCTCCACACCTGGCTCATTTTTGTATTTTCAGTAGAGAGGGGGCTTCACCATGTTGGCCAGGCTGGTCTTGAACTCCTGGCCTCAAGTGATCCACCCGCCTTGGACTCCCAAAGTGCTAGGATTACAGGTGTGAGCGAAAACATTCTCCTGGCATGTTTTGTACTTTTTAATATGACTACTAGAAAATTTTAAATGGACACATACGGCCTACATTGGTGGCTTGTGTTATATTTCTCCTGGACAGTGCTGTTTTAGATCCAAACCTATTGTAAAAACTACACCAGATGAGAACAAGGAGATCAGGAATTAAAGGAAACAGTGTGCTTACAAAACGTGGTTTTAAAAAAATCTTTAATAAATCTTAATTACATTGCTTAACTTGAAATAGACATGAATTGATAGATCTTGCTTTTGTATTTACGTCATTACCAAAAAAAGACCTTTTAGTTTTTGCTTTTCGAGTGAGAGAACAAGGAATGGTTGGAAGGGACTAGTGCTCAAGTGAGTAAAGCAACCAAATCATTAGTTGTGCCTTCTCAGGAACTATTTTGAGTTCTTCGCCACTGTGCCATTCTTAATACCTTCATTGTTAATACCTTTGTTGAGCTTGTTAATACTTTGATCGTGGTCTTCATTTGTTGTCCTTTCAGCAAATGTTGCTGAAGACCTTTTTCTTTTCATTGTTTGCTTTGCTCTCTTCTTCCTGAGACCCTTGCTTGTATCTAGAGCAGTATTAACACTGATCCAAACCCCAGTTTTCTCAAGGGACTGAAGTGAAGATGAGCAAAGTATTTCTGATCTATAATCCTTTATCTGCAATTCTGAAATCCAAAGGGCTCTGAAAACCAAATGCTGCTTTTGTTAATTGATTTGGTGGAAAACTTGATCTGAACCAGTGTGAGACTATTTGTAGTCTGTCCCACACTGCGGGCATACTTTTATTTATTATTATTATTATTATTATTATCATTTTGAGGCAGAGTTTGCTCTTGTTGCCCAGGCTGGAGTGCAATGGTGCGATCTTGGCTCACTGCAACCTCTGCCTCCCGGGTTTAAGCAACTTTCCTGCCTCACCCTCCCAAGTAGCTGGGATTACAGGCGTTAGCCACCACTCCCGGCTAATTTTTCTATTTTTAGTAGAGACAGGGTTTCACCATGTTTGTCAGGCTAGTCTCGAACTCCTGACCTCAAATGGTCCTCCTGCCTTGGCCTCCCAAAGTGCTGGGATTACAGGTGTGAACCACTGCGCCTGGCCGTGTTTTATTGCAGAAATATTAACATGTTTGGCTATAAATAGTGCTGCCCTGAACCCAAGTAGAGGTGATATGCTATGTGCATTGTGTTAACCTTTCTTTAAAAAAAAACAAAAAGACAAAAACAGTCTGAATTCAGGAATACAACTGACCCTGACTTTAGATAAGGGATTTTGGACCTCTCTTGCCATCTCACAGAAATTGAAAATATTTTGCTAACCATAATTCTATATTGGTTTATTTATTTTTTTCATAATTCTACATTTAAAATAAGATATTTATCTTTAACACAAGCTGAACAGGGTGACAGAGATAAATGAAGTGTTTCTGAAACATGGGTTTATTGTGTCACCCTGCTTAAAGTGCTTTCAGAACCTTCTTGCTTTCTGTAATTCTCCTTATCCTGGAATTTAATACCTGCCATAGGGTGGTATCTGCTTGATGCTGTATCCTTTGAGTCCCCCATGTGTTCGTTCTATCTCAGTCAAGGCATTTCTTTCAAAGTCAAACATGTCGTGTGCATCCTTGGCTTTGCTGTGTCTTAACTCATTTCTTTTTTTCTAGAAAATCTGTTTCTCTTTTTCTTTGTCAAAATTCTAATTCTTCAAGATGAATTTCAACTGCTATTATTTCCTGAAGTTTTTCCTGATTACTTACAGAGAGGGGATATGTGTGTAATTTTAATGTAAATATCGTTTACCTCCCCAATTAGATTGTAATACATTAGCTGGAAGAGGCCCTGTTCTAAACTTCTCAGCATTCATCAGGTCTATCATGGTGGTTTGCATTTACTAGATGTCTTTACTAATGTTGTTTGATTTGCGGGGAGGTGAGTTAGGGGTCTGGCAGAGCAGCAAAAGTGTACTCATATGAAATTGTCAAATATTTGTTCTTTTTTGTTTACTGTTTTAGTTACTTTATATCTAACTAGCAAAAGTAAACAATAAAAATGGGAGTAGGAAATGGGAGGCTGTAGCTGTGTAGTTTCCCACTGGTTTCAGGATACATAAAGGTCTCTTGGTTTTTGTCTTCAGTTTAACAGTGAGTGGTTGTTTTGGTCTTTTATTTTCATATATTCTTTTATATTTATGTATTTTTATTTTGAAGCACTACATTAAATAATTAAATACAATCATTTAGCTGTTTACATTTAGGAACTAAAGCATTTTAATAAAATGATTTTTAAAGGACAGGAACCAGTGTTTACCAGATAGTGCACCTAATACTGTGCTATATATTTAGCATTATTTTATTTGATCCTTAACTAATTCAGTGATGGCAGTGGCGCTGTCCCTTTTTTTTTTTTTGAGACAGAGTCTCACTTTGTTGCCAGGTTGGAGTGCAGTGGCGCGATCTCGGCACACTGCAACCTCTGCCTCCTGGGTTCAAGCGATTCTCCTGCCTCAGCCTCCCGAGTAGCTGGGACTACAGGTGTGCGCCACCACGCCCAGCAAATTTTTTGTATTTTTAGTAGAGACGGGGTTTCACCATGTTGGCCAGGATTGTCTCCATCTCTTGACCTCGTGACCCACCCGTCTCGGCCTCCCAAAATGCTGGGATTACAGGCGTGAGCCACCGCGCCTGGACTGCTGTCCCTATTTTATTTGTGAGACTTGCTTAAAGGTACCCACTGAGTGATAAAGCTTATATTTGAAATACAAATCTCTTTCTGCCACAATACTGTTTGCTGATCATGAGAAATTTTTTAGAGAACAGAAGAATGAAGGGAAACTGGTAAATAGAAGATGCAGAATTATGTTTACTAAAAAGGTCTTAGAATTGTGGCATTTATTATTTTTCTCACAATGATTTTTAATTTCATTCTTACCTATTTTCTGTCTTTTTAAAGATTTTTTTCCTAGGCTGGAGTTACTTAGGCTGGAGTACAGTGGCTTGATTATAGCTCACTGCAGCCTCAAACTCCTGGGCTCAAGCAATCTGCCTGCTTTAGCCTCCCTAGTAGCTAGGACTACAGGCTTACCACACCATGCTTGACTAATTTTTTGGTATTTTTGTAGAGACAGGGCCTTGCCATTTTGTCCAGGCTGGTCTTGAAACCCAAGGCTTAAGTGCTCCTCCTGCCTTGGCCTTCCAAAGTGCTGGGATTATAGGCATGAGCCACCATACCCAGCCTCATTTTCCTAATTCATACTTAATCATCCATCTTTTGTTTAAGCTATTTATTTATCAAAATAAACAAAAATGTTGGAAAGTGATATAGCTGAAAGAGAAAAGATTTTGTTGATCTCATAATAGAAGTAGAAATATAAGTGTTATTCTTTAAAAGTTTAATATTGGGCATCTAGTTTATGCTTTTACACCAGCAAATTTTAATAGGAAAGCCAACATTTGAATGTAAAGATCAGCAAAATTAGCGTAATTTATTAAATGTAAGATAATGCAAAATAAGATAGAATTAAATCTAAGAATAAAACCGAATCAGGCATATTTTAACATACCACAAACTTATAAGAAAGTAATATTTTTGTATTGTATAATACAGAATATTTATCACTCTGTGTTGGGTGCTCCCTAATAGAATGATTGAACTCTCCCTAATGCAGGACATAGGTTCACTGTTAAGTATATGACCTTTTAGATGAGGTAGCAGTACATGTTCCTGGAAATGCAATTGGAAATGCTGCAGTAGAAACTGAGAAGACCTTGTTCTGTTCTGAAAGATGCAGCAAGCCTTCCAGAGTCCCAGTGTTCAAGTCCCTACCTGAGACCATTTCTGTCACTTAAAGGGGCCTGCGTGCTGGGCAAATTAGCCTTTAGAAATGTTATTTCATACTAAAAACATGTACATGTGAACAATATCTGCTCCTACCCCCCCAAAAAAGGTATCAGATATAATCTTATATGTAAATATCAAATATTAGTTATATTATGTCAATAAAGGTATCCCAAGTAAGTCAACACTGAATAGTGCATGGTGAATGCACTGTGAATACAGTATGAATGCCAGAGTGAATTTAATAATGTTACTATTAGGTAGTTGGAAAGAGAAGGTACATCCTAGTTTCTTGAAACTTAGATGCAGAGAGGGTGTCATATAATCCCGATACTTTTGTGATTATAATCTCAGAGGAATGAGAGATTTATTGAGATCCCTTTTATCTGTTTTTTGTTGTTACTGACAACAACAACAAAATAAAAAGCATGCTAAGTGGAAAAAGTCCTGAAAAAGACATCAACTGTGTTTACAAGCTCTGTGACCTTACATGAATCTCAGTTTCCATAGGCAAAGCTCTCAAGATAAAATAAAAGATGTTATAAAACAAAATATATGATAAAATAATGTATATGAAGGTACATTATAATTTGAAAACAAATGTGCAAACTTAAGGTGATGATACTGTATTTTTAATTTTGCCACAATTGTTTAATAGAAGAGTTGCATAATCTAAAGTTGCCAGAATTTTTAGAAGGAAGAGTAATATGAGATTGGGGGGAAAAGTGGTCAAATAGAGGCTTATATGGAAAATTTGAAATCATTTTTATAAAATCATCATGTAATTTTGAGAAAGCATTGTAATAGGAATACCAAGATGACTCTTGGATTTTTATACAACAGGCAGTTGGATTTGTTATTTTTAGCTGAAGAATAAATGCATAATTCATCCCCTTCTCTTTTGAATTTAAACCTGAAGGTTATGAATACTGATGGCACTGGGAGACGAGTACTAGTGGAAGACAAAATTCCTCACATATTTGGATTTACTTTGTTGGGTGACTATGTTTACTGGACTGACTGGCAGAGGCGTAGCATTGAAAGAGTTCATAAACGAAGTGCAGAGAGGGAAGTGATCATAGATCAGCTGCCTGACCTCATGGGCCTAAAGGCTACAAATGTTCATCGAGTGATTGGTGAGTAACTCCAAAGCTTTCTTAGAAATGGGAACCAGGAATGAAAAAAGATGGAGATAGTCAGCAGTGTAAATTATTGATGTTTTGAGGCAATTTTGAAACCTTCTTTACTGCCCCCCCGCCTTTTTTTTTTTTTTTTTTTTTTTTTTTTTTTTTTTTACTGAGAAGGGACCTTTTAAACGTTGACTTACTACTCTAGCTACCCAGTTTGAATTGAAGGGCTGAATACACATGCACAGGCACACCTTCATCAAAAGAATTCAGTCTGATAGTATGAATAATATACCTTACTTTAAAGCTTACTGTGGTATTAAAGGAAAATACTTCACCATGCTTTTACTCCCTATTAATCTGCATATTACTTGTTTGTGATATTAGAATTGAAACTTGAGATTGGGAGCAAGACATAATCATAGGCATTTGTGAACCAAACGCTTAAGTAATTTAAAAGTGAAAATATGTTGAATGTATCAATGTGTGTGTCCTTCTGTGCCCCTTTTATAATTAATCTTTTAGGTTCCAACCCCTGTGCTGAGGAAAACGGGGGATGTAGCCATCTCTGCCTCTATAGACCTCAGGGCCTTCGCTGTGCTTGCCCTATTGGCTTTGAACTCATCAGTGACATGAAGACCTGCATTGTCCCAGAGGCTTTCCTTTTGTTTTCACGGAGAGCAGATATCAGACGAATTTCTCTGGAAACAAACAATAATAATGTGGCTATTCCACTCACTGGTGTCAAAGAAGCTTCTGCTTTGGATTTTGATGTGACAGACAACCGAATTTATTGGACTGATATATCACTCAAGGTTAGCAAAAGAATTGGAATATTAAAGCTAGGGACTAAAAGGGAGAACTTCTAGAATTTCTGAATCTTCATGCTGTGACCCACCTCCCTCATTGTTTGACAGGCAGAGTTCAACAAAAACCCTCAAGTTTTTTTTTTTTTTTTTAAACGGTGTCTTGCTCTGTCACCCAGGCTGGAGTGCAGTGGTGCAGTCTCGGCTCACTGCAACCCCTGCCTCCCAGGTTCAAGCGATTCTCCTGCTTCAGCCTCCCGAGCAGCTAGGACTACAGGTGCGTGCCACGACGCCCAGCTAATTTTTGTATTTTTAGTAGTGACGGGGTTTCACCATGTTGGCCAGGCCGCTCGAACTCTTGACCTCGTGATCCGCCCGCTTCGTCCTCCCAAAGTGCTGGGATTACAGGCGTGAGCCACCGCGCCCAGCCAAAACCCTTAAGTTTTTAAGTGAAGGGAAAGGCCCATTCAGTATTTTATTAGATGCTTTTTAATACAGATACTTTGCCAGAGTGTTTTAAATCTGCAAGCCATAGTCTTCCTCTACTTTCTTCCATTTGAAAATGATGAATGACATTTTCTGCAATTAGCTGAGTAAGGAAATGTGTGCTTCACGTAAAATGGCTGTTGATTTACTTTAAAAAAAAATTCGTGATTTACTTTAAACAAAATTTTAGGGCCTGACTGAGGCGGAAAAGGCCAACAATGAGTTATTCTTTATTTTCTTCTTCCTAGAATAGTTACTGAAAAGAATACCAGGATAGCCAGAGAGGAAGCTCCCAACCTATAAATCTGAAGAATAATCTTTTCTTCTTCCAGATTGTTTTGGGCTTGTTTCAGATAACTCATGTAAACTTTTTTGTAATATGCGAAAACATGGGGTGTTGGAGTCAGAGTTGGATTCTAATGGTGTTCAGTTAAATTTATTAAGTGAATAAATGAAATAAATAAATTTTGGTTTGCATTGGGTGATGTTCTAAATTTCCTCATCTTGAAAATGGGGGGTGGCTGGGTGCGGTGACTCAGGCCTGTAAATCCCAGCACTTTGGGAGGCTGAGGCACATGGATCACCTGAGGTCACGAGTTTGAGAACAGCCTGGCCAACATGACAAAACCCCGTCTCTACTAAAAATACAAAAATTAGCTGGTCATGGTGGCGCATACCTGTAATCCCAGCTACTCGGGAAACTGAGGCACGAGAATCACTTGAACCTGGGAGGCAGAAGTTGCAGTGAGCCGAGATCATGCCACTGCACTCCAGCCTGGGTGACAGAGTGAGACTCTGTCTCAAAAACATAAAATAGGGGTGATGCCATACTTGCAGGACTGTTGTATTAAGTGACAAAATCTACGGACAAAACGTACTTAGGATAATACTTGATAAGATGTATCTATTATTAGTTTGAATTATGATTTTTAAAAGTGTTATGGGACTCAGTGCTATAATGGTAGTATAATGGTTACATTCATTTATATGGTAGGCATGATGACTTGCCATAATCTTAAGCACCTTTAGAAAATTGACCACTAATTAAGATCTGTAGCATTGTGGTCACAGCTTTTCCACTTGATTACTGATAAATTTTAAAAGTAAAGTCATTCTGCTGTTAGTAGAATAAATTTTTGGTGCATTAGAGTTTTAAAATTTCTCCCCTGAATTGGCAGTAAAACTTGAAGTTGCATTTATTAGAGATTGACATCAAATTTTTCTGTGCTTGCAAGTTATGTGAATTTTAATAGGAAATAGTATGCCTCTTGGCACTTCTGGATCCTCTTGCCCCTGACAAAAACCAAACCAAACCTTCTTTCTGGATAGGGTTTAGACTTATGCCATATGACTTAGTTGTTAATGTTCTTTTGCAGACCATCAGCAGAGCCTTTATGAATGGCAGTGCACTGGAACATGTGGTAGAATTCGGCTTAGATTATCCAGAAGGCATGGCAGTAGACTGGCTTGGGAAGAACTTGTACTGGGCAGACACAGGAACGAATCGAATTGAGGTGTCAAAGTTGGATGGGCAGCACCGACAAGTTTTGGTGTGGAAAGACCTAGATAGTCCCAGAGCTCTCGCGTTGGACCCTGCCGAAGGGTAAACAGCTTTACATGTGCATTCTTTGCAACTGCAGTGTACATTTCGGGGAACATGGCATAGTTACAGATGATATTCTTAATGTTTTAAATAATACGTATTAGGAATCTGAGAACTAAATGATAGATGAACTTTTAAAAACACTATTGATATTTTGCTGATTTGAATGAATAATTATTAGCTAATTTTACTCTTGTCGTAATTAACTTTAGGTGAAGAAAGAGGGGAATGGGTTAATAAATGTTACTGATGAGTATACTGATATGTTAAGTATATATACCAAGAGGTATTATCCATCTGTAGTTGCTTGCACTCCTTCCCAGTTATACTAGATTCCAAGCCTATTGAAGTAAACCCACCGAAACAATGTTGTGAGCTAAGAAAAAACTACATTTAAAAAGCTTTATTTTGGAGTATTTATTAATTCAAAATGGATAGTTTGGTTTGATCATTATTATAAACTGGCAGTAGCTTTGTTATTACAAGATAGAATAAACTGTTCACAACATGATGTTTTTCAAGGGCGAGTGTTCCTTTTTACAAGAGTCAGCAAATTTTTTAAAGCCGGCAGCTAAGAAATCTGAAATCTAAAGAAAAATTCCACTTATAAAAGAAGTCAACAGGCCGGGCGTGGTGGCTCACGCTTGTAATCCCAGCAACTTTGGGAGGCCGAGGCGTGGGCAGATCACAAGGTCAGGAGTTCGAGACCAGCCTGGCCAACATGGTGAAACCCCGTAACTACTAAAGATAAAAAAAAATTAGCCAGGCATGGTGGCATGTGTCTGTAGTCCCAGCTACTCTGGAGGCTAAAGCAGGAAAATTGTTTGAATCTGGGAGGTGGAGGTTGCAGTGAGCCGAGATCGTGCCACTGCACTCCACCCTGGGCAACAGAGCAAGACTCCATCTTGGAAAAAAAAAAAGAAGTAAACAGTGTGAACATATAAATATGTTTACTGTATTTGCTACTTAAAATAATTTCCCTGAAGTGACATTGATTCCATGATTAGCTAGTAATTCATCTAGTCAGCACTGACATATTGTGGTGATCTTTGCTCTAAACATTAGCTGCCAGACAGATAAATTTAATAGTTGGGACTAATTGGTTGCTGCTGGCAAGTATGAAATTTCTCTCACAGTTGTTTCTCTTTGGCTCTTGTGGTGTGCACATGCCTGTCAAATGACAAGTGCAAATGCATATAAAGGCAGGACACCTTCAGTTTTCAGAAAAGCATGTTCATACATTGCTACCAAGTCAGCTATCAGCTGACAGGCTGATGAGTGAATATATGTCCTCAGGTATTTCGTGAGAGCTGGCATGTGATGTGCTTTTTTAGTTCCAGTATTCAAGAGTCTCAAAAACTAGCACCTCACTAGTTTACTTGAAAGGGCATTTGGCCAAGGATTAGGTTCTAGTTCTAGCTCTGTCATCTAACTGGCTTGAAGACATTAGATAAGTTGTTCACATTTCTTGTAGTGTTTTGGGCTCTTCATCTATAAAAAGCCTATACTGTAGGATTACTGTAAGATTAAAGTGCAAAACTCAAAAATGGAAAATAACAGCAAAGTAATTATTCTAAAATTTCACAGAGATTGTTGTAGCGTAGTGTAGTGTTCATTGCCCAGTGGACACATCAAGGGGTGAGTCGTTGTTCTTACCATATAGTATGCTCCCTTGGACCATATGACCAAATACATTTTCAAGCTTTGCTTTTGACTTCAGTTAAAGGCTTAGTATTTATAATTACCTTTCATGTACTTCTGCAACTTATTTTGAGGAAGAGTTGATTACACAAGTCAAAAAGTAAGTTCAGCATATTAAAAACTCAAATTAGTTAATATTCAAAAGTATATAAAAATATTTTACTCAGAAGTGAACCAGATTCTGAGACCAGAGCTTTAAACCTTTGCTGTTTTCTTGAATGTTAATTTTACAAATGCCAGTACTGCAATAAACTGTTGGTTTATTTCCAATTCCTAGGTTTGGATGGAACAAATGTATTGGAAAGACTAAGGAAAGCTGACTCACTTCCTTTTTGGGATATGGAAAAAAATATTTAGTTTAGGGTGCCAAAATAATTGAAAGCATTGTAGCCGTGATTTTGTTTAACCCATTTCCTTGATTTGCTGTATGTTTTCTTTAAATTTATTTAGTTACTTTGCATGAATATGACTCTTTCCCCCAGATAATAAAAAATTGAAATGTTAAATATTTATTATTTTGAATTTAGATTTATGTATTGGACTGAATGGGGTGGAAAACCTAAGATAGACAGAGCTGCAATGGATGGAAGTGAACGTACTACCTTAGTTCCAAATGTGGGGCGGGCAAACGGCCTAACTATTGATTATGCTAAAAGGAGGCTTTATTGGACAGACCTGGACACCAACTTAATAGAATCTTCAAATATGCTTGGTAAGCTTTACTACTTTTTACTCAAACAGTATATTCTTTCCATGCAAATATCAGTGGCTGCTATTTATCATTGGTTAGATACTTTTAATACAACTTCATATGAATGTGTCCATTCTTCTTCTGTTCTGGAATTGTATCCTGTTTGTTATTAATAGTGATCCAGGTACTTGGATTCATCTTTTTATTATGTGAAAGTTTCATTATTATTGGACTTGTAATGAAATTTATAACTCCCTAGATACTCCTGAAATGACTTTTGTACCAGTAAAATATATATATTTCCATCTTTTCCTTCTATAGTTCAAGAAGAAAAAGTGAACTGTAGACCCTTATATAGAGAAAATAAAACCACATTTAAAGTAGACCATTTGCAAGAATTTTAGGAAACTGAGTGATTTGTAGCAGGAATATAAGTTTGAAGCATGGGGTCAGAAGATAGATTGATTTCAGAGAATTGGTCTCGTTTTAGAATTGCTTTTAAATGAATTTTTCTATTTTAAATTGCTTACAATGTAATGTTTTATATGTTAGGGCTTTTTTTTTTCTTTTTGCCAGCAAGACACTTGTATTCTCACATATTTCATCACTCTGCTTCTCCCCTGTCTACTGCCTTTCTGAAAATAGGGCTCAACCGTGAAGTTATAGCAGATGACTTGCCTCATCCTTTTGGCTTAACTCAGTACCAAGATTATATCTACTGGACGGACTGGAGCCGACGCAGCATTGAGCGTGCCAACAAAACCAGTGGCCAAAACCGCACCATCATTCAGGGCCATTTGGATTATGTGATGGACATCCTCGTCTTTCACTCATCTCGACAGTCAGGGTGGAATGAATGTGCTTCCAGCAATGGGCACTGCTCCCACCTCTGCTTGGCTGTGCCAGTTGGGGGTTTTGTTTGTGGATGCCCTGCCCACTACTCTCTTAATGCTGACAACAGGACTTGTAGTGGTAAGCTGCATTTCCCTCCAAAGCAAGCTAGAATGAGAGAAAGCAGCATTTTCAAAGTACTTTAGTGTGTGTTTTTTCTAAAGTTAAATAGTGTGGAAATCCAGAGGGGGTTATTTGTTTGGTTAAAGGGTAGGGGAATGCAAGTGTTTGTTACTTATTACTTGTTTGATGATAGCAATTTGATGTTATAGAAAAATTAAGTCTTATGCTGGTCCATTGTCTTATGTCCGTAACCCAGCACTTTGGGAAGCTGAGGTGGGAGGAATGCTTCAGCTCAGGAGTTCAAGACCAGCCTAGGCAATATAGCGAGACCTTGCCTCTACAAAAAATAAAAAAATTAGCCAGAGTAATGGTGTGCATTTGTAGTCCCACCTACTCAGGAGGGTGAAGTAGGATGATCACTTGGCCCCAGGAGATTGAGGCTGCAGTGAGCTATGGTGGCACCACTGCATTCCAGCCTGGGTGACACAGAGAGATTCTTTCTTCAAAAAAAAAGGAAAAATTAAGTCTTTTACCCTTGGACATTAAATATTAAGTGTAAAAGTTGCATAGTTTCATGCATCATATTTATTGTAAAGGAAGGGAAGAACATTACAAACAGTAAAACAGTGAATCGCAAAACACAACTTACTTGTCCTTTGAAGTGCAAAGAGTAGGACAGTCATAAAAAATTTAAATGTTTAACAGGCCATACAGAAAACGCGTATGAGAACATGTAACCCAGTATAAAGTAACAGTTGATGAGAAACTAAAGAGAACATGCAATGAACATAGTAGGCAGTTGCAGTTTAACTGAAGCTGATGTTACCAGATCTTTTCATTTGGTCCTGAATCTAGATTTTTTTGTGTGTGTGACTCCCTCATCTCCTGATTTTTAAATACCGGCAAGTACACACATAACACTAACAACAAAGTGTGTAACAAAACATTGTTGGCTAGGGGAAACCTGGCTTATAACTTAAATATATATGAAGGCCCATTTCTTGGTGGATAGACAAGAACAAATTGGTAGATACGATTAAGAAATAAGTAGATTAAATCAGAAAGAGTAGATTATGGGAGGGGTGTAGGGTTTGGGTCAATATGATGGAAAGTAACAAACTGCTAAGGATATTAGAGGTAATTAACTATTGACATGACTTTCTTTTGTGCTTGAGAGAATGTGTCAGAATTCCCATAGGAAAAATTTGGTCTGTTCTGATGCCAACTTCAGTTGTGAAAGAGAAAGGACACAAGCATGTAGTGGAATGATTAAGAGGTTATACTTTGGAATCTCTGCCACACATTAGCTTTTTTGCTTTACACAAGTAATAAATTCTTTAAGCCTTTATTTTTTCTCATTTGTAAAATTGGAATAATAATAGTAATTGCTGTATAGGGTTGTTATGAAGATTAAAGATAATACATGGTCTGATTTCTGGGGAGAACCAGTAGCAGGGAAGTCAGTTAGACCAGTGTGGTAATGCAGGTAGACCTGGACAATGGTGGTGGCAGCAGCGTGTGTGTTGAAGAGAGGTTGATGGATTCGAGATGTATGTGGAAGCTAGAGCAAGCAGAAGTTGTTAATGAGTTCTGTGTGGGAAAGAAAGGGAGGAAGCAAGGATGACCTCTAGATTATGTGTCATAGATGATGGACTATCATCGGAGAAGAGACATGAGGTTGAAGATACAAATTTTGGGATTACCAGGATGTATTTAAAATGAATGAGGTTACCTAAAGAGAAGGTATAGTTCAAGAGCCAGCAGCTTTCTCTCATAGGCTTTGTGGGTGTTTAGGCTGTCTCACACCTGCTGAACTCTGCCCAGCTCTCGCCATGGCAGTGTGAGAGCAGCCTCAGGCAATACATTTTAAAAATGGAAGTGGCTGAATTCCAGTAAAACTTTATTACAGAAACAGGCAGCAGGCCAGATTTAACTTGTGGGCCATAACCCCCATCAGTGGGCTAACTCTGATGGAGAGAAAAGAAGGCACTTGGTAAACTATGCAACTCTGGTTGAGGAAGAGAAGTTCACAGAGAACACTGAGAAGTAGCAACCAGAGAGGTAAGAGGAAAAGCGGGAGAGAATAGAGGCACGAAGACAGAGATTAGGTTGTTTCAAAAATGAACTCTGTTGAATGAGTAAGGGGAGGTCTAAAATAGCATACACTGGATTTTTGGGTAAAGTGGTTATTAACCCTGAAGAGAGTAATTTCAGGGAAGTAATGGTGAAATGCAGAATGCAGTACATTAAAACGTGAATGGAAAAAAGGAAACGATAGTGACATATATAGACATCTCTTTTGAGAAGTTTGGCTTCTCATTTCACACAGAATAAAAACCTAGTTCTTATAATGGCCTACTGGGTCCTACATGACCTATACCCCACATTTCATAACCCCTTCTTCACTCTCACTCCCCACCACTCAGTTTTCTTCTCTAACCTCAGCTTTTACTCTTGTCTCTCTTGCTTTCTTCATTACAGCCACACTGGCCTCGTTGCTGGTTTCAGCTAGGCCGGGTACTCCCGCTTCATGACTGTTGAACTGCTTGTTTACTCTGCTTGGAGTGTTATTGCATATATTTGCGTGGATACCCTTCACGTCCAAGTCTTTGCTTAATTGTTTCCTTCATAGTGACACCTGGTCTATGCTATTTAAAATTAAAATTATGCTGCCATTCTATCCAACGTGCCAGTGCCCCTTATCTGTACTTTTTCTTTTCTTTTTCCCATAGCACTTTCACCTCTTTATGTATTATGTAATTTATATACTCTACTATTTATGTCACTTCCTTCTTTATTATATTTGTTGCTTATTGTCTGTTGGAATATAAACTCCATGAAGCAACAATTTTTTTTCTGTTTTCTTCATTGACATATCTTATGTGCCTTAGAATAACACTTAGTCTGTGGTAGATACTCAAGAAATTATTGTTAAATAAATGAATGAAGAAACAAGGCAAGGCTTGGAAAAACACATACGCTGTTTTACCCAACAGCTTTGTGACCTTGGGAAAATTATTTAACCTTTTTTTTTTTTTTAACAGTCCAGAAGTCTTTTATTTTTTTAACACCTATTATGCCATGAATTCATAGGGAATAGGTTCCAGCAGCTCAGGCTCCTTCCCACTGGTTCTCACAAAATATGCTTCTCTGGGTGGAGCAGGCTGGCGCTTCAGTTGAACCCAGGTACCTTTCTCTTTGGCTTCTTTCTTTTTCTGATCATTTTCCTTCTTTTTCTGATAACTTTCCATTTTCTGATAGCTTCCTTTAGGAAGCTATCTCGGCTCTTAGCGTGCTTAACGTGCTGAATATGCATATTAATTCTGTTGGCAAGAATCTTGCCCTTAACTTTTTTGTTTACAACAATGCCAACAGCATGCTGGGTAACATTGTAGACCCTTCCAGTTTTGCAGTGGTAACACTTGTGGGGCATTCCTTTTGAACAGTACCCATTCCCTTGATGTCTACAATATCACCTTTCTTACAGATTTGCATATAGGTGGCCAAAGGAACAACTCCATGCTTTCTAAAAGGCCTAGAGAACACGTATCGGGTGCCTCTCCTCTTTCCCTTTGTGTTCATCATTTTGGCAAATTACTGGAAGATGGCAGTTCTGGCTGAAAGACTTTTTGTTTGTTTGTTTGTTTGTTTGAGACAGAGTCTCACACTGTCACCCAGGCTGGAGTAAAGTGGCGTGATCTTGGCTCACTGCAACATCCGCCTCCCAGGTTCAAGTGATTCTCCTGTCTTAGCCTCCTGAGTAGCTGAGTTTACAGGCGTGCATCACGGTGCCTGGCTAATTTTTGTGTTTTTAGTGGAGACGGGATTTCACCATGTTGGCCAGGCTGGTCTTGAACTCCTGACCTCAGGTGATCCACCAGCCTTGGCCTCCCAAGATGCTGGGATTACAGGCATGAGCCACTACGCCTGGCCTAACCTTTCAGATCCTCAGCGCACTCGCCTATAAAATAGAGATAATTTTGTGGATTAAATAACATTTAGTATGATATGTAATATATTGGAGGTCCTAAATAAATTTTTCTTTTCCTTTCCTCGTCTCAAATTTTATTTTCTTACTTTCAAAATCATAGCTACAAGGCTCTCCTTGTCACTCAGTGCTTCTTTCTGGCTTTTTTCCCTCTTTTTAAGAGATCAGGTCTTACTGTGTTGCCCAGGTTAGACTTGAACTCCTGGGCTCAAGCAGTCCTCCCACCTCAATCTTCCGAGTTGCTGGAACTACGAGCACATGCCACTGCGCTAGGCTCTATTGCTTGTTTCTTTGTTTCTTCATATATTATTGTAATGAGTGTTTATTTATCAAGCACCTATTACATGCTGCGCATTACTTCAGCCGTTGGAAAACATAGCAGTGAATGAAATTCAGTGGAACAGATAATAAACTAAATAAATTATGTCAGGGGTTAGGTGGCAATAAGTATAATGAAGAAATATAAAGAGCAAGAAAGGGTGATGGTGACAGGGACTGCAGTGTTAACTGGGGTGATTAGGGAAGTTCTTACTGAAAAAATGACATTTATGTCAAGAACTGAAGGAAGTGAGGAAATGAGCTATGCGGATACTGGGAGAAGGCCTATCAAGCAAAAGGGGATAGTAAATGCAAAAGGTCTTGGGGGAACATGTCCGACATGTTAGAGGAACACCTAGGAAGCTAGTGTTGCTGGAATGAAGTGAATAAAGAAATTAGATCAGAGAGGAAATGGGAAGCCAGATTGTGTAATCCTTTATTCAGTACTGAAGTGGCCTCTGTGGCATCTTTGTGCAAATTGGAAAAAGATGTTTCCTCTGAGCAGATTTAGCCCTACAGGTGTATGGCGTGGCTAAGGAAGTGTGGACTGGATTTCAGTTCCTACTCAATGCCCCTGGCACAGAGCACAAATGGTACAGTCATACATGATGGTCTTGGCCTTATAGTTTATTCTATTCTTAAACAAGAGCAACACCTTTGTCTAAGCTACCAGTGAACACATATGCCTTCAGAAGAGAACTGAAAAGCTCCCTCCTACGTACATCTCATCCTCCAGCTTCTCTGATGTCTCCATTGTGGGAATGCGAGACTCAAGACAACCAGATGAGGTCGTTGTTAAAGCACCATTCTGAAGGAAATGTGAGAGAGGTGGTTAGAGTTTAATAAATTTGATAGGGTGGATTTAGGCTTTTAAAATGGCATATTCTTTGTCATTTTAAACACTGACTTGAAAATAGGTCAAAATATTAGCTGCCTTTTAGAAATAACCAGTTAATTTGTAATTTTTAATATATTTGAGTAGACTTTTTGGAGCAGGTATTTATTTGGAGCCACATATGGCTTTCTCTTAATCTGCATTTCTAGAACAACAAGATCCACAACTAATTGTGGAATCTTATTGAAGGTTAAAATTTTGCTTGGAAAAGAGAGTACCCAGCAAAATATCCTAGGAGCCAAATATATATTTGATTAATTGCTTCCCAGGCAAGAAAATATGGGAACTAAAACTCTGGGATCTTTCTTCTAAGTCTTTTAAACAGAAGGGGGTCTTGCTGGGTTGTTCAGGCTGGTCTTGAACTCCCAGCCTCAAGTGATCCTACTGCCTCAGCCTCCCAAAGGGCTAGTATTACAGGCATGAACCACTGTGCCCAGCCAATTTAGAACCTTTAAAAATTTTTTTCTTGCTTTACTAAGAAAGTAGTACTGCCAAAATATAATTCTTTTAAAATAAAAATGATAGTGGGAGACTTTTTAGCTATTCTGTGTGATGTGTTTTTACTACTCGAAGTATGGACTCCACAAAAATTGCTAAAAGTTGTTAAATCAATGTATTAGTATGATGGACTCCAGAAATGGAGATTTGTAGTAGGATCATTGGGATAACTTTCTAAATCTTCCAAGCTGAGTGTGGGTTTTTAACTAATGAAGAACTTAAAGCAGAATTGCAGTTTTGTAGATAACAAGTTTCTTTGTGAGTACTGATTTCCTTTGGGATTTAAGCCAGTATTCATTTGAGTGTAAATGTAAAATAAGCTGAGAGACCACAAATAATGGAGCTGTGAAGAATGGGGAATAGGAGGAAATAAAGCAAGGAGTCGTGGCTTGGCTATTTATGTTTTATATTCCTGAGAAGGACAAAATTCTCCTGTATTTAGGTGATGTCTAAGCACTAAGAAAATAGAGTATAATTATGAAATGTATACAGATATTTTAATGAAGATTTAAAAAATGGCCTTAGACTTTGAAGTTGTTGGTAGTCTCCCAGAAGTCATTCTTGGCCAGGCATGGTGGCTCACATCTGCAAACCCAGCACTTTGGGAGGCTGAGGTGGGTGGATCACGAGGTCAGGAGTTCGAGACCAGCCTGACCAGCATGGTGAAACCCTGTCTCTACTAAAATTAAAAAAATTAGCTGGGCATGGTGGTGGGCACCTGTAATCCCAGCTACTTGGGAGGCTGAGGCAGGAGAATCGCTTGAACCTGGGAGGTGGAGGCTGCAGTGAGCCGAGATCGCACCACTGCATTAGTTCATTTTCATGCGGTTGATAAAGACATATTGGAAACTGGGAACAAAAAGAGGTTTAATTTACAGTTCCACATGGCTGGGGAGGCCTCAGAATTGTGGTGGGAGGCAAAAGGGACTTCTTTCCTGGCGGTGGCAAGAGACAAATGAGAAAGAAGCAAAAGTGGGAACCCCTTCAGATCTCATGAGACTTATTCACTATTATGGGAACAGCACGGGGAAGACCGGCCCCCATGATTCAATTACCCGCCCCTGGGTCCCTCCCACAACACATGAGAATTGTGGGAGTACAATTCAAATTGAGATTTGGGTGGGGACACAGCCAAACCATATCATAAAGCATCTATTATTATTTTTGTAATTTTTACCTGCTCTCTTTCCATGCCGTCCTCACATAAACAACAAAATAGTATCTGCAATCCATTAAGGTTTCAGTGCCTGTTAATACCAAGTTTATTACTGCCACTACTGGTAATAAATAATTATTTTAAATTTATGGGTGGGCACAGTGGCTCTGCCTGTATTCCCAGCAGTTTGGGAGGCCAAGGTGGGAGGATTGCTTGAGCCCAGGAGTTCGAGACCAGCTTGGGCAACATGGCGAGACCCCATCTCTATTAATTTTTTATAAATAATTTTTAAGTTATTAAAAACATTAAAAATTTACATTTATATAGTGCCTTACAGTTTCTAAAGTATTTTCATATACGTTGTAAAATTCTTGTAGCAACTCAGTGAGAGGGACAAGATGACTATGACTTTTATTTTACCGCTGAGTAAACTTTGGCCTAGAGAGGCTCAGTGACTTAAGATCAAATGAGAAGGCTGAGACTAAAAATCAGCCTTCTTTTTTTTTTTTTTTTCCTTAGATGGGTCTTGCCCTGTCAAGTGTAAAATCAGTCTAGAAGTTTCTGCTTTAATTTATAAAAGCCCAGGCTTCCTGCCACCCACCAGACAGAATAGGTTAAGGGTTATTCACTTGGTAGACCAGGAGAATTTTGTATATCAAATACCTGATGGAAATGAAGTTTTCTGTGGTATCTCTGTGGACAAGATGGAGAAAAACAGGGTAGGTGGCTATGTCATTAGGTAAATTCATAACTGATTTGGTAACCAGAGAGCTGATTAGTGTTACTCTGAAGAGAGTTTTTGAGGGCATGCCAAAGAATTTTGTCCTCAGCCTTAGCTCTTCAACATCTATGTCTGTTTTGTATGAAATACATACAACAGGCTGATCAAATCATTGGATGATAGAGGATGTAGGGTAACTAGATTTCAGATTTTCTCTTTTCTTCCTTTTAAGCTCCTACGACTTTCCTGCTCTTCAGTCAAAAGAGTGCCATCAACCGCATGGTGATTGATGAACAACAGAGCCCCGACATCATCCTTCCCATCCACAGCCTTCGGAATGTCCGGGCCATTGACTATGACCCACTGGACAAGCAACTCTATTGGATTGACTCACGACAAAACATGATCCGAAAGGCACAAGAAGATGGCAGCCAGGTAATTGAGAGCTTGGTTCAAAATTCATTTCTCCTGACTAATAACTGGACTCACCAACCACTCTGTTTCACTTAAGTCTTGACTCTGCTTAAGTGTGTGTGTATGTGTGTATGAAACTGAAATTCTGGACCTAGTAGCTTATTTTTTCCTTCTGACGATATTTTGAGTAAGCAATTGTTTGATGATGATATTATGATGAAAATTGTTAGGCGTACTTAAGCTGTTGTGTTGGTAATGGCTTTGTGACTGCCCCCTACGTTTCTTTATGAAGTCTTTTTCCTTACATTTCTATTGTATGGAGTATTAGAAGCCTTGAAATAGGCCTTGGTTCTGATTCCAGCTCTATCCCTCACTTAGGATTCTTAGGAACTTTTTTAGCTGAAAAGAATGCAAAGCACATAGCTCTTATGTGTTATGTAACAGGAACTCAATAAATAACGGTTACATTACTAATTAACTATTATTTAAAAGGTTCAGAGGATATGAAACATATAACACAATCTCAGTAGGGTTAAAAACATCTAACATGTTATTAATCCAGTGGGTTTTTTTGGTCATAATTATATGGTGACTGTGGGATGGGAATGAGGATATTATCAATAAATCTTACCCATTTACATGCCAATTATGGATTTACACATCACTATCGATACTTCTTTGCTTGCTTTCTGTGGCCGAGCCCTGTCAGACTGGGATTATAATACTATAAATAATTACTTGTTGTCATCCTCATAGCAGTGATCGTAAGTTGTATCTTGAATGTATTAAAATTTAGGGAAGTTAGAGTACCGTTTTTCACTATGTCTCATCTTAAAATAAAGACCAAGGAGGTAATATATTTAGGGCTGCTGAGAGATCATTTAGGGTATAGTAATAGCTGTGTATTCCAGACACACTTTCCACCATATAGGCCAGGACTGATGGGCTGATAACTAATAGATAGAAATTAAGGAATATGTTACTTCAGAGATACCAGTAAGATACAGTTCAGATGGCACAAATGGACAAAGCCTCTCTTTTTGCTTGACTTTATTGTAAAAAAATTGCATGTGTAGACTTGAGGATCAGAAAAGGAGATGACTTGATTTGTAGCCTTTACTAGTTGCTGTTATCTCTAGAGCAGGGTTTCTCAAGCACTGTGGTCGTTTTGGGCTGGATTAATTGTTTGTTGTGGGGGGCTGCTCGGAATATTGTAGGATGTTTAACAGCATCCCTGGTCTCTGCCTGCTAGTTACCAGTTGTATTCCCACAGTCGTGACAGTAAAAAATGTCTTCATACATTGCCAAATGCCCATGGCGGGGCAATATTGCCTCTAGTTGCAATCCGCTGCTTTAGAGATATTTCTAGGGTGTGGTTTTAGCCACAGTTGTCTCCAGTTTAGAGAAGATAGTTGCCACCTTCTCACTCCCATCTCTTAATCAAGGCATTATCAGGTTCTTGGAGCAACTAATCTGACCTCAGCTCTTTTTTTCAGCAGCAGGATAACCCAAGGAACATTTGAGATGTGTATTAACAAAGAAGCACATTACCCATAAAAAAAGGTATCAGTAAGAAATACTCCTTAAGACTTGAGAGAGCCTTCTCAGCTGTGTGCCCATGTAGGTGTAAGCATTGTGACTGATTGCCTCAGGGTTATCTGCCCCTGGAGTTTAATTTTCTCTGTATTTCTTTTTTTCCCTAGGGCTTTACTGTGGTTGTGAGCTCAGTTCCGAGTCAGAACCTGGAAATACAACCCTATGACCTCAGCATTGATATTTACAGCCGCTACATCTACTGGACTTGTGAGGCTACCAATGTCATTAATGTGACAAGATTAGATGGGAGATCAGTTGGAGTGGTGCTGAAAGGCGAGCAGGACAGACCTCGAGCCGTTGTGGTAAACCCAGAGAAAGGGTATGTTACTAAAGTGGCGTTCAGATACTGTGGCTTCTGAGACTCTCCTCACCCTTCTTTTTCAGCCTGTTATTTATTTACCTTTAAGTGTCCTGTGCTCCAGCAAACAATTCAATATTCTCTATCAGTTTGTTTCTGCATTATCTTAACAGTTGTCTTACACTTTCTCTGATTTCACTGCCCAGACTTTCTTTCCTGGGCCACTAGTGCTTTAATTCTAAGTCTTAACCACACCTCCAGGACCATTTCAACTGCCACGTCCTCCAGGAAGTTTTCCTCGATCTACCTCATCCCAGCCAGATGTGATTTTTGCCCCCTCCTGAATACTCAGTACTCTGTATCTGTGCCTCTCTAAGTTATACTTAGTCCTTTCCAATTTACGTTACTTTTAATTATTTTTTAGTCTTGTATTTACCACTAGACATCAGTTTTCTTTATGATGAGAACTAGTATGCTTTCTTTCATTTAATAAAGAGCTTTGCATTTAATAAATACTCAATAATCAGTTGTATCTGAGTCAATGATAAGGTATTCAGCAAGTAAAGTAGCTTACTTCAAAAGAGAGGAAAAGGATGAAATCTAGACGTTAAATATAAGAAGTGATTTATATGTAACTTCTTTTTAGTTATTAAATAGATTAATTAGAAAGAATTTAAAATTTTGTGTTAAGGTCTCTCTAGTCACTGATCTTTAATTTGTCGTATTATTCTGAAAACATATGTGTGCCTATGTCTAACACTATTCTGTTAATCTATGAAAGCTCCCTAATAACTTCTGTGTACCTTTGTTGCTACTATTAAAAGTAGTAAAAGTGTCCCATGACCTTTTAAAAATGTAAATATATAAATAGATATGTATATATTTATAAAAGGATTTTTATCTATACACATTTATTTATATAAAAGAGGATTTATATATATATACACATATATATTTATATAAAAGAGGATATATATATATATATTTGGATACAAGGTTTGGCTCGATCACCCAGGCTAGAGTGCAGTGACACAATCTCAGCTCACTGCAACCTCTGCCTCCTGGGCTCAAGTGATCCTCCCACCTCAGCCTTCCAAGTAGCTGGGACTACAGGCACACGCCACCATGCCTGGCTAATTTTTGGGGTATTTTTTGTAGAAATGGGGTTTTGCTGTGTTGCCCAAGCTGGTCTCTCACTCATAAGCTTAAGCAATACCCCCGCCTCAGTCTCCCAAAGTGCTGAGATTACAGGCATGAGCCACTGTGCCTGGTCAAAAAATACGTATTTTAAAACTTTTAAAAACAATACTTAAAAATACTCTACCTCCATTTGTCTTAATAAGAATATCCTCATTTTATGTGGTTTCTTACTCCAGTAACTTATTTTTTTCCTCCTTTCCCTCTAGGTATATGTATTTTACCAATCTTCAGGAAAGGTCTCCTAAAATTGAACGGGCTGCTTTGGATGGGACAGAACGGGAGGTCCTCTTTTTCAGTGGCTTAAGTAAACCAATTGCTTTAGCCCTTGATAGCAGGCTGGGCAAGCTCTTTTGGGCTGATTCAGATCTCCGGCGAATTGAAAGCAGTGATCTCTCAGGTACCCAAGAAATATGTTTCCTTATTTTAATTTGAGTTTTTAAGATGATTCATCTATTGTGTTTTTCTTGCATCGTATTGTTTTTGGCACATTTCTTGGCAGTTTTATTCATTAAATGTAGTCAGCATCAGGTTGGTTGGTGAAGAGCTTTTTCTTCAACTGTCAACATGATTACTCCTCTGTTACTTAACTACCTGCCAGTTTTCTTGATCTTGGTTCTGTAAATAATATATTTCTTTTTTTTTGAGACGGAGTCTTGCTTTATCGCCCAGGCTGGAATGCAGTTCCCGGGTTCACGCCATTCTCCTGCCTCAGCCTCCTGAGTATCTGGGACTACAGGCACCTGCCACTGCGCCCAGCTAATTTTTTCTATTTTTAGTAGAGACAGGGTTTCACCGTGTTAGCCAGGATGGTCTCGATCTCCTGACCTTGTGATCCACCCGCCTCGGCCTCCCAAAGTGCTGGGATTACAGGCGTAAGCCACCGCGCCCGGCGTAAATAATACATTTCTAATGCATCCTTTCCTAACTCTTCTGCTCTAGTTTATGTTCTTGTCATCTGTGGCCAAATCCTAGCCTCTGGTTGATCTCCCTGCCAGTTTTTCTCCATGAAAGTTTACACATGGCTCCTAAATTTTCTGAAGCATGGTTTTAATGTCACTGCTTTACTTAAAAAATCTTCAGGGTAGTTTCATAACCTGTAGGAAAAAAGTCTAGTTGTACTCTTAAGTTGGTATAAGTTAGTATTCACCTTTCACAACCTCATCGTGGCGTTTACCTTTCTGGTATTTTAACCAAATTAAATTATTTGTTCGTCTTAAGATATACTTTTA
Source organism: Homo sapiens (assembly GCF_000001405.40). Lineage (NCBI taxonomy): Eukaryota > Metazoa > Chordata > Mammalia > Primates > Hominidae > Homo > Homo sapiens. The sequence continues at coordinate 115,531 of NW_011332696.1, read as the reverse complement.
CTTTCACATTTCTCTGCAATCTTATGTCTGTAATTATAATTACCTCCTCTGTCCCCAATTTCTGATGTCCATATAGTCTGTGTTGGCCTCCCTAGTGATCAGGTAAATGAAATTAAAATATACTATTTGTGTCTGTCAGCATGGCAAAAATATGTTAACGTTGATTATTGCCTAGCATTGGCCAGTATGGTAGAAAATTACATGCCCTCATGTGCTTTGGTGGAAGTGGAAATTGATAGAGCCTTTTTAGAGGACAATTTGCCAGTAATAATCAAAATTTAAAATATGCATTCCCTTTGATCTGGTGATTTCCTTTGTAGATAGCTGTCTTAGAGAAAGACCGATGTAAGTGTATAAGGGTATTTGCTGAGCATTATTTGTGATAGTCCTTCATGGAGAAATACATTCTATCAGTGTATGGAATATTACAGTCATTCAAAAGAATAAGGTAGATCTGTGTGCACTAACATGAATGATTTTTAAAAATTAAATTTCAGAAAAATTCTTAAGATCTAGTTTTGTTTAAAATTTGAAACCGTATAGTATATACACTGTGTATACACAGTGTATGTATATATACCGTTAAGAAATGTGGGAACTCAGGCCAGGTGTGGTGGCTCATGCTTGTAATCTCAGCACTTTGAGAGGCCGAAGAGGGTGGATCACCTGAGGTCAGGAGTTTGAGACCAGCCTGGCCAACATGGCAAAATGCTGTCTCTACTAAAAATACAGAAAATAGCCAAGCATGGTGGTGGGCACCTGTAATCTCAGCTACTCGGCAGGCTGAGGCAGGAGAATCGCTTGAACATGGGAGGCGGTGGTTGCAGTGAGTCAAGACGGCGCCACTGCACTCCAGCCTGGGTTATGGAACGAGAACGAGACTGTCTCAAAAAAAAAAAAAAAAAAAAAGAAAAAGAAAAAAGAAATGTGGGATCTCAGATCTCAGATCTTCAGATCTCAGGTTCTTCAACAAAGAGAGAGAGGGAAAGAGAGAAGGGGGAGGGAGGGAGGGAGGGAGGGGAGAGAGGAGAGGGGAAAAGAAACAGACATACATGTCAGTATTTTCCTCAAGAAATAAGCAAATATATCTCAAGTCTGGAGCATTAGCATACTAAAATGTTGAGACTGCTTACTCCTGTATCATGTACATTTTTGTATGTTTGAATACATTTATAATTATTTTAATCTTTTTTTCACATTTTTTTTAATGTCTTCAGGTTCAAATGCCTCCCTTCCATTATGTATTCTCTGATTCCAGACAGTTAGGCACACACTTACGCATGTATAGTTACACGCCTGGTATAGTATATTCTTTCCCTCATCTGATCTCCTCTGTCTCTTATATCACCTCTAATTTTTTTTTCTGGGTACCTAATGCATTTATGTCTTTTGAATAATTGTTTTTTCCAAAATTCACCTTCTGTTGCAATCTGAATGTATTAGGTTGGTGCAAAAGTAATTGCAGTTTTTTTTTTAATTATAAGTTTTAGGATACATGTGCACAATGTGCAGGTTTGATACATAGGTATACATGTGCCCTGTTGGTTTGCTGCACCCATTAACTAGTAATTTACATTAGGTATTTCTCCTAATGCTATCCCTCCCCTAGCCCCCCACCCCCCGACAGGCCCCAGTGTGTGATGTTCCCCACCCTGTGTCCAAGTGATCTCATTGTTTAATTCCCACCTGTGAGTGAGAACATGTGGTGTTTGGTTTTCTGTCCTTGTGATAGTTTGCTGAGAATGATGGTTTCCAGCTTCATCCATGTCTCTGCAAAGGACATGAACTTATCCTTTTTTATGGTTGCATAGTATTCCATGGATATCACCTCTCATTTGTACATTAGTTACTTATGTCAATATTTTAAACTATCTTTTGTTTTTATTTTTGTTTGAGAAAGGGTTTTGCCCTGTCACCCAGGCTAGAGTACAGTGGTGTGATTATAGCTTGCTGCAGCCTCAAACTCCCTAGCTCAAACAGTCCTCCTGCCTCAGCTTCCTGAGTAGCTAGGACTATGGGCACACACCACCACACCCGGCTAATTTTATTTTTGTAGAGATGGGGGTCTTGCTGTGTTGCTGAGGCTAGTCTCAAACTCCTGGGCTCAAGTGATCCCCCTGCCTTGGCCTCCCAAAGTTCTGGGATTACAGGCATGAGCCACCATGCCTGGCAGGCAGGTCTGTGATAAAGCTCTTCATGAAAATGTTTCATTCATTACAATTAATTTTGTCCCACTGCTGCAATGAGCCATGATCATGATTGCACCACTGCACTCCAGCCTGGCCAATAAAGCCGAGACCCTGTCTCAAAAAATAACCCAAAACTGGTAACTTGAAAGTTTATTGTTGTATAGGAATTCTTTGTACATTCTAGATATGAATCCTTTGTCAAGATATATACTGCATAAATCTCCCAGTTTGTGATTTACCTTTTTTATTCTCCCAGTAGTATCTTTAGATGAAAAGAAAGGTCCTAATTTTAATGTAGTACAGTTTATTAATTTTCTTTTTACGGTTAACATCTTTTATGTTGTTTAAGAAATCTTCATGGGAGTTGAGGGATGAGAAATTACTTAATGCGTACAACGTACACTATGGTTTTACACTAAAAGCTCACACTTCACACTTGTACACATCATAGATACATAGTATATATCCATGTTAAAAAAACTTGTACCACATAAATGTATAGCAATAAGAAAAAAGAAAGAAATGTTTGTCTTCTGCAAAGGTACAAAAAGATACTTTAGTTTTTTCCCTGAAATTTCTTCATTTAACTTTTCTTATTGGGATCTGTAATCCATCTGGAATTGATTTTGGTGTGTAGTGTGAGGCAGGGGTTAAAATGCATTTTTTTCCACATTACTGTTGGATTCAGCATCATTTACTGGAAAGACTGTCCTTTCCCTACTACTCTGTAGTATCACCTTGGTCATAAATGAGGTGACTGTATTTGTGTGTGTTTGTTTCTAGACTCTGATGTTCCCTTGGTCACTTTGCCTTTACTTATATTATACTGTCAATTATTATAACTGCAATAGATTCATCTGTGTCTTCAGTATTTTTTCAGGATTACCTTGGCTATTGTTAACTACCGCAATTTCCATGTACATTGTAGAATCAGCTTGTGAGTTTCCCCTTCCAAAAAAAATCACATACTAAGATGTTCATTGGGTTTGCATTAAATTGATAGTTTAGAGAGAATTATTATCTTTATAATATTAATCTTCTAAACCATGATCATGGTAAATCTCCCTGTTTATTTAGATCTTTAATTTCTCTTAATGTTTTATAATTTTCAGCATAGAGGTCTTGCCTATCTTTCATTAGAGTTGTTATTCCTTCTTATTTGGTGCTTTTAAACGCTAGTGGTAAAGACTATTCTAAACTTAATGTTTTATTTTCTAATTGTGCCTGGAATATGGAAATACAATTTCTTTTTTTCTCCTTCTAGCATATTAGCTTGTACCACAGGACCATGCTAAGTATACTTATCTTTAGGATTTTTTATGTTATAGAATCATGTTTCTTCAAATAATGAGAGTTGTGTTTTTTTCTTTCCTTATACTGGCTGGGGTCCCCCAGTACAGTGTTGAATAGGATGATAATAGAATCCTTTTTTGTTGTTGTTGTTTTCTAGGTCTTGGAGAAGCATTCAGTACTTTTGTGATTAAGTATTCTTTGCTAAGGTTTTTCTGTAGATAACCTTTGTCAAATTAAGGAATTTACTTACTTTCCCCAGTTTACTGGGATAAATAAAATCTAGCATGATATATTATTCTTTTTTTTATTGCTGGATTTGATTTGCTAATGTTTTGAGATTTTTTTTAATCTACGCTCATGAGAAGGATTACCTTATAATTTTCTTTTCTTGTCAGGTATTTGTTGGTGTTTTGCCATCAAGGCTTTGTTGGCCACATAAAAAGAAATGTTTGTTCTTTTTCTATTCTCTGAAAAAGGTTACTGTCAAGTTGATTTTTTTTTTCTTACGTATTCACAGATAATTATGCTTTCATCCTGGGACCTTTTTCTATTTCGTATTTGTAGCCACCCACATAGCCTTTTATAGCGAATTGCATCCAGTGCATGCTTAGTTTGTTGAATAAATAAGCATATCTTTTCCTTGTTGGTTCCAGTAGCTTACTTATTTTTCACCAGCATCAAAGTAGATCAGGTCCTTACCATATCTGGGGGCCTGCAGTGACACTATTGACTTCCTTTTTTACCCAGTTGTCTACCTCAGACCATCCTTTCATTACCGCCAGCTAATCTTTAAAAATCATTCTTCTTTATTGTTTAATTTTAATTTTCATTAAAGTAATACATGTAAATATTATGGATATCAAACTGTTCTACCTGGCTTGTAACAAAAAACAAGCCTACTGCTCTACTCTGCTGCTCTCAGTTCCCATGCTTAGAAGCATTCACAACTATTTTCACTTATTTTAAAATAAACTTGCTTAAAAATGCTATTTCTTGATTTTTCTCTTTTAGACGTTAAACATTGACTTCCTTTGGAAGATAAAGATTTTGCTATCTTAAACCATATGTCGCCAAAATACACGTGTGAATTTTCTTTCCATCCTCCCCAGCATAGTTATGAACTTTCCAGAATTCGAGGCACAAGTTTGCAGATAGAAAGGACCCACCTGTGACTAGTGCCATAATTTTTTTAAGTCTAGACTTAATTACTTATTATTTATGGCTATGAACATATTACTGTTAGGTACATTTCTTTCTAAAACTTTTTTCCTCCCTGCAGAGTTAATACTTGTGTAATGTAAATATTGTTTCAATAAATGGATATGCATCAAGCAGTCCATCTATTTGTCTTCATAATTAAAATCACATCTCTGGGTTTCTTCATCATCTTGCTGCAGTCTGGATTTGCTTGGTTTCTAGGCTAACTTCATTTCTCCATTGTCCTGGGAGTATACAGATGCTGAACCTGCTATTTCCTGGACTCCATTTCTTCTGGTTTTCTTAAGAGAGACCATTTTCTAGCAGCTTCTTGAAAGGGGCTCATCATAAAAGGTTAAAATTCTTGATCTTGTTTGAATTTTTTTTCCTCCTCACACTTGGTTGATAATTTGCTTTCATGTTTTATAGCTGTTTTCTCTCAGAATTTCGAAAATAGAACTCCATTGTCTTTGAGCATCTTGTGTCATTGGGAAGTTTGATGTGACTGTGATTTCAGTCTTTGTATGCTGTCCTTTTCCTTTTTCCTCCAGAAGCTTTTAACATGTTCTTTCCCCTCAATGTCCTAGAATTTGATACTGTGCCTTTGTTTGATTCCTCCCTTCTTTCCTTTTTTCTTTCTCTCCACTCTCCCTCCCCCAGCCCTTTCCTCTTCCCCTTTCTCATCATTCCCTTCTTTTCCCCTTCTCCTTCCCCTTCTTTCCCTTCTTCTTCCTTTCTAGTCCTTTTCCCCTTGAGCTTGGGGGAAGCATTCAATACTTTGTGATTAAGTATTCTTTGCTAAGGTTTTTCTGTAGATAACCTTTGTCAAATTAAGGAATTTAACTTCTTTTCTCAGTTTGCTGGAATAAATAAAATTTAGCATGGTACATTCTTTTTATTTATTGCTGGATTTGATATGCTAATGTTTTGTTTTAAGATTTATTTTTTTAATTGGCCAGGTGCAGTGGCTCACGCCTGTAATCCCAGCACTTTTGGAGGCTGAGGCGGGCAGATCATGAGGTCAGGAGTTCAAGGCCAGCCTGGCCACCATGGTGAAACCCCATATCTACTAAAAATACAAAAATTAGCCTGGCATGGTGACGGGTGCGAGTAATCCCAGCTACTCAGGAGTCTGAGGCAGGAGAATCACGTGAAACCGGAAGGTGAAGGTTGCAGTGAGGCGAGATTGAGCCACTGCACTCTAGCCTGGGCGAAAGAGCAAAACTCCGTCTCAAAAAAAAAAAAAAAAGATTTTTAAAATCTATGCTCGTGCTTTCCCTTCCCCTTCCCTTCCTTCTCATTGAACTGGTTACTAGGTTGATCCTTTCTGTCTAGAAGTCTACACCTTAAATTCTGGAATGTTTTCTTGTGTTGTTTCTTTGATAATTTATTTTTCATTTTCCTATTTTGGAGCTTTTTATTTTTATGCTGAACCTTCTTGACTGTAGCTGTATTTTTCTCACCTATTATCCATCTCTTTGTGTTTTTGTTATACTTTCTGAGGAGAGCTTCTCAAATTTGTCTCCCAACCCTCTTGTTGCATTTTTCTTTGAAATTTTTGGATATCATGTTTTTAATTTCCAAGGGCTCTTTTTTGTTCTCCAAATGCTCTGCCCCTCTGAAGACAGCCTATTCTTTAGGTTTTTTGTTTTTTTTTTAATTGGTATTTATTTGTTTTCTTCTGCTTTTGTGTCTTTTTCTCCAAGTTCCTTTGTTGTGTTTGTCTTGGGCTTCAAATTTAAAGATAGAGGTTTTCTTTAAATATTTGGTGATCCTTAGCTGTTTGTATTTAGTATGAGGCTTAAAAATACTGAGAACATTGCTGTGTAATTTCTTACACATATTTTCAATTAGTACTCCTCTTTCAGCCCCAGCCACATAACTCCTACCTTTGTTCCATTCTAAAATACCTGGTGCTTCCACTTTCTGAGCTAATTAATTTCATTGTTAGCTTCACTGGCTGTAGGCCTTTAGCTTTCTCTGGGCTACTGTGTCATTATCCCTGGTCTATCTATTCTCCAGCTTCCAAAATTTATATCACTTTCCTGCTCTCTTCTGTTCTTCTGCCTTCTTTGTCCTTATGGGTTTATACCTTCAAAATTATTTTCTTTTTCTTTCTTTCTTTTTTTTTTCCTGAGACAGGGTCTCACTCTGTCACCCAGGCTGCAGTGCAGTGTGAACTTGGCTCACTACAGCCTTGACCTCCCTGGCTCAAGGAATTCTCCCATCTCAGCCTCCTGAGTACCTGGACTACAGGCGCATGCCACCATGCCTGGCTAATTTTTATATTTTTTGTAGAGATGGCATTTTGCCATGTTGCCCAGGCTGATGTCGAACTCCTAGGCTCACGTGATCCTCCTGCCTCAGCCTCCCAGATTACTGAGATTACAGGTGTGTGCCACTGCACCCGGCCTAAAATTTTTTCAATCACCATATTAGTAGAGTTTTAGGAGAGAATATATAAGTAAACTTGTGCTTAGCCTACCATCTGAATGTTGACTCAGGCAATGCCTTCCCATCTGGAATATCTCCCCACTTTTCTTCATTTATTAAAAAGTTGGCATTTTGCTTGCCTCTTTCCTGAAACTTTCCTTGATACTTCCAAAATATCAGCTAATGTCTTTGTTTGACTGAACTCATGACTTAGGAACCGTGAACTTTCTATAAATATTTGAAGGACTGTTATGAAAAAGAAGGAATGAGTATATTTTTTCTTTTTGAGTGAGGGAGAAACTGAATAAAGCAGGGTGGGGGGTATGAACACAGATTTTAGCCCACTGTATAAAAGAACTTTCTCACTGTGCAACAATAGCAGAAGTTGCCTCCTCAGAGTCTGGATGACTCTATGTCTGAGATGATTAGAAATAATTCTTACCTTGGGGTGAGTCAGTCATTTTTTCTAATTGTGTTCTGAGAAGCCAGGTGGGGTGAGAGTGAAGCTGTTCTTCATAAATGCCTCAGGTATACTCAGAACTCTGGGTCCACCACCACTGCTCCTCCAGAGAAGTGCCATTTTTATCTGTTGTATATATAAGTTAGGGTTTTTCAAACTACTGTTCTAAGTTCTTTTCTACATTTCTATGAACTAGAATATTTACTGCACATTGGGCACTTACTTGCTCTTGATTGCATATTAATATCTAGTTTATTGGCTGTTTTCTAGTGTATGTCTTACCATGATTTTTAAGTTTTGTGGTAGAGATCTTGTTTTTTTTTTCTTTTCTCTACCTGTAGAATCTAACTGGTAGTCAGTAAATAATTACCAAAAGTATAACTTGACCCACATGAGTCATTTCTGTTGAATTTTCTCCTTTTCCAAGGTGCTAACCGGATAGTATTAGAAGACTCCAATATCTTGCAGCCTGTGGGACTTACTGTGTTTGAAAACTGGCTCTATTGGATTGATAAACAGCAGCAAATGATTGAAAAAATTGACATGACAGGTCGAGAGGGTAGAACCAAAGTCCAAGCTCGAATTGCCCAGCTTAGTGACATTCATGCAGTAAAGGAGCTGAACCTTCAAGAATACAGTAAGTGTTAATGGGATAAAGCTAATTGGAGGAATCATGTGTTATAATAAATTAATATGTACTTTTGTGGATTTTTAAACTCTGTTTCCTTGAAGACTTTCATGCACTTTTAGTTTTGCCATTTTTTTGAACTCTCCATGCTTTTTTTTTTTTGGAGACGGAGTCTCACTCTGTCGCCCAGGCTGGAGTGCAGTGTCACGATCTTGGCTCACTGCAGCCTCTGCCTCCCGGGTTCAAGTGATTCTCATGCCTCAGCCTCCAGAGTAGCTGGGATTACAGGTGCATGCCACCATGCCTCGCTAATTTTTTTTTTTTTTAATTTTTAGTAGAAGCAGGGTTTCACCATGTTGTCCAGGCTGATCTCGAACTTCTGACTTGAAGTGATCTGCCCACCTTGGCCTCCCAAAGTGCTGGGATTACAGGTGTGATCCACCACACCCAGCCTCTTCATGCTTTTAAAGCCTTATGTCAACCTTACCCGGGAGCTTTTCCAAATTAAACATAATCTCATAAACCAGAAATGGGGGAAAGGCATGGGTCTTGCCTGTTAAAAAAGAATATTTCCTGGTACAACAATGACTGCTTATCATGCCTTGTTTTTCTCTCCTTCAGTTCCTTTGGGAATACTGATAACATAAAGCATCTATTTCTTTTCTTCCCTCTCTATACTTCCCCCCATAGCTTGAAAAAAAGTAAAAATTATATAATGATGAATATAGTTATAATGGGTTAATCTTATTCTTAGGCAAAACAAACTAAAAATTAGTGTGTAAACATAGAGAAGACTCTGTTTAATTAGTAGGTGCTTGGTTTTTTTCCCCCCCTTTGGGATAAATATTTCAATTCCCAGCTTAGAAAAATAGCCATCTCCATGAGCCCCAGGAAAAAAGAAAAGTAGCCAGAAATATTTTCTTATTTTTTTTTGAAAATGGCTAGTCATCTTGGCCTAGTTCTTAATTCATATCTGTCATCAAAATTACCCTAATCATAGAGAGGAATAAATGAGTTTATATATGCAAAACGTTTTTTAAAAAGTGCCTTCCTAGCAGTCACTACTGTTGATCATACATGATGGTACCGGGGATGCCAATGTTAAATTGAGTATGAGAGAGACAATTATTGAAATTCTGTAACTTCTCAGCTCAGTGCTTTTAAATTGAATTTAAGCATGAAAGGAGAATGAAGAAACAGGAGTAGCCCTGTACAAGTGTTCATTATGTTGGTACAGTTCATGAATTTAGAAGTAAAGTTACAAGTAATTGAGAATTAGAAAGTTAAAAATTGTTGTCATTTTATGGTATGACTTGTAGCTCAGGCTGAACATTTAATAGAAATATGATAATGATATCATACCTAAGTTATTTATTTAGTCGATACATGAATATTTTATTACAGAAAATCTCAAGATTTTCAGAATTTCAAGGGAGAGGTTTTATTTAATAACTATTTAAATATGATTGTATATTAGGTAAATCATTTTTTCAAATTTCTAATATTAAAGAGAATGGGATTTTTATCAAAAATGTCATGGAATTAAAGGTTGAGAAACACTGCTACATAGACTGTATATTCTATATAATGTGTGATGTCTGTTTTGGACAGTATGCTCATTTGTAGATAGCTGACTCCCTCAGTCTCAACACAAACTGAAGCAGAACCAATGTTATTGTGGAAGAGAGTCAAATAATAAATGGTGGCTTATATTAGATGTTCATATTTTGTGACGACAGATGTCAAGTTGCTTTTAATACAGGCTAAACAGAAAATTCCAAACAATGATTCTTTAAAAATACAACTTGTGAAACAGACTTTGAAAAGTTGCCTAGTGGTTTCTTTACTTAGCCCATGTATGAGGAAGTTAGACATTTATAGTATTACAAGTTACCTTTTGCAGTTGACCAAATAATTTTGTTTCTGAATTGTTCTGTTACATGTGCCTTTTAAGTTTTTTTCTTCTAATAACTCTTTAATTCTCAATGGATTCCTCATTAAGATACACTTTTTGACTGAAGTTGTCTTTCAGATATACGGATTTTCTGAGTTAAAAATCTTAATATAGGAGAATTCTTATATTTTAAATAGAATAATACTCAAGTTTCAGCATTCTCCCTAGCAATTTTTTGTTGTTGTTTTTTGTAGAGATGGAGTCTTGCTCTGCCGCCCAGGCTGGAGTGCAGTGGCACTATCTTGGCTCACTGTAACCTCCGCCTCCCAGGTTCAAGCAATTCTTATGCCTCAGCCTCCCGAGTAGCTGGGATTACAGGTGCATGCCACCACACCCAGCTAATTTCTTTTGTATTTTAGTAGAGACGGGATTTCACTGTGTTGCCCAGGCTGGTCTTGAACTCCTGAGTTCAGGCAATCCACCTGCCGCAGCCTCCCAAAGTGCTAGGATTACAGGCGTGAGCCACCGCACCCGGCCTCTCCCTAGCAATTTTTTAGTTTCAGTAAACATTTCTTCATATTCACAAAAATTAAGATGAGCTTTACCATTATCTTAAAATATTTTATATATAAATATATAAGGACAGTGGTTAGATAGAAGTAGTTTCTTGTAGGTTGTGTAGAGATTGAGTGAAGAATCATATTGTGTGGAAATAAAAGTCCAAGCTGGACCAACCTGACCACCATGGTAAAATTCCATCTTTACTAAAAACGGAAAAATTGGCCAGGCATGGCGGCAGTCACCTGCAATCCCAGCTACTCGGGAGGCTGAGGCAGGAGAAGCACTTGAACCTGGGAAGCAGAGTTTGCAGTGAGCCAAGATCACACCACTGTACTCCAGCCTGAGCTACAGAGCAAGACTCTGTCTCAAAATAATAATAATAATAATAATAATAATAATGATAAAAGTAAAAAAAGTCCATAATAATAATAATAAAAGTAAAAAAAAAGAGTCCAAGCTGATTATACATTTGATTTTCATAAATAGTTTTGACAGGGTTGTCCCTTTTTCTCTTCTCTCCCACTTCTCTCCCCCTCCACTCCCCCTCCTCTCCCCATCCTCACCTCTTCTCTTTGCAGGACAGCACCCTTGTGCTCAGGATAATGGTGGCTGTTCACATATTTGTCTTGTAAAGGGGGATGGTACTACAAGGTGTTCTTGCCCCATGCACCTGGTTCTACTTCAAGATGAGCTATCATGTGGAGGTAAATATGTTGTAATTTTCTTGTGCAACCCTAAATGCAAACATATTCCATATCTTAAGCCTAGACTTCTATGACTAGGCATTGAAGTTGCTCTGTCTACTAACTTAATTGGTTGCGTGTGTTCCATTCATTTGTATTGTACTAGGCTTTTCTGTTATTCTTCTCTGCCACCCTGCCCAGCCTCATAATCATCATTTTACTCTGTTTCTTTGACTTTTTTACACTCCACGTGTGAGATCATGTAGTATTTGTGTTTCTATGCCTAGCTTATTTCACTTAACAGGATGACTTCCAGGTTCATCTGTGTTGTTGCAAATGACAGGATTTCCTACTTTTTTTGACTGAATAGTATTTCACTGCGTATATATTACCACACTTTTCAGCCTGTGAATGAGTATGCTTCCTAATATTAAAGTAGCCTCCCCCCTCTCCCAAAAGGTAAAAAAATGAATTAATTCTACCTCCTGTAATCTCTCTCCACTAAATTGTAGATTCTCTAAGTTTATGTGTCATTGTTGGGAATGTGTCTGATGGAAAGAATATTCTTTTGTTCAAATCCATCAGCAAATTCCTGTTGCTTCTTTATCTAGTAAAAAATGATTTTTTAAAAGATATCACTGAGTATAGTGATACTGTTGTAGTAAAATTGGTTTAATCACTTAGCAGGTTTAACAAATAGATACATTCCATTGTTAAATTATAGTATGATGGTATCAGGCACCACAATAGTATTCATACCCTTAATTCAGATATCCTCCTTTTGGGGATAATTCTAAGTTAATTCAACTGAAGGAAAAAGACTACATCATACTATTATCTACAGTGGCAGAAATTTTTAAATGAATTTCTAATGGTGTGAAAATTATTAAGTAAAATAACTGAGTTTATACAGCTATTAAATGTTATAATCATGAAGTTGATGTAAAAATGTTGCCAAAATGACAAGTACATAAAATATATATTTCTGTAAACAAATATTGAAAGAGAATATGTATTCAACATATAAAAATTGTTGATCGGGTGGGTGGGATTACAAGTAAATTTTATTCGTCGAACTATAAGTTTTTTAAAAAATAAATAATGCATGTATTCAGTAGCAGCTATGGGCACTGTGCTTGGACCGTAGGGGATTTGAAGATCTTTGAGATAGCATACAGCGTAGTCAGGGAAATCAGATATGTACAAAGAGTTAAGCTCTGGTACTTGAAATTTTTAAAAATAGGGATTGCACAATAATGTGAATGTACTTAATGTCATTGAGCTATGCACTTTAAAGTGGTTAAATTGGTCAATTTTATGGTTACTTTACCCTCCCCCCCCCCCCCCCCCAAAAAATAGCATGTGTTTCCCTATCAGGGTGCTGGAGTGTTACTTTGAGGCAAATCCTAGAAAAATTTCTCTTTATGTTAATGATAACATGGATAAAACTGAGTCAAGGATCTCATCTTCCAGTTTGAAAATATCTTTTAAAGGGCCTTTTTTCTTGCTTGCACATTTAGCAATTATTTTTAATGTATGTATTAAAACGAGTTTTGACAGATGTATACAACTGTGTATTAGGCCATTCTTGCATTGCTATAAAGAAATACCTGAGGCTGGGTAACTTATAAAGAAAAAGTTTAATTGGCTCATGGTTCTGCCGGCTGTATTGTTCAGCTTCTGGATAGGCCTCAGGAAACTTTGATGGCGGGGGTGAAGAGTGAGCAGGCAGGTCACATGGCAAAAGAGGGAGCAAGAGAGAGAGAGTAGGCTAGAGGGAGTGCCACACACTTTTAAACAACCAGCTCTCCCAAGAATTCATTTACTATCAGGAGGATAGCACCAAGGCATGAGGGATCTACCCCCCATGATCCAAACACTTCCCACCAGGCCTCACTTCCAACATTGGGGATTACATTTCAACATGAGATTTGGAGGGACAAATATCCAAACTATATCACACGGTTTGCATGACATGCAGTTCAAAGTAGTGTCCTTTGTTTTATGTTTATTAGTTTCTTTCTATCCCCAACCAAATTCAAACTGCTTTAAGGACGTGGATATATTTTATCTACTTTAATTCTCCATACAATATAGATAGTATAGTGCTGAATACATAATAGGCTCTTATTAAATAATCCCTAAAATTCCCCATGTAAAATGTTCACCTGTAATCTGCAATATTCTCTGTTGTAAAGTTACAGGGTTTTCTGACCTATGGTCACATCATAAGGTTATGGGTTCTCTAGATAATTCACTAACAGACAAGTGTAAATAACTACTGTATAATTTACCTGTCAGTCATTCTTTCAAGTAAAAATGACATTCCATTTTGAGTTGGATTTACAACTCAAAACAAATGCTTTCCCATTAGAAACTACCACACTTAGGTTTGCAACATGAGCTTTATGCATAATTGCCATTTGATTGATCAGACTATTAAAGAGGCATACACTTGGGTTGATTTTAATATAATTTTTTATTGATTCATCAATAACATTCTTAAGTGAAATTGGTCTTTTTGTGTGTTTGTTTAAACTGTGCACATGTGGCTGTGTATAGTACAGTGATTACTAATAAAGTTTGTTGTCATTTGCCTGAGTCTGCTAAGGTACCAAGTTTTATTCACTATTTCTTTTGCAGCATCAGTGCAAAGATAGCCAAAAAAAAGCAATGACATCTTAATGTTATTATAAAAATAGTTTTTACCTAGTGGGTCCCCTGAAAGAGGTCTCAGGAACGCCTAAGGGTTCATGGACTATCCTTTGAGAAGCTTAGAGCTAGAAAACTTTTGAGTGCTAGGCTAACTTTAAAGTCTTTGGTAATTATACTGATTATTCCTAGGTTTTGTGTGAGACTGTAACGGATTGCAAATATTACAATCCTGTTTTGGATTACAAGATATGAAAAAACTTTTGCCTTATAGTTTTGCGGGCAAAAGTTTATAGTGAATGTAAAGGAAGTAATGTGAAAACCTTTATTTCTTCTTTGAATAGATGAGATAGTTATAAATCATATTTATTATAAAGTATTTTGTGTATGTTAATTATTAAATGAGCTTCACTCAGGTATGTGTTTGTACTTCTGTGTGACCATGATTGTGTTTTTGTCACTCCCCTTCTCCTTGTTCATTTGAAGAACCTCCAACATGTTCTCCTCAGCAGTTTACTTGTTTCACGGGGGAAATTGACTGTATCCCTGTGGCTTGGCGGTGCGATGGGTTTACTGAATGTGAAGACCACAGTGATGAACTCAATTGTCCTGTATGCTCAGAGTCCCAGTTCCAGTGTGCCAGTGGGCAGTGTATTGATGGTGCCCTCCGATGCAATGGAGATGCAAACTGCCAGGACAAATCAGATGAGAAGAACTGTGAAGGTATCCAGAATTCTTCAGTGCCTCAGCATGCAATCCTTTTTTCCCATTCAGTTGTTTAAACTTCAGTATTACTTGGCTTAGTGTCAGTTGGGGTTTTTCAAGTACATATGACTGTATCACTTCTGATCATAGTGCCATGTTCCATATTATTGTTTTAATTCACTCCATATGCATAAGATTTATACAAATTAATAAGCTTTGAAAATTGAGAAATGAAACTAAAATATATTAGGCCTTCAGTATATAAAAATAGTCCCTGTTTCCAATGAGCTCTGAATTAGTGGATTTATTAATTACGCTCTAACATATTTTATATTCTTCACTTTCCCTTACTAACTTTTCCCATGGTAAAAACAACCCAGCCAAGTTCTCTAGAATTCTTTAGTGAAAGAGGGAATTTAATGTAAAGAATAAGCCGGGCGTGGTGGCTCACGCCTGTAATCCCAGCACTTTGGGAGGCCGAGGCGGGCGGATCACGAGGTCAGGAGATAGAGACCATCCTGGCTAACACGGTGAAACCCCATCTCTACTAAAAATACAAAAAAATTAGCCGGGCCTGGTGGCAGACGCCTGTAGTCCCAGCTACTTGGGAGGCTGAGGCAGGAGAATGGCGTGAACCTGGGAAGCAGAGCTTGCAGTGAGCCAATATCGCGCCACTGCACTCCAGCCTGGGCGACAGAGCAAGACTCCGTCTCAAAAAAAAAAAAAAAAAAAAAAAAAAAATGTTAGGAAATTTCCTGCTGGATTTTTTTCTCCTACTCTTTTTTCTCTCTCTCAACCAATGGAACTCCAGAGAATAATATTTAAGTTATAGCTAAAAGTCTAATTTGTTTTTCATTTGTGTTCAGAAGGCACCTTTTGATTCTTGCCAGAGTTTGACTTTACATGATATTAAAAATAAGGAAACTATTTATGTTTTTTTTCCAGTGCTTTGTTTAATTGATCAGTTCCGCTGTGCCAATGGTCAGTGCATTGGAAAGCACAAGAAGTGTGATCATAATGTGGATTGCAGTGACAAGTCAGATGAACTGGATTGTTGTAAGTAGGACTGAGATCTATAAATTACTCTTAACAGAGAATTTAAACAATTTTTTTTCTTATGTGTGAGGTTTACTTATCGAGATTTCCTTTCTAAGTAATAAGTATTAATATTAAGCTAATTATTTGTGTGAAGGTTTTTTTATGTTTTGCTTTCAGTAATTCTTTAAACATAGCAGTTTTCTTATGCACAGAAATCTTCACAGAAACATTTAGTAAAGCACTAGAAAAGAGTAAATATTATTTTACTATAACCAAAGTTACAAAATTCTCAAATCATTTAGATACATAGAAATCAGCCGGGCGTGGTGGCTCACACCTGTAATCCCAGCACTTTGGGAGGCCAAGGTGGGCGGATCACTTGAGGTCAGGAGTTCGAGACCAGCCTGGCCAACATGGTGAAACCCTAGCTGTACTAAAAATACAAAAATTAGCCAGGCGTGGTGGTGCATGCCTGTAATCCCAGCTACTGGGAGGCTGAAGCAGGACAATCATTTGAACCCAGGAGGCGGAGGTTGCATTGAGCCGAGATCACACCATTGCACTCTAGCCTAGGCGACAGAGCAAGACTCCGTCTCAAAAAAAAAAAAAAAGAAAAGAATTCAATTGGTCTGAATTCAATTCAGAACTTAAGCAATCCACCCACTTTGGCCTCACAAAGTGCTGGAATTACAGGTCTTCATCTTCAAAATGAAGAGAATGATGCTTAACCTGATGCCTATAAGAAAATTAAATGATTTAACATATATATCATTTAGCCTAAAAAACACATAGCCTGGTTCATAGTAGATACATTGATTATGGAGTATAAGTGCTGTAATAGAAATCTACACAGGTGGCAGTAGAAATGAGAGAGTAGTCAGCTTATTAGGGACAAAGATGGACTTGATCAAGGAAGGCATCTTAGAAAAATGGTATTTAAGATTGGGTGTTGTGCCAGTGCGCTGGCTCACACCTGTAATCCCAGCACTTTGGGAGGCCAATGTGGGCAGATCACGAGGTCAGGAGTTCGAGACCAGCCTGGCCAACATGTGAAACCCCGTCTCTACTAAAAATACAAAAATTAGCTGGGCGTGGTGGCGGGCACCTGTAATCCCAGCTACTCAGGAGGCTGAGGCAAGAGAATCGTTTGAACCCGGGAGGTGGAGGTTGCAGTGAGCCGAGATCGTGCCATTGTACTCCAACCTGGGCGACAGGGCGAGACTCCATCTCAAAAAAAAAGAAAAAAAAGACTGGGTGTTGATCAATGAATAGTGTTCATCATGTAGATAATTGGAGAAATTTCATTTTGGGCAGAGGGAATATACTGTTCAAAAGCAGAAAAGAGTGAAACAGGCACCTCTGGGAAACTCCATGTAATGGGACTGCCAAAATACAGGCTCTGTTGAGGGGTGTCAGCAAGAGATAACATAGGTAAAGGTACAATCATGGAGGACTATGCTTTTCTTCTAAAGAGCCTAGACAATATTAACAATGGGGAGTGGAGAGTCACTGAAAATTTCAAGAAAAAGACTAGCATGGTCAAGCAATACAGAAGTTGTAAAGCCAGTGGGTTGGAGGTGATAAGCTTATAGGCAGGGAAATCTGTTAGATTGATTGCTTTCAAACTTCTGATCGCATCAAGAGGAATACAGAGATGTGAGCTCATGCATTTAAAAAGGTGTCACACAACACTTAAATATTTACCCATGTTATATAGAACACTTTCTGACATTTTCTGTTTTATTTTTTCAAAGCTGGTTGTAACCCACTAAATCATTCTCACCATTTACGAATGACTTGCAGCCTGTAATTTAAAAAGGAAGCGATTAGAGTTTAGGCAGAAGATGATAAAGATCTAAATCATGAGGAGGAGGAGTGGGGGTGGCAGGGAGAGAACAGATTTCGGAGTTGTTTCAGAAGTAGAATAAAGAGGAATTGGTAACCACTTAGCTATAGTTGATAAGTTTAAGTTGACCCACAGGTACCTCACTGAGTGACTGGAGTCATTAAATGGGATATATAGCAGGAACTGAAAACCAAAGTACCATACCACATCTTGGCTGCAGATGTAATGTTTGATTGATGTGATGTTTAATTTACATTAAATGCCTTTAGGCAGGCGTGTACTTTGCCACAAGCCCCATCACTTTTTATTATCTTATACTAGATGACTTTATTTATGGTGTCTTTACCCCTGGAATCTAGGAGAAATGACTGATCATGGTGACAGTGAGTTCAGTTTGTGATATGTTGCCTGAGAGGTACTCATGGAATATCCCACTGAAGCTCTTCAGGAAGTTGATTATAAGGAACTGTGGCTCAGAAGAGAGATTTGGTGCTCATTAGTTTATTGATAATAATGAAAGCTGTGACAGTAGATAGAATCTCCCAGGACAGTAAGAAGAGGAGGAAAATAGTAGGTGATAGATAGAAATCTCTCTGGGAAGCACCTGCACTTAAGATGCAGGCAGAAGAGAATGAAGCCAACAAAGGAAGCAGAGAAAGAATAATCAGAAATAGTAAAATTAAGAGAGTGGTATCTTGGAAGAATATTGATCAGACTTTTTTTTAAAGAGAAGACAGGAGCCAGCAGTATTGTGTAAAGAGGTTAGTGAAATGAATATATTGAATATGGCAAATAGTAGAACTTTGACTGTTGACAGAAAAGTTTCAGTGCAGTGGTGAGGGTGGAAGTCTGATTTCAGGGAGTTTATGGTGTGACCCAGAGGCTAGGGATTGAGGGTAGTGAATGTAAACTTTTCTTTCCTGAAGCTTGGCATTGCAAAGGAATGTTAGGGGACTAAAAAGGAATGAAAAGATGAGACGGTTGTTCTCAAGGACTAAGAAGAGTCTATGCTTCAGATTCCACAGACTAAATTTGTAAATGATAATCCCTACATATTATGTAACTTAGAGATGTCATTTTCACGCATTTCTTTCATATAATCTGTCAGAGGATGAGTTTAGCTATATGGATGGGAGATTTGAGGTAAGATGAAGCAGGAGGAAGTTTTTTAAAGGATCTGCAACTGTGAGATAAAATTTAACTGTTCAGAATGGAAGAATTTTCCCTCTGAATAGAGACAGTAATGCTCTAATTTCAATAAGCTCACTTTCCCTCTACCTCTGATATTGATGCCCTCTGCTTCTTAAACGGGTAGCTCAGGGATCCAGGGAAGGTGAATCCCTGGGGTGGTGTCCTCTTCTGGCAATGTGGCCTTTCTTTGTGAGTCCTCCAGTAATCAGGTATTAAAGACCTTATGTTCCTTGGTCTCAGGCAACTAGACAGCCTGAAGGCCAGCAGCATAGGGGATTTGAGAGCTGAGGCTTATCTTTAGCTTCCAGTTTTCATTCATCAGGCCTAAATGTCACTATTCAAATCTAAAATCTAACATGTGCTCAGAGCTGATTTTGGCTTCTTCACCATTCCAGGTAAAACATTTGATGACTTTTCTAGGTTTATCCCTTCTGGTCATAAATTTTTTCCCGAAATCTTGGAATACCGTTGTTCATTTGTATGGTATATAGAATGAAGTAGAATGGATTTTATCTGTTTATTTATTTAAAGCTTCTTAATGGTGTTTAAATCTGTACTTCATTTACCATCTTTGTTTCTATCTGTTTACAATTACACTTTCCAACCTATTGTTTTATTTCTGTCTTCATTTAAGGGTAGTTCATTTTGATTCCTAATGATGACATTTATTTCATATGTCTTCAGGGCGTGGTATGTATGTACTCATAAAAAAGAAAAGTGTTTATGAATTATCTTCATTAGGCTTATAGCTTCACATCCTATTAGCAAGCCCTCTTTTGATTACTATTTTGAATATACAGTTGTTTTTCTATTAAATAACCATACTGCATTCTTCATTGTAGATCCGACTGAAGAACCAGCACCACAGGCCACCAATACAGTTGGTTCTGTTATTGGCGTAATTGTCACCATTTTTGTGTCTGGAACTGTATACTTTATCTGCCAGAGGATGTTGTGTCCACGTATGAAGGGAGATGGGGAAACTATGACTAATGACTATGTAGTTCATGGACCAGCTTCTGTGCCTCTTGGTTATGTGCCACACCCAAGTTCTTTGTCAGGATCTCTTCCAGGTGAGTCAGGATGGATCCATTGAGAATCAAGTCTTTGGTCCTGCAAGACTGCCAGTTTCCATTGTGGAAAAGAATACTACCTAGAGTCTGTCTGAAACCATATTACTCTGAGTTTAAACAATTATAAGGACAAACGTTCTTTTTTACTATTAGCACCTTCTCTTTACACAGAAGGCCTTAGATATGGTTTGGTAGAAATTGTCAAAGCATATAAAGCAAATACATATGCAAGCTCTAAGCCTCTCTGACTGCAATTCTGGATGCATGCTACGGAAGGTGAATCAGCCAGTCATTTAGTGAAAGAGTTGTAAACCACAGGTTAAGTTCACCACCAGGGAACTCTAGTACTATGGAGCCCATGAATAAAAGGAGGCCAAAAATTATATAAGATTCCCTTCAGCCAACAAAGATTTGTAAATAGCTGGATGATAGAAGGGAGAATATGTCTTAAGTTTTCTCCTGACTTCATGTGCTAATAAGGGACAAAGGGCTAGTTTAGGCATAGCTGAGTAGCCAGAAGTTTTAAGCTTGGGTAGGCCGTGTTGCTCTAGGGAACTGGCCTTCTTTTTAATGTTTTCTGGTGCCCTTAGTTAAAAGACGCCTTCCTTTTAATGAATATGGAGAAGGCGGTGCCTTGCAAAAACCCTCTGAAAATAGGAACTTACTATGGGTGTAACTCTTAAGTAGACAAACATGGTTTTTAAACTGTTAATGGTAGTGTTGCTTTGTTGCCATACCTATTTTCAGTTAGTGGAATTTGGGAAGCTTCTTGGAAAAAATAGAATTTTTTCTTTAGCACTGGTAGTTTTGATTCTAGCAACATTTATATTCATTAGATGAAAAAATATTCTTTCATATGTTGTTTGTGCCCTAAAAATGTTTTTTTGTTTTCTTTTGAGCAAGTCTGGTATTTAATATGCCCTGCCTCACAACCTCTACCCTTTACAATCCTTTCAAATCCTCCAAGAGGTTGAAAAGCCCTTATTTTAAATAGCTCTGCTTCTACCAGGGGAGGGAGAAGGTGGGAGCTATTCTTGGCCTTGTTCTAGGCCAGCTCTTTCAATGGAAGCATTGACTTCTAGAAAACGTTCATTTCCTTTCTCCATTAAATGTTTTCAATTATAGGAAAAGAGTGTAAGTTATTTTAAAATCAGACTACTTCACTGTTGATATTTGTAATCCTACTGTTGAATGAAATTGCTTGATACATTTTTATATATCATACTCATCTTCAGTTTTTAACCTCCTTTTATTTTAGGAATGTCTCGAGGTAAATCAATGATCAGCTCCCTCAGTATCATGGGGGGAAGCAGTGGACCCCCCTATGACCGAGCCCATGTTACAGGAGCATCATCAAGTAGTTCTTCAAGCACCAAAGGCACTTACTTCCCTGCAGTAAGTAGTCTGTTTTCCTTTGAATGCGACATACATAAGATCTTAGATTTTTTAACTCATTTAAATGTGGGTGATCAGTGATAGTAATGTAAAAGTAGTTTTTGAATGTAAAATTTAGGCATAAAAGGCTCAAAGGACTTACCACACACCACCATCCATGCTTATAAATCTTTTAAGTTACTGTGTAGTAACCAGAATACTTGAAAGCACTGGGCATTAATTTCACATTTCAAGTAAAAGTAGAACTACTGAATGGTACCTATTGAGGGATTAGGGCCTTCATTTTATGACTTCCCAAAAGAGGAAGCACACCTGGAATTTCTCCTAAATCAATAATTTTTCTCTAAATACTTACTATTTTAAATAACCAGGACCTAAATGTACTGACCAATGATTTTTAGGTTACAGATTTTCGTTTTTGTCACTTTGCACTTTTTAGCCATGATGAGGTCTTAGGGAATGAGGAAGCCATAGTCCCAAAGTACTGTTTGAGGTCAATTCTTTGGAAAAGAAGAATTGTGCTAATAGTGTATTGTAAAGAAACACTAATAGAGATGAAGGAAGAAAAGTTGAAAGAAAGTCTGATAGTTTCTATGTTGTTATTTTAATATTTTAATTATTTTTTTCTTTTAGATTTTGAACCCTCCACCATCCCCAGCCACAGAGCGATCACATTACACTATGGAATTTGGATATTCTTCAAACAGTCCTTCCACTCATAGGTCATACAGGTAATACACATCCTTCTCTAAAATAAGGTGCAGTATTTATTGAAAGTGTTTCAGTTGTGGACCTGATATAGCCCCAAATGAGTAGACGATGGTCACCAGAGAGAGACTAGTCATCTTATCTTGATAGTACTGACATTGCCTCTACCACAAATCCTTTCCTTTCAGGACGTTATACTTTTTTTTTAATTTTTTGAGATGGATTTCGCTCTTGTTGCCCAGGCTGGAGTGTAATGGCATGATCTCAGCTCACTGCAACCTCCGCCTCCCAGGTTCAAGCGATTCTCCTGCCTCAGCCTCTCAAATAGCTGGGATTACAGACCTGCGCTACCACGCCCAGCTAATTTTGTATTTTTAGTAGAAACGTGGTTTCACCATGTTGGCCAGGCTGGTCTCGAACTCCTGATCTCAGGTGATCCGCCTGCCTTGGCCTCCCAAAGTGCTGGGATTACAGGTGTGAGCCACCACACCTGGCCTATACTTTTTTTTTTTTTTAAGAGAGTCACAAATGCTGGCTTTTATAATAATAAAATACAGCCTCAGGCTTTGGCAGTATTCTAAGGAGGAATTACCCACCAAAGTGACTGGTTTCAAAATAGTTTGATATTCTAAGAATGAAATATTGGGATAAGATTGGTTCATAGAATTGAGAGTTTAAAACAGCAACATACTCAGAGCACAGAATTTTAGAAAAGTTGAGAGAAATGTAAGTTCAGCCATTGCTTGCATATGCTATTACAATTTGGAGTGAAAGATTTCTCATGTAGTTGCATGGAATAAAGAAAGATTGAAATAAATAAAGTGTATTTGTAAGCCAAAAAAGAGAAAATTATTCCTTTTTGCTAATTTATGAGTCTATAAAGTGTGTTGAGCAGGTCAAGTACTGTTGTGTCAGCTTCCACTTCTATGTTCCTTGAAAGGCCAACAGACCATCAGTAGCTTGAGAGTTTCTATCTACACACTGAAGTGCCCAGGGTTCATGGGCATCCCTCAAGTGCCTGTTATCTTCTAGATAATCTTTTCTATCTTCTATCCTCTCTAGATAATCTTCTATTATCTTTCCTAGCATTTCAGTCAAATTGGCCTGATACGACCTCACCCATGTGTAGAAATGAAGTGGAAACCACTTAAAGTATCTCACTCAGAATTCTCATTTCAGCTTAGATAAGACTGAAATAGCCTTGGCTGTGAACTGATTGTTTTAATGATATGTTGTAATGTTGCTTTCCCTGCCACAAGTTTCTTCTTCTAGGAAGCCAAAACAGAAAAAGCAGAAGCCTGAAAATTGAGAAAGGAGAAAGATACAAAATTTTATTTTTTAAAAGTAATGTCCTTAATTCAAATTGACTAAGGCACTCATCAGAATAAACACGATTGCATAAAAAACTATTCTTGCTTAACTATTTTCCGTATAAGCCCAATTTCTGTTTCCTCTGAGTCAAAACTTACATCATTTGTTGAGATTTTGGTTTAAACTGGGACATGAAAAAATTTTATTAATTCAGTTTGTTTTCTTTTTTTTTTTTCATGAAAATAGAAGTATTTGGACTTTTAAATGTTGACCTTAGAAATTTCACCAAGGATTGACACCTGATTGGACAAAGAGTTAAACAAAACAAACTGTGACATCATGTCAGTATTGATAGTAAAAGCCTTTGAGAACTCACTCAGTGGGTCATATAACTTTTGGTCTCTGGCAGCCTTGCACCCTTTTTATTTTTATTTTTATTTTTTTTGAGACAGGGTCTTGCTCTGTCACCCAGGCTGGAGTGCAGGGGCACAATCACAGCTTACTGCAGTCTCCACCTCCCGGGCT
The DNA here is from genome assembly GCF_000001405.40 of Homo sapiens. Lineage (NCBI taxonomy): Eukaryota > Metazoa > Chordata > Mammalia > Primates > Hominidae > Homo > Homo sapiens. Next base: position 91,749 of record NW_011332696.1, on the reverse strand, counting down.
CAAGCAGTCCTCCTGCTTCAGCCACCCAAGTAGCTGGGACTACAGGTGTGTGTCACCACGCCTGGCTAGCTTTTTTTTATTTTTTGTAGAGACGGGGTCTTGCTATGGTGCCCAGGCTGGTTTCTTTCTTTCTTTCTTTTTTAAAGACTAATCAAATGCAGTAGTAAGAAGGGGAGACAGAGTAGAACAAGGAATTTGATCTGTGACTGTGAACAATCTGGCAGCCATTTCTTTTGAAGCAAGCCAAGTGATATCAAATGGTTTGTATCCTGGGTTCCTGGGATATATTACCTGGTGGTGCTCTGTATCACTAGGTGTTTTATGAATCGTTGTATCAGTTTTTAACTTGGTTTTCCCCTTCTCTTGTAGTCACTTTGATGAGAAAGCTTATGAAAAAATCTTTGGGATAAATTTAAGATCAGCTTTACCATATTTAGAATAAACAGGTATAAGAAGTTAAAAATAGAAGTAGGAATGACAGAAAAGCCAGAACTTAGGTCAGATCTTATTTTCACTAGTATGTTTCTCTCTTTCCAATGCCTTTTTCTTTAGTTAGCAGTGCTACAAACCTAACAACTGTATGTCACTTGTAAAGATAAACAAGTGTAAGAAATAAACTAGGCCTCTGAAATATACATTAGAAAATTCACTGACCCTTTATGGGCATTTAAATTTTATCATTTTGATGTTTAAAGCTGCTCTTATGAGAGGTACTTACCTATACACAGGGAATGAAAACCGTTTCCCCCAATCACAGCAATTTCCCTTTGCTAAGATAACAACAATGGAATAGTTATGCCCCTGAGGCTGTCTACCAAAATCCAGCCTGGACTGTACAGAAATTGTACAGAATTGTACAGAAGAAAGAAATGAAGACTTCAGATGTCATTAAATTAATTATTCATCAGGTTAATTTTGGAGTAAAGAATGTTGAGGGAATGCTGACATGTTTGAGTAGTGTAAAATATGTAAAAACCCATTCTTCCCATGGGCTATGAAACTGCAGAACAAATTTGAATAGTCATTTTTTATTCTGTGATACAGTTTAACTTGAAGATGTAAGAGCACAACCAGAGGCTAGATTGAATTCACCTCTGCATTCCCATCCTGTTCATTTTCACTTGCCACTTTCTTATTTGCAAATAAGAAAGTACCTGCTATTTTCCTCAGCGAATCTGCCATTGAAAATTGCCTCTTGGTCTGTGTAAATTTAAATTGCAGTAGCTTATTGTTTTCATAGGGTAGTTGACATCTAATACCTCTATTCTGAGAGGGGAAATCATTTTTTTTTGTAAAACTAACTGCTTCTCTTTATTTTCTCCCTATACCAGCTACAGGCCATATAGCTACCGGCACTTTGCACCCCCCACCACACCCTGCAGCACAGATGTTTGTGACAGTGACTATGCTCCTAGTCGGAGAATGACCTCAGTGGCAACAGCCAAGGGCTATACCAGTGACTTGAACTATGATTCAGAACCTGTGCCCCCACCTCCCACACCCCGAAGCCAATACTTGTCAGCAGAGGAGAACTATGAAAGCTGCCCACCTTCTCCATACACAGAGAGGAGCTATTCTCATCACCTCTACCCACCGCCACCCTCTCCCTGTACAGACTCCTCCTGAGGAGGGGCCCTCCTCCTCTGACTGCCTCCAACGTAAAAATGTAAATATAAATTTGGTTGAGATCTGGAGGGGGGGAGGGAGCTATTAGAGAAGGATGAGGCAGACCATGTACAGTTAAAATTATAAAATGGGGTAGGGAATACTGGAGATATTTGTACAGAAGAAAAGGATATTTATATATTTTCTTAAAACAGCAGATTTGCTGCTTGTGCCATAAAAGTTTGTATAAAAAAAATTTGTACTAAAAGTTTTATTTTTGCAAACTAAATACACAAAGCATGCCTTAAACCCAGTGAAGCAACTGAGTACAAAGGAAACAGGAATAATAAAGGCATCACTGACCAGGAATATCTGGGCTTTATTGATACCAAAAATAAAAAAGAGGAAGAAGAAAAATTAAGTCCATCTCAGAGCAGCAAACCATAGATACATGGATGTAGCCAGATAGCCTTCAGTTAACTAACATTTGAGGGCCAACAAGTAAGAAATGATGAAAGGAAAAAAATGCAATTAATACTAACCTTGGACGAAGGGCTTTGTTTTCTCTAGGAATCCAACAGTGCTAGTGAGGAAAGTAGATATTTCTAAAAACCCATTCTGGGTGTTGCTGTTGTAGGAGAGATCAGCCCTCTGGTAAGATGCCATGAAGCTGTGTGTGTGTGCAAGTCTCTGTCCCTACCTTTAGAATCCATACCTCTGTCAAAATGAATTTTTTTCTCTAGGTATGTTTACCTTGCTGCCTCCTCCAGCAACTTGGTAAGTCATTTTGCTAAGATACCATGATTTTTTTAAGCTGAAGCATTGACTAAATGGAATTTTCTAAATTAAACTTGATTTTAATATTTCTTCTAGCTCCATTCCCCAGTAGGCTTAGCTCTTCAATTTGACTGCTGTTTTTGCATAATGATCAAAAGTTAGACATATTATTTCTCTTCTTCCAAGATTGTTTTAATGCTCATTAAAATGTCTTTTTACAACACATATAGACAATGTTTAAGAATTAAAAATTTAACCATTATGTTTTTGTTGTAAATCTCATATCCTTGCACTACTTTCAGCATATATCACAGTACGAAATCATTTATATATATATATATATATATATATATATATATATATATATATATATATATATTTTGTTTGTTTGTTTGTTTTCTGAGTAAAACATTTAAATATGTTCTGGTTAGAGACAATCTATTTAAAAAGATTTTTTTCTTATTAGGATTTTCCCTATATTAACAGTTTGTGATGTTTTCATGTTCTTTAGACCGGTTTTTCTCAGAATAATGTCTACATACATACCTCTTCTAATGTGTGACATGAATTTAATATCTTTCTGTTACCCACTGTGAATGTTAGGCTGTTTTCAAATTATCCACAAATTATTCTTGTAATCACCCAATATTTTTATGTGGGTCCTCTCTTACCCATTATGGATTAAGATAGTTTAACAAATTTAACAATGAGGATTAAATGAGAAGGCAAACTGTTAACTTCTCAGCTGTCAGAATTTGGGTGGAAGGGAATAATGGAAGCCTCTTTTGTGATCTGCCTGACCTGCTGTCATGTATGGTACTGGGGCTGCTACATCTTGAGCTATCAGGGCTGACCTGTGGAATGATTCTAGCACTTGCTCTGCCACCTTGCCAGAAGTTCGTTTCCTGCTTTTTACACATGTGTAGCACTTCTCTGCTAAAATTGAATGGTTTTAAACTAATGTATTTTTAGCTTAAGAGGTGTTGGTCAGTTAATTATTGAATTTTTTTTTTTTCTTTTTTAATTCTGTCTTGCCAAGGCCTCTCTGGGTTTCAGGGCCCAAGAGAAAACAGTGGAAGAAAGGATTCAGAATTTGGGCAAGGGTGAAGTAACTGTTCATGCAAGTTAAAAATACCTAAGTAAAGTTTTTGAAGATAAAATTGTGGTTTCAGAATAATGCTGATTGTTGGAGACTGTAAGAATCAGGTGCACTTGATTTTGCATATAAGCAAATGGTAAATCTATCAGAATCCTAAAACAGACAAGCATGAACTCTTCCCATTGCTGGAACTAAGTGCCCACAGTGTCAGACAAAATGGACATTGAACTTGGATTCTGTGATACACAGGGCACTTGATGCTTAAATGAAGATGGAAAGGTTAGCAATACCTGGGTGTCAGTTAGAATTTGAGAATTCTATATGTTTACATATTTAAATGTGCATCTTGATCTGGTGGGCTTCCCATGTGGAGACTTGCACTCTAATTAACTAAGAAGAATATTGCCTTGTTGGATCTCAGTCCACGTGCTTGCACTGCGATGGCAATGGCCTCTTCTTCAAAATACTAATTTGTGTGCCAATTTGTTTAAAATTATTTGAAGGCAGTTCAGCCTAATCTCAGTGTTCTCTTTCTGGGGTAGATGAGATGGATTCTTAATATTTCTGGGAGTACTTTTTAATGAGAGAATTGTCAAATTTGGAAAGATTTATTGAGCCTTAGGTTACATGGACAGTTAAGCTTAAGTAAACTGTATATTGATTATCAAACACAAGCTGTAATTGGAAAAGTTGAGAGGAAAAGCATGAGATCACAAATTAGGGGGAAAAAAGAAAAGGGATTTTTAAATTTGGTGTATTAAATTCATTGTCCAAGGGGGAAAATGAATAATGTTTCATTAGATTCCTTATATGCAAAAGTATTTATTTTGAACATGTGTCCTAAAATATATGCACTAACTGATGTGATTAAAATTGTCCAAGAAATAAACTTGAGCATAACATACTTTGTGTGCACCACAGTAAGCTATTCTGCATTGAAGTGGTCTTTTATAACTAAGGCCTGGACTTTGCTCCAACAGAGTCGTGGTCTTCTGAATAGTGACTTAAGGAGTTTTGTTTGCTTAAGTCAGATAATAGCACATTCACAGGGAAACAAAGAGAGTTGGTGGATAGAATTTTCTGACTATTAATTTTTCTTCCATGAAATTTTATTATGCCTTTGGCACTTTCTGCCACTCTTACAGCATATCACAAGATATCTGTTTAGCAGAAGATTATGTAGTTACTTTAATTTTAATATAAAAGTAGCTTGTGATACATTACCAAGAGATCTCTGATTCTTTAGTAAGTTTGAGAACACCTATTCTACAGAGATGATAGGTACTTAGAAATGAAGACTTTAAAGTACATTTTAATCTAATATAGGCCAGTAATTGGGGGAAGGGGCTTTGAGCAGTACAATTTTAAGATGATTTTGAGGGTTGTATTTCTTTATCATTTAAAAATATCCTAAAGTCAGTAATTTATATGAAGGAAACTCATTCATTATTGAAGGTATTAAAAATAGCCATCATCTGTATTAGGTAGCAGTTTTGGAGGATCATCTTTTTCTTTTGCTATAAAGCCCTATTAATGAAGAATACTTCCAGTAGAGTTAATAGCTGTAGCTTACCTAGTGTGTTAATGAAGTGTGTTTATTTATGTGACTTGATACCAGTAGTCATAATAGAGACTGAAGAGGTATGCGTTAAGCACGCCTACTTCTATGCAGTAAACAGGCTGCAGCTGCCTAGATTAGATTCTTAGAAATGTCATATTTTGAATTGTTTTATTTCTTGTAGGGGAAGCTTTGTCCCACTTCATTCATTTGCATGCCATAGGAATTACATATTGGTTATCATTACGTATCTAACAAGATTCAGAAACAAAAATCTTGGACTTTTCACATCCGAAATATGTCAGCTCTTAATAAATGTGTGGTGCTTAAGTCTACATATGGCATCCATAGTTGATTTAGAGTATGGATATGAGTGTGTTGACCAGTTATCAGTAGGTGGACAAATATTTGGGCATCTACAGATGAGACTATGCACTAAGTGTGGACTGAGTCCTAAAGAAGCTTATAGTCAGGTGTTGTTTAAAACATTATCAGAATTCTTAAACCCAAGGAATTTAATTTTATTTGGTATTTCTTAAGCCTAAAATGAACCAAGAGAAAGATGATTTTAGAAAGTACTTGTAGTGAAAGATGATTTTAGAAAGTACTTGTAGTGCATGTGTGGCTTCTGACTTTTGGGATGGCACCATTTTATAATAGTTTCAAAATTTAGCTTTTGAAATTCTCAACATTTTATGGTAGAAGACTTTGGACCTCAAGTATAAAATTATACGTTTATAATTTTTTTAAAATTTAAATTATAAGTATTGTGAATTCACACTCTCAGGCTATTGTCTGACTTGATCTACGTCTCATAAAGCCTGTACCTGAGTGGAGTGGAAGGTGGAGTCTTAGGTTAATCAGTTACTGACTCTACCCTCACCCTCTTTCAATTGAGGTAAACTTTGCTGTTTTTCTTTTTCATAAAGCATTCTCAAATTGTTGAGTTTATTGCTGAAAAAAATCTCCATGACTTTACAGATAGAATTACAAACTAAATGATGTCTTGTATTTAGAAGCAGAGTACAGACCTAACGAACTGTTAGATTCTCCACCATCACTTAGGGTTTGCCCAGAAGCAACACCAGAGAATTACAGACAACGCGCTTTTGCTGAACTGTCCATTTTGGTGGTTGTGTTTTTCAGTCAAATATAAGCAGGATGGGCGATAGAGATATATTTATATATAGATACATATTCTATATATCTAATGCCTAAATATGGGTATTAAAGGGAAAATTTTTAAAGTCTGATTAAATCCAATATGACATGAAATTAAATATATGGATTAGTAAGGAAAAATGTTAAAAAGTAGAGAGGATACCAAGAAGATTAAACTGGACTAGCCTTATTTGCAAGTGAAGGATCTGGTGCTGCTTTCAGATGTTTATCTTTTATTTTTTTCCCTTAAGCTTTAATCTTCGTCATTGTCTTAAAGTCAACTGGTGTTTCTTGTTCATTGACTTTGGTACGATGGTGCTTTGCAAGGATGTATTTATGTTATAATGGCCAACATTTGGTCAGCCCTTGTCCACTTATTCACTTCCCTCCTTTTGTAAAATAAGTGCTTTAATTATAAACTGTATAAAAATACCTTGTATAAACCCCTTTTTTGATTATTACAATAAATAAGCTGAATTGTAACAAATGAAATTTGATTTTTGTAATAAAACAGTGGAAAAGTAAAAGTGTCTGTCCTTTCTTTTCAGCAAGAAATTAAGACAGTAGCTGGTTGTCCTTCGCTGTTTCAGACACAAAACCCAGCTTTATTGTTTGCATTTTAAATAATACTCTGCCAGTACACCTATAGTCCCAGCTACTTGGAAGACTGAAGTGGGAGGATCACTTAAGCTGGGGAGGTTGAGGCTGCAATAAGACTCGTGATTGCGCCACTTGCACGGCAGCCTTGGGCTACAGAGTGAAACCCTGTCTCTAAATCAGTCAATCAGCCAATCAGTCTCTGCAAGAGAGATTTGCGAAGGGCTGTTGCTTAGTTCAGTGCTGGCAGCATTTGTGTTTGGGAACAAGAATAAGAAATAGCCTGTGCTTCAAAACTGCTCTTGTTTTCAGTAAACTGGAAGGAGTTCTAGTATGGACTCTGAGCACTTCCCTCTTTTCCAGGATCTTAAATTAGCTTATAAAATGCACATTGCTTTCCTGGTGAAGAGCCCAGTGTGATGTGATGATTCTTTTTCTGTGAGGGTAGGACATAGTAAAATCCAGTGAAATACCAGGTCTCTGCTTGATACTGAGCTTACTAGTTTGATAGGAAGGGAGGAAAGCTGCTTTTTTATTTTGCAGTATTTGAGCCCAAATACCAATTAAAGGGAAACCAAGTTTTAAAATGTTTTCCCTTAGCCAATGCCCTCAAATAAGTGAACTTACCTTGGTCTTTGCTGACTCCTCCCATTCTTTTTCCTAGAAGGAAAACAGAAACACGTTGTGCCATTCCCAGTTAAATGAAAGAAAGAAAAGGCAGAAGATTGGTTTGCCTGATGGAAAGGCAATCTCACGAATGGGGAAACACTGCAAACTGTTTTGGGTCCTTTTTTCCCCAGATAGGTTTTCAGCTAAGTAAATAATTAAGTAGTTTTCATTTTAATTCGTTGCCTTGTGTATGATTGCATTGTTTCTATAAATTTAATTCAAATGACGAATTACTGTCCTCAGATCTCTGGTTCCATCCATTTATATCATTATGTAATCTGCACAGTCCCCCCTCCCACAGAAAATCTGCTTGAGATTTGCATTTGCAAATTCATATTTAGTCAACATACAAAACCAGTCTTCTCCAATATGGAAGTTAAAATGAAGGATAATTTTATTAACATTCTAGCCTGCATTTACTGTGTACCAGGCACTGTGCTGCCTTTCCTCGCCTCCTGCCCTCCGACTTAAAATAATCAAAGATTGCCAGCTGTCGTAGCTTGAGCCTGTAAGCTACTCGGGAAGCTGAGACGGGAAGATCTTTTGAGGTCAGGAGTTTGAGACTAACCTGGTCAATAGAGAAACCCCTACCTGTAGAATAAAGAGAATAATAAAGTGATGAATGACCAGGCTTGACAGGAAATGCCCAATTTGAGTATGAAAAGTTCCACTGCAAAATTTTGATTAGAAATGGGTTGTCGCCAGCCGCAGCACTTTGGGAGGCCGAGGCGAGCGGGTTGCTTGAGGCCAGGAGTTCGAGACCAGCCTGACGGACTTGGTGAAACCTCATCCCTACTAAAAATGCAAAAATTAGCTGGGCATTGTGGTAGGCACCTGTAATACCAGCTACTCGAGGGGCTGAGGCAGCAGAATCTCTAGAACCCAGGAGGCAGAAGTTGCAGTGAGCCGAGATGAGGCCTTGGCACTCCAACCAGCCTGGGCAACAAGAGCGAAACTCCGTCTCAAAAAAAAAAAAGAAAAAGAAAAACGGGTTGTCTTTGGGTAGAGGGAAAAGGATATGGATTGAGGTCTAGATTTTAATCTTTATTCCACTGTAATTAATTGTCAAGGCATGTCTGGACTCATTTATCTCTCAGTATTTCTTGGTATTAGTCCCTAATGTAGAGTTTTCAGAACCTTAACTCTTTAATGAGCCGGTTGACTTTTTTTTCTTTTTTTTTAAGACTGAATCTAGCTCTGTCGCTAGGCTGGAGTGCAGTGGTGCTATCTCAGCTCACTGCAACCTCTGACTCTGTGGTTCAAGCGATTCTCCTGCCTCAGCCTCCCGAGTAGCTGGGATTACAGGCATGTGCCACCACACCCAGCTAATTGTTTGTATTTTTAGTAGAGACAGGGTTTCGCCATGTTGGCCAGGATGGTCTCGATCTGACTTTGTGATCCGCCCACCTCGGCCTCCCAAAGTGCTGGGATTACAGGCGTGAGCTACCACGACTGGCTACCACTTGACTCTTTAATTAGTCAATTCCAATACCTGTTCTAGAGAGGTACTTATACATAATGCATTTGAGGCAATGAATTGTATTACAAGGTAGAGTCCATTGAAGCCCAAACGCCTATGTGGTATCCTATTCCATGGAGATACCTATTCGATGCTTCCTTCCCCCTAAGCCCTTGCTTCACTTTCCAAAGAAAATAACTGTCAAAAAGGAGACAGCCCGATGCCCATCTTACATCACAAGCTGCATGGCAGACAAGAAGTGATTATCTTGAGGTCTTTTGACTTCTGATCATCCTACCAAAAGCTCCCCCACTACCATTACTCAATTGAACAGGCTTGAAGATTCTCGTCTTTTGTCCAGTAATTGAAGTTCCTTCTTGGGGATTCCATGGGAAGGAAAGGGTTAGGGTCCACAAGTATGCAGTGCTATGATTCCTAACTGCAGATACATATGTAACAGGAAAAATTTTAATACCTCAGTTTCTCTAATCTAGGTTATTCATATTTTCTCTTCTTAGGTCAGCTTTAGTTACTTGTGTCTTTCAAGGAATTTGTCCATTTCATCTAAGTTGTTGATTTACTGACATAAAATACGTTCTCTATCCTTTTAATGTCTGTTTTTGTTTCAGACATTGGTAATTTGTGTCTTCTCTACTGGGACTCAAAACGTAGTACCTAAAATATGACACCTCGGAATACTATTTTGAGCTGAAGGAATTGGAGAAAAATCATGGAAGCAGGATTCCTTCATCATTCTCACCTGAAGCAGTTTATAAACCTGGGATAAGTTTTCTGATCTTTCCCTTAAGCAGGTCTCTCGTGTGAGAGGTGCCCTCTCTACACCTGGAAGAGAACATTCTTATCTCTAAAGACAAAGTGTTGGCTGGGTGCAGTGGCTCACGCCTGTAATCCCAGGACTTTGGGAGGCTGAGGCGGGTGGATCACCTGAGGTCAGGAGTTTGAGACCAGCCTGGCTAACATGGTGAAACTGTCTCTACTAAAAATACAAAAATTAGCCAGCCGTGGTGGAGGGCGCCTGTAGTCCCAGCTACTCAGGAGGCTGAGGCACGAGAATGGCATGAACCTGGGAGGAGGAGGTTGCAGTGAGCTGAGATCGCGCCACTGCACTCAAGCCTGGGTGACAGAGCAAGACTCCGTCTCAAAAAAAAAAAAAAAAAAGTCACAAAGAAATCTAAACTTAGGTCTTGCTAAGTTTCCCCCAGTTATTATGAGATCATACCCTTTATGTCCTATCATATTTCTCCACAACTGTCTACTCTTCATCAAACCTACTACAAAACACACTAACACTTATCTGTTTCTTTGGGTCTTCATTTCAATATGAAGACTCCTGTACCATATAAAACATATTAAATAAATTTGATGGTTTTGTCTTTCTCCCTCTTTTTTTCTTTTCTTTTCTTTTCTTTCTTTCTCTTTTTTTTTTTTTTTTTGTGGAGACAGGCTCTTGCTCTGTCATCCAGGCTGGAGTGCAGTGACGCGATCTTGGCTCACTGCAACCTCCACCTTCCAGGCTCAGGTGATCCTCCCACTTCAGCCTCCCGAGTAGCTGAGACTACAGGCACACACTACCACATGCAGCTAATTTTTTTGTTGTTTTTTTAGAGATGAGGTTTTTTTTGTTTTTGTTTGTTTTAGAACAGCTCAGCAAAATAAAATTCCTGTTTATTGTTGGACAACATTGTTTCACACATACATCAAACAGGCCAAAAAAAAATAAACAGCAACTTCACAGACAAGGAAAAAAAAGAAACCTTTTATCTTTGGCCTTTTTAACCATCTCATACAAACCAACTACTTATAGTACAGCTAAGTACATACACAAAAAAGTTACTGGAATGCTCGGAATAAGATGGTTTTTCTGTTGTCATTTTTGCATTTTTTACAAGTTTTTTTTTCTCCTTTGAGATTATAATGAACATGGCCACACCACAAGTAAAGTGAGAAGTAGGACAGAGAACGCTCCGAAGGCTGGTTTGGTCATCCGAGATCATTAAAAATGGCCGACCCTAACAATATGTACAAAAATATAAAATGTAAATAAAAAATACAAGTTTCCTTTTTAAAGTACTTTTAAGAAAAAAAAAGCAGGGCCTTGGAAGTTTTGGTTCTTTTTCCCTCCCCTGTTGCAAATTCTCATGGTTTGGGTTGGGTGGTGGAGAGCGCGTGTCATCTGCGGGTGGCACTGCCCACGGTGGGCGGGCGGGCCCCTCTACTCGAAGGTGACCACGTTTAGATTCTGAGACGGGAAGTGGAGGGCGAATAGGTCACGGCGGCCTTTTTTTTTTAGTTTAACTTTTCCTTTTTTGCTGTCTGGTCATCCTCGTCGGTCTTCTGCTTCTGGGTATCGACATCGTCATCCTCATCATCTTCAGCTGCCCGCTTGCCCGTAGCTGACTCAGCTCCCTCATCTTCATCTCCGTCCTCTTCCTCACCATCACCTTCTTCCTCCTCCTCTTCCTCCCCACCTTCTTCCTCTTCTTCATCTACCTCGTTGTCAGCCTCCGGCTCCCCATTTTCCTCATTAGCATTCCTGTTAGCAGGGGCGTCTCTTCCATTTTCCGCCTCTTCCACAACTTCCTTCTTCTCCTTTAAGTCCTCGGTGGTGATTTCGGAGCTGGTGTCTACGGCTGCGTCTGACATGGTGGGGCACGCCGGTGACGCGATGCAGGGGATAAAAAAGAAAGCGAGAGTTCAGGGACTCTGGCGATAAAGCTGCCGGAGTCCGCGGCGGCGGAGGAGGCGCGCGGCGGAGGCGGCTGCGGCGAGCAAGGAGGCTGACGAGGCACAATGCAAAGATGGCTTTTCAGAGCAGCCAGTGGGGAGATGAGGTTTTACCATGTTGCCTAGGCTGGTCTTGAACTCCTGGGCTCAAGCAGTCTGCCCACCTCAGCCTCCCAAAGTGCTGGGATTACAGGTGTGAGCTACTATGCCTGGCCAAAAAATCTACTTATTTATAGCTCCATCCCCACCCCATTTGGTTGTTTGTAACAAAGTTATATCTTTATCCATGTTCCCCGAAACATAAACTAATAATTATTTTAAACACATTAGAATTTTAAATTATGGGCCGGGCGCGGTGGCTCACGCCTGTAATCCCAGCACTTTGGGAGGCCGAGGCGGGTGGATCATGAGGTCAGGAGATCGAGACCATCCTGGCTAACAAGGTGAAACCCCGTCTCTACTAAAAATACAAAAAAATTAGCCGGGCGCGGTGGCGGGCGCCTGTAGTCCCAGCTACTGGGGAGGCTGAGGCAGGAGAATGGCGTGAACCCGGGAAGCGGAGCTTGCAGTGAGCCGAGATTGCGCCACTGCAGTCCGCAGTCCAGCCTGGGCGACAGAGTGAGACTCTGTCTCAAAAAAAAAAAAAAAAAAAAAAAAAAAAAGAATTTTAAATTATGTAGAAAACAATGTGGAGGCCGGGCGCGGTGGCTCATGCCTGTAATTCCAGCACTTTGGGAGGCTGAGGTGGGCGGATCACCCAAGGTCAGGAGTTTGAGACCAGCCTGACCAACATGGTGAAACTCCATCTGTACTAAAAATACAAAAATTAGCTGGGCGTGATGGCGCACGCCTGTAATCCCAGCTACTCAGGAGGCTGAGGCAGGAGAATCGCTTGAACCCAGGAGGTGGAGGTTGCAGTGAGCCGAGATCATGCCACTGCACTCCAGCCTGGGCGACAGAGTGAGACTCTGTCAAAAGAAAAAAAAAAGAGCTGGGCGCGGGGGCTCACGTCGGAAATTCCAGCACTTTTGGGAGGCCGAGGCAGGCAGATCATGAGGTTAGGAGATTGAGACCATCCTGGGTAACACAGTGAAACTCCGTCTCTACTAAAAATACAAAAAATTAGCCAGGTGTGGTGGCATGTGTCTGTAGTCCCAGCTACTCGGGAGGTTGAGGCAGGAGAGTCGCTTAAACCTGGGAGGCAGAGGTTGCAGTGAGCCAAGATTGCGCCATTGCACTCCAGCCTGGACGACAGAGTGACTGTCTCAAAAAAAAAAAAAAAGTGTAGAAAACAAAAAGTAGAGTTACAAACCCTTGTCCAAATAATACTAGCTTTGGTTGAGGCATGGTGGCTCATGCCTGTAATCCTAGCACTTTGAGAGGCCAAGGCAGGCAGATCACCTGTTTGCGACCAGGCTGGCCAACATGGTGAAACCCTGTCTCTACTAAAAATACAAAAATTAGCCAGGCATGGTGGTGCATACCTGTAATCCCAGTTACTTGGGAAGCTGAGGCATAAGAATTGCTTGACCCCTCCAGGAGACAGAGGTTGCAGTGAGCTGAGATCGTGCCACTGTACTCCAGCCTGGACAACAGGGCAAGACTCTGTCTCAAAAAAATAATAATAATACTAGCTTCGGTAGTGGCCTATGTATTTACCTTCATTGAGATCTTTATTTCTTCAAATGACTTTAGTTACTGTCAAGGGTCCTTTAATTTCACCCTGCAGAGGTGACCTAGTCTAACAAACTCAATCAACTTTTGTTTATCTGGGAATTAATTTCCCCCTCATTTTGAAAGATAATTGATATGGTTTGGCTGTGTCCCCCCCACAAATCTCATCTTGAATTGTAGTTCCCATAATCCCCACCTGTCATGAGAGGGACCTGGTGGGAGGTAATTGAATCACAGGAGCAGTTTCCCCCATGCTATTCCCGTGATAGTAAGTTCTCACGAGATCTGATGGTTTTATAAGGGGCTTTCCCCTTTGCTTGGCTCTCATTTTTCTCCTGCTGCCATGTGAAGGAGGACATGTTTGTTTCCCCTTATGCCATGATTATAAGTTTCCTGAGGCCTCCCCAGCCATACTGAACTGTGAGTCAATTAAACCTCTTTCCTTTATAAATTACCCAGTCTTGGGTATGTCCTTATAGCAGAGTGAGAACAAGCTAATACAATAGTTTTGCTGAATATAGGATTCTTGGTTGACACATTTTTTTGTTTTTTTTTTGTTTTTTTTTTGTTTTCTTTTAGCATTTTGAATATATTGGCTTATTGCCTTTGGCATCCAAAGTTTTTGATGAAAAATCTGCTGATGATCTAAGGGTTCCTTGTATGTGATGAGTCAATTCCCTCATCCTACTTTCAGGATTATCTGTCATTGTCTTTCAGGCATTTGATTATAATGTGCCTCGGGGTAGGTCTCTTTCAGTTCATTGTGCTTGGAATTCATTGAGGTTCTTGGATATTTACATTCATATCTTTCCTCAAATTTGTAATGTTTGCAGCCATTATTTCTTCATGTATTCTCTGTGCCTCTTTGTCTCTCTCTCTCCTTTCCTCTGGAACTCCCATAATGCTTGTGTTGGGCAGCTTGATGATGTCTCACAACTCCCTTAGGCTCTGTTCACTTTTCTTCAGACTTTTTCTTTCTGTTCCTCAGACTTGATAATTTCCACTGTCTTATTGATAGAGGCAGGAGACAGAGAAATCCTAGGCAGATGGGCAGGTCCCCAGTGAAACCCCACATTCAAGCCAAAGAAAGTTTAAAGCCTGAGGCCAAGCTACAAGTCAAATTCACAGTTTGGATTGAGTACTGTCTTCCGGTTTGGTGTGCTTTCCTTTGATTGATCCCTACCCTTAACCTATTTTACATATACCTACCCTTCCCTAATTGTTTTTACACTGTGCCCACCTTTCACTGGTGCCTTGATTTTAACCTTTCTTGCATACTCACAAACCAGGAAGCATGCACTCCCTTATCCTGTGCCTATAAAAATCCCAGATTCAGCCACACTGAGAGAGACAATCTGACTTCAGGAGAGACAATCCGACCTTCCCACCCTCTTTCCACTGACAGCTGTTTCTTCACTCAATAAAATTATCTGTCTTTACCACCCTTTAATTGTCAGTGTGACCTCATTCTTCTTGGATGCAGGACAAGAGCTTGGGACTCACTGAATGTGGGTGGCCAGAAAGGCTGTAACACTGGCCCTCTGCCCTCAACGGTGGAGGGCAGCTTCCCCACATGATAGAAGCAGTGGCGGGGCCAAGCTGGTCCCAGAGCCACGCCAGTTCTGGAGCCCTGGGTCAGGGAGGGGCAAGAATCTGACTGAGCTGTTAACGTGCTGCCGTCCATCAGGCTGTGGACAGTGGAACTAAAAGAGCTAATTAGCACACTAACACCCCTTCTGGGGATTTGGGGTCATGGGGCACCCCTGCTTGGGCACTGTTGCGATCCCCTTAGGGCAACATACCTGGTCTGGCCGTGGGGCCTGCATAGAGCTTGCTCTTGTGTTGGCACTTGGAGCAACCAGCCAAGCCCTGCACTCGCTTGCCCATGTGCTCCCTCCTACCAGGGGCTGAGCACAGCAGGCCGAGGTGTTGGGTGCCCCTGCTGCAAGCCCAGCAAAGGGGCCAAGAAAAATCCTGCGTCATTATGTTCAAGTTTCCTGATTCTTTTTTTTTTTTTTTTTTTTTGAGATGGAGTCTCGCTCTGTCACCCAGGCTGGAGTGCAGTGGCACGATCTTGGCTCACTGCAGGCTCCACCCCCCGGGGTTCACGCCATTCTCTTGCCTCAGCCTCCCGAGTAGCTGGGACTACAGGCGCCCGCCACCTCGCCTGGCTAATTTTTTGTATTTTTAGTAGAGACGGTGTTTCACCGTGTTAGCCAGGATGGTCTTGATCTCCTGACCTTGTGATCTGCCCGCCTCAGCCTCCCAAAGTGCTGGGATTACAGGCGTGAGCCACCCTGCCCAGCCAAGTTTCCTGATTCTTTCTTCTGCTTTCTCAAATCTGTCTTTAAATTTGTTTAGTGAATTTTTTATTTCGGTAATTGTACTTTCAGCTTTCAAAATTTCTTTTTGTTTTCTTTTAAGTTGCTTGTCTCTTTATTGATATTTCTATTTTGTCCATATGCTATTTACATTATTTTTTTACTTTCTCCACATGTTCCTTTTGTTCTTTTTTGAGAATCTTTAAGACAGTTGTTTGAAAGCCTTTCTCTAGTAGATTTGCCACCAGATCTTTTTCAGAGAGTTTCTGTTGATTTTTTTCCTTTGGGTCATACTTTCCTATTTCTTTGTATGCTTTGATTTTTTGTTGTTGTTGAAAACATAGACATTTGAATCTAATAATATGGTAACTGTGGAAATCAGATTAATCCCCTTCCCCAGGGCTTGCTATTTTGTGGTTTGGGTTTGTGTGGTTTTGATTTTTAATTGTTGTACACTGTCTCTGTACCAAGGATCACCCTGAGGTATAAACTTAAGTCTTCTGAGGTCTTTTCTGAGTCTGTGCCTCTCTTTGGATATGCAAGGTCAATTTCATATTTTTCCCCCAAATACAGTTGCTTTTGAAAATCCTAGTCTCATTTTCTGGCTCCCCAAATGGGAAAAGGAGAAAAATGAAAAGGAGAAAAAGAGGGCAGAGGCCTTTTAAGTTTCCTGGGAGTCACTTCAGCTGGAGGAGGAGGGGCTTGTAGTCATGGGGAGAGGTGTAATGGGTCAGACTGACAAACAATGGCTGCCACCTCTTTACCTGCACCTCTTTGATCAGAGCAGGAGTCAGCAATCAGTGCACAGATCCCTGATATTTGGAGAACAGGGTTCTTTTTTTGCACTCTGCTTACCACAAGCTGTGTGCAAACTGCTCCAGGAACAGGTGCACCATTGCTTGCCATGGGACTGGAGTTGGGGGATAGGTAGCTGGTATTGTGCTAAGAGCTGAAATTGATTAAATTAACTGTAGTTTACCTGTCGAAGCTTTTGCCTGGAAGTTGCAAACCTTTAATAGACTTCAGAGTTCCAAAATAGTTATTTCAGATTGATTCTGTTTGAGTTATTGTTGTCTAGGTGGGAGACAGATTTCTAGTGTTTCCTACTCCACCATCTTCCCAGAATCCTTTCCTATCATTTGTGTATTTATTTATTTATTGGGAGATGGAGTCTCACTCTGTCACCCGGGCTGGAGTCTTGCTCTGTTGCCTGGGCTGGAGTGCGGTGGCACAATCTTGGCTCACTGCAACCTCTGCCTCGCAGGTTCAAGCCATTCTCTTGCCTCAGCCTCCTATGTAGCTAGGATTACAGGCATGCACCACCATGCATGGCTAATTTTTGTATTTTTAGTAGTGACGGGGTTTCACCATGTTGGCCAGGCTGGTCTCGAACTCCTGACGTCAGGTGATCCACCTGCTTCAGCCTCCCAAAGTTGGGGGATTACAGGCAAGAGCCACCACAACCTGGCCTCATTTGTGTTTTTATTGTCATAAGTTTTACTTCTGCATGTTGTAAATGCCATAATATACTATTATTATTTTGCTTTAAACAATTGTCTTTTAAATGTAAAGAAAAATACTTTTATTTATCTGCATATTTATTATGTTTGATGCTCCTTATTCCTTTGTAGAGATCTGACTTTCCATCTGCTATAATTTTCCTTCAGGCTGAGAGTTTCCTTTGGTATGTCTTCTACTCTTGGTCTGCTCATGACACATTCTACTTTTCAAAATTTTGAAAACATTCTGAAAATATCTTCATATTTTCTCCTTTTTTCTGATCAGTCAAGCTAGCGGTTTTATTGATATGCTCAACAAACCAGCTTTTGGGTTTGTAGATTTTTTTCACTATTTCTTGTTTTCTATTTCTTGAATTCCCTTTCTCATGCCTACTCTGGATTTGCCTTTTCTAGTTTAAGGTATACGCTGAAGTCATCAGTTAGTGACCATTCTTTTCTAATGTAGCTATTTAGTGCTTTAAAGTTTCCTTTGCTAAAGTGAAGCACTAAGTACTACCTTAGTGCCTCTCAGAATTACTAGTATGCTGTGCTTTCATTTTTAAGTTAAAAATACTTCTAATTTCCCTTTTGATTTGTGCTTTGACCCATGGGTAATTTAGACAGGTTTTGTTTCCAAACATTTGAGGAATTTTCCAGATATCTTTGTTATTGATTTCAAATTTATTTACAGTGTGGTCAACAAACATTCTTTAAATTACTTTAATCCTTTTAAATTTATTGAGATTTATGGTCCAGAAGATAGTTCAGTGTTTTAAATGTCCATGTGCACCTGAAAAGAATGTTTTTTTCTGCTGTTGTTGGTTTTAATGCTCCAAGTTTTCAAATCTGTACTATCCTTACTGATTTTCTGTCTACTGGTTTTATCAATCATTGAGAGATGTTGAAATCTCCAGCTATAATTGTGAAACATTTTTGTATATTGCTCCCTGCAATTCTATTAGTTTTTGCTTTATGTATTTTGAGGCTGTTACTAGATGCATAACATTAGGATTGTTATGTCCTTTGATGAATTGACTCCTTTACTATTATTAAATGACTTTATCCCTGCTGTATTAGTCCATTTTGCATTACTGTAAAGGAATACCTGGGACTAGGTGATTTATAAAGAAAGAGGTTTATTTTGACTCACAGTTCTGCAGACTGTACAAGAAGCACAGTGCTGGCATCTGCTTCCAGTGAGGGTCTCAGGAAGTTTACAATCATGGCAGAAGGGGAAGGGGGAGTAGGCATGTCACATGAAAGAGGGAACAAGAGAGAAGGGGAAAATTCCAGACTCTTTAACAACCAGATCTTGTGTGAATGCATTACTTCAGGGATCCCTCCCATTCATGAGGGATCTGCCCCTATGACCAAAACAACTCCCACAAGGCCCATCTCCAAAATTGGGAATCATATTTCAACATGTGATTTGGAGGGGACAAACATCCAAACTATATCACCTGGTAACGTTATTTGCTTTGAATCTACTTGGATTGATATTAACGTAGCCACTCCATTTTCCTTTGACGGGTGTTATGGTACATCTTTCCATCCTTTGACTTTTTTTTTTTTTTTCTTTTGGCAGGGTCTCCCTCTGTCACCCAGTCACCCAGGCTGGAGTGCAGTGACATGAACGTGGTTCACTGCAGCCTCGACCTCCTGGGCTCCAGTGAGCCTCCCTCCTCAGCCTCCCAAGAAGCTGGGACTACAGGCATGCGCCACCACACAATTTTTGTGTGTTTTTGTAGAGATGAGGTTTTGTCAAGTTGCCTAGGCTGGTCTTGAACTCCTGGACACAAGCAGTCCATCCACCTTGGCCTCCCAAAGCATCCATCCTTTTGCCTAAGACTGTTCATGTCTTTGTATTTAAAGTTTTTTTTTTGGAAGATGTGTATAAAGTTGGTCTTTCTAATCCAATTTGATAATCTCTGCCATTTAATTGGAATATCTATATCATTGCATTTATTGTGATTATTGATATGGTTGAGTTTAATAGACCACTTGCTGTTTTCTTTCTGTCTCATCTGTCCTTTTCTGCCTTGTTATGGATTATTTTTCGTGATTCCATTTTACCTCCATTGTTGGCTTATTAGCTATACATTTTGTATGAGTTTGTGTGTGTGTGTGTGTGTTTTAGGAGTTGATTCTGGGTTTAGAGTATACATTTTTAACTTACCACAGTCTCTCTCTTTTTTTTTTTGAGACAGAGTCTCACTCTGTCACCCAGGCTGGAGTGCAGTGGCGCAATCTTTGCTCACTGCAAACTTCACCTCCCAGGTTCAAGCGATCTTCCCACCTCAGCCTCCTGAGCAGCTGGGATTGCAGGTGTGCACCACCATTCCTGGCTAATTTTTGTATTTTTAGTAGAGATGGGGTTTCACCAGGTTGGCCAGGCTGGTCTCGAACTCCTGACCTCAGGTGATCCACCTGCCTCTGCCTCTGGAAGTGCTGCATTACAGGTGTGAGCCACTGCACCTGGCCCAGTCTACTTTCAAGTGAAATTGTACACTTCACATATAATGTGGATCTGTACAATTACACTTCCATTTCTGTCTCCCACCCTCCATACTATTATTCTTATACATTTTGATTTACATTATAAACCCCATAACACATTATTATTTTTTCTTTTAAATAGTATATTATCTTTTAATTAAAAATTCTTTATATTTACCCACATTTTATCATTTCTAGTGCTTTTTTTTCAGATACAGATTTCTATTTGGAATAATTTGGCTTCTACTGAAGGAATTTCTTTAATATTTATTATAGTTCAGGTCTGCTGATAAGGAATTCTTTTAGGTTTTATACATCTCAAAAAATCTCTATTTTCCCTACATTTTAAAATCATCTTTTGGCTGGGTATAGAATTCTGCATTTATAGTGTGTGTGTGTGTGTGTGTGTGTGTGTGTGTGTGTGTGTCTTGATACTTTAGAGAGGTTACTGTTTCTTTTGTGTTAGTCCCCAAGAAGTTTGCTGTCATTTTAATTTTTCTTTCTCTGCATATAATATGCCTTTTTCTCTGCTTGCTTGGAAGACTTTTTTTTTTCTTTATCACTGGTTTTGAGCAATTTATGGTGTGCCTTGGCATAGTTTTCTCCCTGTCCCTGTTTTTGGTGCTTGGCATTTGTAGAATTTCTTGGTTCTGTGGGTTTATAGTTTTCATCAAATTTGGAAAATCTTCACTTCAATTATACCTATATATATAGGCCATTCATTAGAAGTCATTCCACAATTCGCTATTGCTGTTTTTTCCCTCAATCTTATTTTTCTGTTTTTTATTTTGGATCTATTGCTATGTCTTCAAGTTTACCTATCCATTCTTCTATGATGTCTAATCTGCTATTAATCCAATCCAGCATGTTTTTCATCTCAGATGTTATAGATTTCATCTCTAGAACTTTGGTTTGAGTCATACTTATAAGTTCTATGTGTACTTTGCATGTTATATTTCTTCTGGCTTATTGAACATGTGGAATACAGTTATAATAGTTCTAATGTCTAACAATTCTATCATCTGTAACATTCTAGCTTTCCTGATTTTTCTTCTCATGATGGATTGCATTTTGCTGCTTTTTTGCATGCCTTATAATTTTTTATCAGAAGCTAGACATTGTGAATATTACCTTGTTGGATGCTGGATATTTTGATTATTCTATAGATATCCTTGCGTTTGTTCTAGAACACAGCTCAGTTATTTGGTAACAGTTTAATCCTTTAAGTTTTTGCTCTTAATCTTTAGGTTGTGCAGAACCAGAGAGTGCTTAGTCTAGGGCTAATTTTTGCCACTTCTGAGACAAAATTGTTTTGTGGATTCTACCTATTGCCAAAATAGGCAGTATTCATGGCCTTGTGTAGGCTTTGGAGAGCGTTCCCTTTAATATTTTCAGGTGGTTCTTCCCCATGCCTTGGGTAATTTCTTCATGCACATGTTTTGATCAGTATTCATCTGAATACCTAAGGGGAAATATCTGCAGGTCTCTGGAGCTTTGTGTGCCTCTCTCTTTCATCCTTTATCAGACTTGCAAACTTCAGCTGCTCTGATCTTTCTGGACTCCTAGCTCTATCCTCTCTACTCAGGGAGCTGGTGAACTCTGCGTGGGTTCCCCTCTCTCCAGCATGACCTAGAAACTCTTTGCATGCAGTACTCTAGGGCAAACATAGGGCTCACTTAGAGTCTCATCTCTCAGGGACCAGTTCTCTAAAAGGAGACTCCTAGCCAGACGCGGTGGCTCACGCCTGTAATCCCAGCACTTTGGGAGGCTGAGGCAGGCAGATCACGAGGTCAGGAGATCGAGACCATCCTGGCTAACACAGTGAAACCCCGTCTCTACTAAAAATACAAAAAAAAAAAAAAATTACCTAATGTCCAATGCCTTGAAAATCATTCTCATCTATAGTGTCTTTTTTTTTTTTTAGTTGTTTCAAGCAGGAGATTAAATCTCGTTAGTTACTTCATCTTGACCACAAGCCATAGATGATATTGGAAACACATGGAGAGCTTGTTGTAAGTACACATATCTTAGGGCATATTCCAGTCATACTGATTTACAAGCTGTATCAGTCAGACGAGGGTATGGTTCTGCAACTGTGTGCCAAAACTATGCCAGGCACTAGATATATAAAGTTAAATTAGGCATAGTACCTGTTTGCAAACGACTTTACAATCCACTGAGAAAGACTGGGTAAACCAAATCTTACGGTGCAATATATTAAGCATAATGTCTACATGCAGGGTGATTTGGAGCATCTTATGAGAAAAGGCATCCAAATATAGCCACATGATGGCCAAGGGAGGGTTAGCAAATGAGTCCTGGAGGAAACTGAGGAAATTTGGAAAGATGAGCTAGAGTTAGTTGTTTTAGTGGAAACAGGGGGAAAGGAAGCCATCATGCAAGAACACTCCAAGTAGAGAGGATACTGTTATGAAGGCTCAGAGGTGCCAGGTTGCATAATACCTTTGGGGAACTGCAAAAAGTTTGGAATGGCGAGATCAGAGTGGATGGAGGAAGAGGTGGTCTTCAGTGTCTCCATGTCTAAAAGGAGACTCCTGGCTGGGTGTGGTGGCTCACGCCTGTAATCCCAGCACTTTGGGAGGCCAAGGCGGGCAGATCACGAGGTCAGGAGATCTAGACCATCCTGGCTAACATGGTGAAACCCCGTCTCTACTAAAAATACAAAAAAAAAAATTAGCCGGGCATGGTGGCGGGTGCCTGTAATCTCAGCTACCTGGGAGGCTGAGACAGGAGAATTGCTTGAACCCAGGAGGCGGAGGTTGCAGTGAGCCGAGATCACGCCACTGCACTGCAGCCTGGGTGACAGAGCGAGAGTCTGTCTCAAAACAAAACAAAACAAACAAACAAACAAAAAATGGAGACTCCTCTATCCCTAACAGTGATGACTTTCATGTGGGAGAAGAAAACAAAAGAGAATAACTCATTTTATTGAGATGGGTAGGCTAGTGAAGCATTTGATAATAGATAGATCCAGTTTTCCCTTGAACCTGAGAGTATGTCTGACTTACTGACTTGTTTGTTCTTCAAAGTTTTATTAAGCACCAGTTTTACATCAGGCCATATGCTGGGTACTACATATCCAGAAATTTGTAAGACCTTATAATTTGATAGTATTTTTTAAATTGTTTTGTGTCTTAAACACTTACTATTGAGCATGTTTCTAAAAAACCTTATACCGAACAGCCGCAATCTCAGGAAAGCAATCAGTGACTGCGTTGACAGGAGAGGAAATTGGCAGCTTAGCTGAGGGCAGCACACATTAGGGACCATAAGTGAAGACTTAACATTAAGTACCAAGAAGTGTTCTGAGCATTTTATGTAAATTAACTCATTTGATAATCAGAAGACTTATTACTTACTAATCAGAAGACACTCTTTTGACAGTAGTCTTTCTATGTATTTATTTTACCTGCTACCAATCATTGTACTACCACAAAGAATGAGGAAGTCCCAGGGACCTTGGGAAGAAGAGGTGTGGTCCCTGAGAAAAGGGTTGAGGGGGTGTTGGAGTAAAAATTTTGTACCAAATGGAAGTTTTTCAAAAAGGCACAGACAACAGTTACCTCTCCAAACAAATGGATGTAGCAGTAAACCTAAGAGTTTCTTTAGGCTGTTTACTAACGTGAATAGCAACATCTTCCTAGGTATTAGGCCACCCCAAGTGTAGTTTAAAAATAAATAGTACTAGAAACGGAAGTGGAAACACATGCACAGTTTATCTTTTCACTCTTGTGAGGTCAGCAGACATCTGTAACGCACTTTCCCTACAGCAGCTAACAAAGGCAGGATGATGGTATCTGTTCTGAACGTTTGAAACAACATCACCACTTATCTTTACAGATTTCCTCAGGTTCTCAATGGAGGGCCTGAAAAACATCACTGTCAAGGATGATGCTGCTACATTTTATGAGCTGGAGACGAACGAGACCTCTCCTGATGCCTCTCCAGTCACAGGAATAATGGTTTTGAAAACGTCAATGCTCCATCTGCCTTGTACGTTGTAATCTCCTGTAGTCCATCTGAGGCCAACGTGCACAGGACCACAGTAGACAAAGAGTATTCCTGATGACAAATCTGATATTTCAGTCTACTTCTTCATGTGATATCCCAAGTATTTTTTCCTAGAGGGGAAAAATAGGTTCTTAAAATTCCAAGTTAGATTTACTGTTGAAGTGAAAACATATGGCTGCTAACTCTGCTCTATCCCAGGCGTGACCCGAGGCTCAGGAGACCATGTTAGTTTGGGGGAGGGTTTGGAGAGGTGACTGGCATTCTTGGTATGCCTGCAAGGAAGACATCAGCTAAGGTCTTACGTTACACACCCAGAGCTAACAGGCTGGATCTTTCCTTGAAGATGGGAGGGCTTCAAGGGTGTATTTAAAATGTAATAAAAGTGGGTACTGAAAGGTCAATGACTATGAAGGTTACAACTCTCTCCTTTCAAAGTGCTACAGAATGGGTGAGGTTGCAGGACTGCAGGGTAACTATGTGAATGGTGCTCCACAGAGAGCACAAAGAGCCAAGGAGTAAATCAGAATCTCGTGGTAGCTTGTTTGGCATGCCTTGTAGATAGAGTTGCTATTCATTCATTTGATCGATTCATTCACCGTTCTACAAGTACTGGCTGAACATCTATGGTGTTATGTAGAGGAATGGGAGCTATGGGAGATTAAAGGAGCCATCATAAAAACATGATCTCACCCTTACAGATTTGCAGTTTAGTTGGGAAGATGAGATGTACTCATATGAAATGTGGAATACTGAGATAGGAACCCTGAGCTTCTGGAAAGCTTGTGCATGGGACTAGATTTCTCTCCTCCCACACTACTACAAGGACAGCAGAGAGAGCCATCGAGACACTTGGTGCCAATGGAAGTCCCAGGAGGCTTACTTCCCATTGTCTTCTTTTTTTCCCGTTAAGGGACTCTGAGCACACGCCCCAATCCACATGTCCTTCACACTTCCATAGCTCATATCAGCTCATAAATATTCTTTATCATCCTCCTTTATTTTTTTCTACCCTTTGGAAAAATTAGTCATCCCTCTCACATTCTTTGTCTCCCCTCTCCTAATTTCCACTGACATGCTCCAAATTAAACTTAACTGTGGCCAAGAGTTAAGATTAAGGTTTATGATAACTTGGATAAGAAATACATTTTGAATTGAAACTACAGATGTTAAAGAACTAGTGCCATCAATTTCTAAAGCCTTTGGAAATCCACTTTAGTATTCCTACTGAATAATTCATCTTTTTTTTTTTCTAATTGGAACTGTTTTTTTTCTCCAGTACCAGCAGCCAAATTAAAAAAATAATTGCATTCATTTCTCTTTCCTCTTTTTGATTACTAGAATTAGAACTGCTAGTTTTATAAAGATTGATTGAAATATAATTATGCTATAAAATTCACTAATTCAGTGAATTCGTATATTCACTTTTAGTATATTCACAGAGTTATGCAAACATCGCCTCTGATTTTAGGACATTATCATCACTCCAAAAATAAACTTCACATCCCTTAGCAATTATTCCCATTCTCTCACCCTCAGCTCCTAGCAACGAGTCTACTTTCTGTATCTATACATTTGCCTATTCTGGACACTTCATATACATGGAATCATACAGTATATGGCCTTTTTGCCTGACTTTCTCTCACTTAGCATAATGTTTTTAAGGTTCATCCATGTATCAATACTTGCTTTATTTTTATAGTGGAATAACATTCCATTGTGTGGCTATACTACATTTTCCTTATCCATTCATCATTCATCAGTTGATGGACATTTGGGTTGCTTCCACTTTTTGGCTAATGGAAGCTATGAACATTCATGTACAAATTTTTGTATGAAAATATGTCTTCAACTTTCTTGGGTATATATCCAGGAGTGGAACTGGTAACTTTATTTTTTTTAATTTTTTTTATTTTTTGAGACAGAGTCTCGCTCTCTCTCCCAGGCTGGAGTGCAGTGGCGCGATCTTGGCTCACTGCAAGCTCCGCCTCCCAGGTTTACACCATTCTCCTACCTCAGCCCCCCTGAGTAGCTGGGACTACAGGCACCTGCCACCATGCCCGGCTAATTTTTTTGTATTTTTAGTAGAGACGGGGTTTCACCGTGTTAGCCAGGATGGTCTCGATCTCCTGACCTCGTGATCCACCCGCCTCGGCCTCCCAAAGTGCTGGGATTACAGGCGTGAGCCACTGCGCCCGGCCCCTGGAATTGGTAACTTCATAGTTAACATTTTTGGGAACTCCCAAGTGGTTTTCCAAAGGGACTGCACCATTTTACAATCCAACCAGCAACATAAAAGGTTCCAATTTCTCCACATCCTCACCGACGTCAATGCTTTTCTTTTTCATTTTAGCCACTGTAGTGGATAGAGCTCAATGTTGCTTTGATTTGCATTTTCCTACTGTTGAAATGAAGATGTCAAACAAGCGTCTTTTCATGTGCTTTTAGCCATTTATATATATTCTTTGGAGAAATGTCTATTCAAATCCATTGCTCATTTGAAAATTGGGTTATTTGACATTTTATTGTTCAATTATAATAGTTCATTATGTATTTAGATATGTCTTTTATTAGAGATTTTATTTGCAAGTATTTTTCCCCATTCTGTGGGTTGTTTTTTTTTTTTTTTCACATTCTTGGTGGTGGTGTTCTTGGAAGCACAAAACAAAATCCAATGTATCTATTCTTTCTTTTGTTGCTTGTGCTTTTGGTGTAGAACCACTGCTTTTTAATAGCATATTTATGGTATTTTAGCTACATTAGTGGGTTAAACAGATTTTTGAGAGCTAGCCTGTGAACCCAATTGATAATTATAATTTCTCTGAGAAAATATATTAAGAGGACTAACAATGATTTTTAAAATGAATGCTTGAAACATAGTCAATTGGGAATTTGATCATCTTTTGTATATTATTATGGTGCAAACATGAAGTGCTGGAGATTAGAGACTGTGCAGCCTTTGAGCTGGAAGGGTCAGGAGAGGCTTTGGGGCAGATGAGGGCTCAAGGGGGTTGTTGGGGTGAAGGAATCCTGGAAAGAAGAATAGGTAGAACTAAAATAATGTTGAGGAACCTGTCCTCCTTTTAGAATAAGCTAAGGCAGCTTAAGTTTAGAATACTTAAGAATGGCCTTGGTTGTTCAGATCAGCCACTTAGGGTTATCAAACTTGGTGCAAAAGTGGAAAATAGAAAGGAACTCAATGTACAGAAACTGAAGACCGTGGCAGCCACTGAAGACCATGGCGGGCACTTCAGACCCTTGGGCAAGATCAGCTGCACTTTCCTTCCATCAGCAAAGAGACCAAGGCTGTGTGGAGGTCCCAGGGTCACTCCAGCCATGCCTAGAGCCGACTCAATCCTCCTGCTGGCCCCTGGACCATTCTAGTGGAAAGAGAACTAAGGATAATGTGGGATGAAGGTCTGTCCGCCTAGGAATGCCTAGGCCTGTTGAGAGTTAAAGTTGTGGGGTAGTACATTTTGACACGGTGGACCTTATGTAGCTGTTTGAACATGGCAGTCTTAAGGAGACCTGAGGAACTGGGGATGAGGGATGGGAGAGGGTTTGAGGCAAAAGGGAAAGAGGTCTGTTTTGACTGATACCAGGTAATTGAAAATAGATGAAAGTTTAACTGTTGGCTTTTTATTTGGTATCAAAATGTCACCCTCAAAATGGCTGGGTCAAAGCAGCAATGACAAAATGCCATGAACCCTGAGTCTCTGCATGAGGCTTAGTCTCCGTGACCTCTAAGTATCTGCAAGTGTGAGGAACTGTCTGCCTGCCCTTGTCTCCCTGCCAGACTTCCGTTGCCTGCAAAATTTGTGAAAACAGAAATTACGTCTATCTAAACATTTCTTATCTCAGCATCTCCTCATTTCCTGTTCCATCTGACCAGTCCCTTTCCATCCACACATACCCTGCATACCCTTGGAGAGCTCAGTAAATATTTATTGATGATGAAGATAATCACTAAAAATATGTTCCCATCAATGGGATCTATCTCTGGCCACTCAAGTGTCCTAAACTCATGAGAACTGCTTCATAGATGTGTTCCCTTCATTTAAAAAAAAAAAAAAAATCCATCCCATCTCTTCTGAGTTCTGAGAAAATTTGTTTTTAAATAGGATACGCTTACCCATCCACCGTGCTGCTGGATCCATGGCGAGAAGTTCTCTTTCAGGTACTTGGTGCCAAAGCCCAGGACCCTGTTCATCGGGTGGTTGTCAATAGCTGTGAGCTTGGCCGTGACGTCTATTACAAGGGCAGCCTTAAAGCCCTGAGCTTTGACCTCTGATTCTCCCCTGGGGTCCACACCCATTAGGACCTGGTCTGTGATGGTCTTGAAAACAGAGTAGGACAGCCCATCCTGGAAGTGGCCCATCAAAGCCTTATCTTTCTTCAGCTGTGTACAAAAGAATAAGCACTCAGTACAGTAGCTTGGCTCCACGAGGCAGACAGAAGTTCATTCTTTAGCTCAAATGCAGGCCATCAAACCATCCTGTGGAAAACCCTGGATGCTGGTGTCAACCAAGGGAATGGGGATGAAGGCAGTGTCCTGCAGAACCAGAATGGGCATGTACTGCTCGGTGAATTCATTTCATCAGCACAAATACATGTATAAAATGGAACAGTCAGTTCATTTGACATTTAACAAATATTTCCTGAGCACTTATAATGGGCAGGTAGTATGGATGACTGAGATGCGGGTCCTCACTCAAAGGGCTCACAGTCTAGTGGGAATTGCAGAAAAATGTGATGTCCTTTGCTAGAAGTAGTGTAAGGGACAGGATCTGAAGCTTAGGAATCACTGTCTTGGCTCAAACCCCTGGGTCCACCTCTTACTTAGCTATGCAATCTTGGGGAAATTAACCTCTCAGATTCAGTTTGTCATCTCTAAACTAGGATGGTGATAGTATTGATACTATAGGGTAATTGTTTTCTTTCTTTTTTTTTTTTTTAAGACAGGGTTTCACTCCCATTGCCCAGGCTGGAGTGCAGTGGTGTGGTCTCAGCTCACTGCAACCTCTGCCTCCTGGGCTCAAGTGATTCTCTTGCCTCAGCCTCCCAAGTAGATGGGACTACAGGTGCATGCCACCACACCTGGCTAATTTTTTTCTATTTTTTTGTAGAGATAGAGTTTCGCCATGTTGCCCACTCCTGGGCTTAAGCGATCCACCCACCTCAGCCTCCCCAAAGTGTTGGGATTACAGGCATGAGTCCCTGCACCCAGTCTTCATTTTCTTTTCTTTTCTTTCTTTCTTTTTTTTTTTTCTGAGATGGAGTCTCACTCTCTTGCCCAGACTGGAGTGCAGAGGCGCGATCTCAGCTCACTGCAACCTCCGCCTCCCAGGTTCAAGCAACTCTCCTGTCTCAGCCTCCCAAGTAGCTGGGATTACTGGCACACACCACCACACCCGGCTAATTTTTGTATTTTTAGTAGAGACAGGGTTTCATCATGTTGGTAAGGCTGGTCTTGAACTCCTAACCTTAGGTGATCCACCTGCCTCGGCCTCCCAAAGTGCTGGGATTACAGGTGTGGGCCACTGTGCCCGTACCCAGCCTTCATTTTCTTAAGAAACTTTTATTATTATTGTTTTTTAGGGACAAGGCTTACTATATTGCCCAGGCTGGTCTCAAACTCCTGGCCTCAAGCGATCCTCCCACCTCGGCCTCCCCAGGAGCTGGGATTACAAGTGTGAGCCACTGTGCTTGGCCCTATACTATAGGGTAGTTGAACACTTTATAGTGCTGGACATAGAAGAGGTGCTTTGGAAATGCGAGTCATTTTTCAGGATGCTACGGGAGCATGGAGGTCAGGGAAGACTCCCTTGCATGCAATGTTCACTTAAAAAAACTCCAATTCATTGATTTCTTTCCCATTATTCTACCCTATTGATTTTACCTCCCGGCCTTCCCTTGAACCTGGTATCTCTCTGCTTTACCTCCTTTGAACTACCACGCCTTTAAAACAAAATCAATGCTGCCTCTTCTGCTTTTGAAAAATCAGGGCTCATATCAAAAAGCTATATATCATCTTCATTTAAAGCATTCTTGCAATGTCTGTTAATATGCTGGTTGTCATGTGAAAACGGAAATTTCTGAGTGAGCAGGGACAAAATATTTATTTGAAAATCCTCTAGTTCTGTCCTAGAGGAATGATAAGCCAAGCGGGTTTTCAACAAATATTGTTTCTAAAAGGGATATCTGGGGGATGAGTCAGATGCGATTGGGAGATTTTGGCAGACCTGTCTTTTCCCTGAACCACGCCCACCCCCACCGTCCAGGCCCCGTCTGGGTTGTGACTCTGCAGGAGGCATGGCCAGCCTCCTCCATAACAGGGAACAGACTCCTCTTCATCAGTTTCCCAATGGAGGAGGCCAGGCTCAAAACCCTAGCAGGCAGCCAAGTGGGGACTGTGCCAGAACAGTAAAAGAATCAAACGCCACAAAGACAGGGCTTCCACTGGCACCTCCTCACCCCTCCCCTGCCTGTCCCTCTCGGGTGCACCTGGCTCTTTGGCCTCTCCTGGAGGTGTAGGATGGGCCTTCGGGCTGTGTGTGCTCTTGGGACCAGCGGCTCTGCAGATCCCCTGCAGCCACACACACGGCACTCTGCAGTGGGAGCTTGGCACCCGCCCAGCACAAGGTCACACCTACCATGTGTCTCTAGCAGAGCTCCCTACTGGGGAAGCATGTAAAGGAAATAACAACCAAGGCTTTGCCATAAGCAATGTAAAATGTCCAAACTCCTTAAGAGAGAGCACCAGGCAAAGTGAGGTTTTTGAAAGTGGTAATTTGTGGGG
Source organism: Homo sapiens (assembly GCF_000001405.40). NCBI lineage: Eukaryota > Metazoa > Chordata > Mammalia > Primates > Hominidae > Homo > Homo sapiens. The sequence goes on along the minus strand of NW_011332696.1, from coordinate 61,261 downwards.
GTGAAAATGAAACCATCGCTCTTCATAACCTGAGATCGGTGGCCTTCGTCCCACCTCCAGCACCCCCACTCCGCCTTTCCCACCTCCCTGACCAATGACCACAAGTCCCTGCTTAGGGAAGCTGGGAAGGAGGTTGCCGTGAGAGCCACAGAAACTCTGAGTTGTAAAGAGCCCTTGAGGTTGTCTAAAGGACCCCTCGGAGTTCTGTGCTGAAATGCTAACTGGTATTGGCACCTACTTGCAATTCTTCCCGTGACAGGAAGATCATTCTCTCACAAGGCACCCGTTGACTCTCATGGGCAGCCTGGAATGCCTATTCTCCAGGAATGGAGGTTCATTCTTACCATAAGGAGAAATCAATCACCCCATACTAGGCATAATTTGTGTATCCATGACACTAGCTCTGGAGAAATGCAGGGGTGCCCTTAAATCATGATCCTGTTCCATCTCTTGCTTCCTCTGCACCCCTCTCCACCCTCTACTTGTGGTCCCAAAGCTCACACACCCCGTTCTCTTTTCTTTAACCTAATATCCCTGGTTTTCTCGCTGTTTCTCATTCTGTCCCATCTCCCAGGTGCTTCGCCCTCTGGGTCACCAGCCTCTGGGCACACTTTTGACAAAGCTATAGACAGGAGCTGTTTGTCTTCCTGCAGAACCTCCCATCCCCACCCCCAGGGTCTGACTCCCTCCCCACAGATTCTGGAAAAACAAGGGTCTATGTCTGCAAGCCAGCCCCTGATTGACAGATTCTAGAGACTACTCAGTCGTCTGTGGGTTATGGACCCAGGAGGCATAGAGAAGCCCTTTTGACTCTGTTGAAGGTTTGCTCACCAACTGTTTACCTGAAGGCAACTCTCACCCGTTCCTGATTGGAAAGATGGGTCTCAACTTCCAAATGGCAGGAAATCCATACATTCTCCCAGTAACACTAGCGCACCTCCCTGGCTGAACTGCTAAGAGAGCCCTTAAACAGGCAACAGTCCAGCAACTACAGGGGAAAAAGATTCCAGAAAGTATTCCAGCTTTGGAGCAACTGTGGGACACAGATATCCAGGCTGCAAAGCAAATGCGAGTCTAAACTTCAATGAGGATCAGTTACATGGGGAATGAGATTAATAATTCCATCCAGCAAATTTTAATTTACTGGTGTCTTTTCTTGCAATAACAAGTTTCTTTTTTAGTTTCCAAAAATTCCAAGGAGGCTCCAGAAGGTTTACTTATGTTTTCCAAAGTGACTCATTTTTGAGATTCTACCAGCATGAAGAATTTTGACTCCAAGGGAAATAAAATTTAGGACTAAGTAGAAACCAGGACTTAGAAAGGGAATAAGGTTGCAACCTGGAATACAATTCCATTCTCGTGTACTAGTGCATGGGCACAGAAATCAATCGCATCAGTTCAAGGTGTTCCATACCTTTCTTTCCAACTGATCTCCTGAATATTTCAGCAGCTCAACAATTTTGGCTAGTATTTGTTCTTCTTCATCTGTCGGGGAAAATTCCAGTTATTTCTTTTAAGAGAAGCAAAAAATAATCTTACATTTTTCCAGGGACAATGAATGCTTGTGGCTTGGTAAGGGCTGGAGGAAGAGGCATGCTAATTCTTTTTTTTTTTTTTATTTTTTATTTTTTAGACAGAGTTTTGCTCTTGTTGCCCAAGCTGTAGTGCAATGGTGCGATCTTGCCTCACTGCAACCTCTGCCTCCCAGGTTCAAGAGATTCTCATGCCTCAGTCTCCCAAGTAGCTGGGATTACAGGCGTGTGCCACCACGCCTGGCTAATTTTTTTGTATTTTTACTAGAAACCCAGGTTTCACCATGTTAGCCAGGCTGGTCTCAAACTCCTGACCTCAGGTGGTCCACCCACTTCGGCCTCCCAAAGTGCTGGAATTACAGGCATGAGCCACTGTGCCTGGCAAGAAGCATGTTCATTCTTATCAAGTAAATCTTACCTCGCCTCTTCTGCCCAGACACAAACCATACTAGGGATTTCTCCTACAGCCCCTTCCTTTCCTTCTTTCCCCTTCTTCCTTTGCTCAGTCCCCCAGCTCTCACTGTGAAATTCATCGCTGTAGTTACCTTAAGCTTGTTGTTGAAGACATCGGTTTCACAGCACAGGATTCTGTCTATGAAGATATTTAGGGGGAATATTCTTCTGGTTTTTGGATTTTTCCTCAGCAGATGGTGCTTTTATCTTATGGACACCATAAATCTCATATTTGATTATATTTCACTCTTTGGGTTAGTTGCTAGAAAGTATAGAGCCAAATTTGTGGCCCATATCTAAGAGAGTGGATAGTCTTGCTGGCCTACATTTTGGAAATTAACCTAATTCCCAAATCCGTCTTATTTTCCTGTTTTTGTTTTCTTTTTACAAAGATATCTTTCAGATTGATGGATTTTATCTGACTAAAATTTATTCTTTGTATGCTGGGTCTTGACAATAAGGTGGGATATAAATAAGTAAAATTAATAAATTCCCCTATGGCCAAGGCTAAAAGGGCAGATGGATAGGAACGTGGCCACGGTTGGTGTATGGTGTGTGTTGGGGGGACAGGGTGCAGTGGAGTATGTGAGTCTTGCTCTGTCACCCAGGCTGGAGTGCAGTGGCACGATCTTGGCTCACTGCAACCTCCACCTCCCAGGTTCAAGTGATTCTCCTGCCTCAGCCTCCCGAGTAGCTGGGACTACAGGTGTGTGCCACCACACCCGGCTAATTTTTTTGTATTTTTAGTAGAGATAGGGTTTTGCTATGTTGGCCAGGCTGGTCTTGAACTTCTGGCCTCAAGAGATCCGTCCGCCTCGGCCTCTCGAAGTGCTGGGATTACAGACGTAAGCCACCGTGCCCAGGCTTGGCAAAATAAACCTTCTTCTTCTACTTTTTTTTTTTTTTATTGAGATGGAGTTTCACTCTTGTCACCCAGGCTGGAGTGCAATGGCGTAATCTTGGCTCACTGCAACCTCAGCCTCCCCAGTTGAAGCGATTCTCCTGCCTCAGCCTCCCCAGTAGTTGGGATCATAGGCACCTGCCACTATGCCTGGCTAATTTTTTTGTATTTTTAGTAGAGAAGGGGTTTCACCATGTTGGCCAGGCTGGTCTTGAACGCCTGACCTCAGGCGATCCACCTGCCTTGGCCTCCCAAAGTGCTGGGATTACAGGCACGAGCCACCGCTCCCGGCCAAAATAAAAGTTCTACACTGAGTAAGATCTGTCTCGATATATTGGGTTAACACTCTCTTAGGGAAAGTTGCTGGCACAGCTGCCTGTATTTCTCCTGTGCACAGAGGATGAGGTCATCTTAGCTTTAGCTTGGTTTAGGGGTGGCATTCCATCTCCCAAGCCCATGTGGGATAGTAATAAAATGTCACACTGTTTTTTTTTAGCAGACTCAGAGGCCTCCTCCTCTCCTCCAGCTCTTCACACGGTCCCCTGAGCCTCTGTGGCAGCTGTGGCCCCTTTAGTGTGGCTACCGCTCTGCATCGGGGTTGGGAGACACGGATACCTTTGGAGGGAGAACCTTCACCTTGTTCTTTAGGGAGGTGCAAACCCAAGATCCACCTTGGCCTCACTGTTAGAGGAGTTAAAAAGAAATGATTTAGGCAGATAGTGAGGGTAAGGAAGTTCTCGGGAAGGTTTTCCTTTTAATGAAAAGCAGCCCCAAATCATTTTCTTTTCTAACAAAGAGTAGCCTGTAAAATTGAGCTGCAGACATAGACAAGCAAGCTAAAAGCTTGCACAGTGAATGTTGGCAGCTGTGCCAATAGGAAAAGGCCACCTGGGACTAGGCATGTCCAACATGGCGGCCGCATTTTCCCTTTTCCTTTCCAACCACGTGTGCCCTAGGGAGCAGACAACATGGCGCTGGGCAAGTGGAAAGCCCACTTGCGTAATAAGATGAGGGTGGGGTGGCCAGCTTCCCCCATGCTATGTAAACGTCACACCTGGTTCAACTGATCTTTGGATCCTATGTAAATCAGACACCACCTCCTCAAACCTGTCTATAAAATCCGGTGCACTCTGTCGCAGGCCAGAAGTCACATTTGGGTTCCCCTCTCTGTCGCAGGAGAGAGAGCTGTTCTCCTTTCTCTTTGTTTTGCCTATTAAACCTCTGCCGCTAAACTCACTTCTTGTGTGTGTCCATGTCCTCGATTCCCTTGGCATGAGACAACGAACCTCACGTATTTATCCCAGACAATGAGGCTGCGTCATCACAACCTCCACTGTAGTTTGTGGAGGGAGCCAGGAGCAAGAACTGTGGTGGGGGAATGCCGGGCAGAGCTTCTCTTCCAGTGGCACTTGGCTTTGCTCCCCTTGACTCTCCCCTCAGTGCCTTGAGTTACCACCAGCCTGATGGGATCTACAGTCTCAGCTATTGCTATGGTTTGGGTGACAACTGACCCAGCCTTGTCACTACTTCTCAGTTCTGCTCCATGTCTTGCACCATAGCTGGTGCCTGACAACCCCTGCTTTTTCACAAAGCCCTAAAGCAATGTTATAATATAAATCCCTGGCTTGACGCTCCAACTGTACCTGATGCAAATTGGCCCAGGGTCACTGGTAACATGATCAGATCTAACATTGCATTTTCCGCCACAGACAAGGCTGAATGCGGGCTTTGTGTTTCCTCCTCTCCCTCTGTAGGAGACTTTCCTTTCTTACTTAGCAGAGAGCTGGGAATGTTTTTTCAACCTGCTGGGGCAGCCCCCTTGCCTTGGGCTGGTGTCTCAAGCTGGAGCTCATTGCCCACAGCCTGTGGCTGTCAAGCCCTCAGTCCAGGCAGCGGAGACTGTCAAGTTGCCGAGCCCTGGGATGGATAAATACACAAATGCTCCTGCGCCCCTGCCTGGCAAACACTCCACCCAGGGAAGGAAAGCTTACCTTTCTTAGAACTTGAAGCTACAGGCACGTGGCCTTGGAGCTGGAAGGAGAGACCCTCAGTTACAAAAATCTCTTTGGACTTGAAGCCTCCTGCCTGGGTCGCTTGTGGTGGTGGCCAGGAGTAAACAATTTCAGCTACTCGGTTGGCAATGGAAATGACTTTGGGGTCCACAGCTGAAACAAGACAAAATGGTGCTGAGAGGCCCTTCCCAGAACTTCATCTGGCTCATTGGTATGCAAAGTTGCCTGGAATGAAAAGACCAGGCCAGAATAGAAGGAAACTGCCTGGGAGTATGTGTGCTGGGGGAGGGTCATTCTTCAGAAAGGACTGAAAGTTGCCTGGCAGAGGCCGGGATGTGGGAGGGGTGCATGCAGGAATGATTGTCACCTTGAAACAATTGGCCTTCTGCACACTCTTTTTGAAGTCTTGCAAAATTAGGGTCTCCTTTCCCCTTTGCAAGGGAAGAGACACAAAAAGGAGTGCTTAGCTCTTTACTTGAAGGAATGCTCATTATGCTTTTATTTTTATTCTTTTTTCTCGACATGCTTTATACCTCTAAGAGCCAGCCCCTACATGCATAGGAGGACATTCGATAATTTGACAAGCATTTCGGGGTTGGTCACTGAAGAAAGAAATATCCCTGCTCTCAGGGCAATGAGATTCATCATCCAAGTCCATTATCAAGTGAACACCTAACTCCCGTTGCTGGTACAGTTCTGCCTCTTCTCTCCTCTCCATGTCTACTGGAAAACATTCAATGAATGCTTATAGGTAAACAAGGATGCAGTCAGCACAACTTACGGCCTTCAAGAATTTACAAGCTGAGAAAAGAGTTACGTCATGTATTTGCATACAGAATTGTAGAATAAAGCACTTTGAGATAGGACGGTGAAATGGCATTGGCCCAGTGAGTGTTGTAGCCTATAAGAGACCAGTCGCCTTTGCCCCTGAGTGGGGAAGAGGGGAGGTGGGGTGGGCAGATGGCATGGCTGAGTTGCTGGGTGGTAAAATTTTCACTGTTGATTTGTCACTAAGTTCTAACCTTTTATTTGTTTATTTACTTTTTTCCAGACAGAGTCTCACTCTGTCACCCAGGCTGGAGTGCAGTGGTGTGATCACAGCTCACTGCAGCTTGGATCTCTCAGGCTCAAGCGATTGTCCCACCTCAGCCTCCTGAGTAGCTGGGATGACAGGTGTGCATCACCACGCCTGGCTAATTTATTAAAATTCTTTTTCTAGAGATAAGGTCTCCCTATGTTGCCCAGGTTGTTCTTGAACTCCTAAGCGCAAGCAATCCTCCCACATCAGCCTCCCAAAGTGCTAGGATTACAAGGATGAGCCACCACCACACCCAACCTAAATCCTAAACTTTTAAAAGCTTGTACAAGCTGTCTTGGATGCCGTGTGGAGCAGCTGGGTTTTACCATGTAACATTTGAAGACTAACATTAGGTAATTCACAGGACTTGAAGACAGTAATGGAGTGGCGTTTTGGACAGAAGGTTGGTGTGCTCAAACTCCTAGGGCACTTCTGGGCTTTGTACAGCACTGGAGGTAAGAGAGGCAAGTAGGGGGCCTGGGAGGGACTGAGCCACAAGAGAAACAGGTTTTGACATCATATGCAGCTGCCAAGGTGGCTCCTGATCCCTCTCCCTGGATTCCTCCAAGCTGAAGGCTTCAGTGTCCTCCCTTCAGCCCTCCAGCCATTCACGGAAAGGCCACAGAAGATACTGCTCTGTCCATGATGCCATCCTCTGGTGGACATCTGACTCATAAAGCCATCTTTTCCATGGTTAGTCCACAGGGTTCAAAAACCAATAAGAAGCGAATGACGGAGAGAAGAAAGATCAAGAAGAAAAGGATCAATGTCTTTCCTCCTCGTTTTTTAAGAACCAAGCGAAACAGACTTTCCACTTTGTAATCCCCTTATTGCAGCCCAGCCGGCCTCCGCTGGAACTCTGGCCACCCATGGCCCCTGGCAAAGAAAGAAATGGCAAGAGGCTATCTTCCAAAGCCAAGGGAAACTTCCCTGGCCATGTCCTCAGGAGATGAGAAAGGAAAGCAGGCCTCTGCTGCCTTTTCAACCTTGTGCAGCTCATCTAGGGTAATCAGCATGCGGTTCTACCACCAGAAAGCACCCTGTGCCCATCTTGCACATTAAGAAGCTCCATGAAGGGTCCCAAAGGCTCTGTCCCCTCCTCCTCTCATAAGGCAGGGTGGCCACAAGATCACCAACAGGTACAAAATTACTCAATCTGGCTAACTGTGTACAGGGTATTGACTTTTTTTTTTTTTTTTTTTTTGAGACGGAGTCTCGCTCTGTTGCCCAGGCTGGAGTGCAATGGCACGATCTCGGCTCGCTGCAACCTCCACCTTCTGGGTTCAAGCCATTCTCTCTGCCTCAGCCTCCTGTGTAGCTGGGATTACAGGACGTAGTGGCTCCCGCCACTACGTCCAGCTAATTTTTGTATATTTTCAGTAGAGACAGGGTTTTGCCATGTTGGCCAGGCTGGTCTTGAACTCTTGACCTCAGGTGATCCTCCTGCCTCAGCCTCCCAAAGTGCTGGGGTTACAGCAGGGTATTGATTTCTGTGGGTTTGTGGACATGGAGTGAGACATGTCCAGGAGAAACTATAAGCAAACATGTTCCCACAGATGCACTAGCTCTAGTTAAAATTCCCATCTTGGATATTTTAATTTTAAAACATGAAAAAGAAAAGATTATATCCTTGTCAGACTTGGTCCTGTCTGATAGGCGAGGGAACACTGGATGGGGTGGGGAGAAGACAGAAAGGCTGTCTGTTCCTTGGAGTCTGTTTTGGGGGTCATCGTGGCGCCAGGAAGAGCAGGCCAACAGGGTCGGAAGGTCCCATTTCGCCTGTGGTCTGAGGCATTTGTTTTAAAGAGAAAGGGCAGGGGGTTGGGGTGTGACTTCCTTATGGACTGCTCTTTCCCACTCAGTATCCACTTTCTTCTTCTTCCTTAGTAACAGACCTCTAAAATGTGAGGGGCAGCAATGAACCCAGCTGAACAAACTATATTCCCTGGGCTCCCTTGCAGTAGGGAAGGGCCAATGAGATGTCAGAAGCTGGGGGCAGTTTCAAGAAAGCTCTCGAAAAGGGAGCTAAGGCTGGGTGCGGTGGCTCACGCCCGTAATCCCAGCATTTTGGGAGGCCAAGGCGAGGCCATCATTTTAGGCCAGGAGTTCGAGACCAGCCTGGGTAACACAGACCCCATCTTTACAAAAGATTAAAAAATAATAATAAAATAAAAGGGAGCTGAATTACCTAGAAAGAAGGCACCCTTTGCCCTTCCTTTGCTTCCTTTTTATTCTTGCCTGAGATGTAGACATGATGGGTGAAGCCCCAACAGCCACCTTTAGAATATAAGGTGACTTTGAGGTGGAAGCCACGAGCTGAGGGATGGCAGAATTCCCAGGAATTCTTTTTTTCACCCCGTCATCCAAGCTGGAGTGCAATGGTGTGATCTCAGCTCAGTGCAACCTGCGCCTCCCAGGCTCAAGTGATTCTCCTCCTTCAGCCTCTCGAGTAGCTGAGACTGCAGGCGCGCACCATGGCGCCTGGCTAATTTTTGTATTTTTTTTAATAGAGACGGGGTTTTGTCATGTTGCTCAGGCTGGTCTCAAACTCTTTGGCTCAAGTGATCTGCCCACCTCAGACTCCCAAAGGGCTGGGATTATAGGCATGAGCCACCCTGCCTGGCCATTCCCAGAAATTCTTAATAACTTTGTGGAGCTGTCATATCATGCCTGAGCTGCCAAACTTTTGTCCTCTTTTAAAGGAGAGAAAAGCAAACCTGTATATTATTTAAGCCATGGGTATTTGAGTGTTCCACTGTATATCGCTGAACCTCACCTTAACTATAACATTCCACGTGAGCAAATCGTAGCTATGGAGAAACAAAAGATTCACAAGTGAAAGAGCCTGGGTTGGTAGTCTTTAAAACTGGTGTTATTGTCCATTTCTCTGCATCCTGAGGCCTCTTCCTAACAGAGTTTGGTCTTGGGACATAATCTCACAGTTCCCATGTAAGCCCGGTACTGAGGCCTGGCAGTGGCTGTACAAGGCTACATAGTGACTTACAGTTAAAATAACCCAGGTGAGGCCAGGCACGGTGGCTCACGCCTGTAATCCCAGCACTTTGGGAGGCTGAGGCGGACAGATCACGAGGCCAGGAGATCGAGACCATCCTGGCTAACACGATGAAACCCTGTCTCTACTAAAAATACAAAAAATTAGCCGGGCGTGGTGGTGGGCGCCCGTAGTCCCAGCTACTCGGGAGGCTGAGGCAGGAGAATGGTGTGAACCCAGGAGGCAGAGGTTGCAGTGAGCCGAGATCAGGCCACTGCACTCCAGCCTGGGTGACAGAGCAAGACTCTGTCTCAAAAACAACAAACAAACAAACAAAAAAGAACCCAGGAGAAACCAAATTTGCAAGGCCTGATTTGTATGTGGCAAAATAGAAATAGAATGTGAGGCTCTCTTGGATCACGCTCAATGTAAAACCGACACAAGTAACACAAGTAAAAAACACACAATTAACTGACTAAATGCAAGCGTGAGGAGAAAGGTGATAAGGGAAGATAAGCTGTAAATATGTGTTTAAAGCCTTCTTAGGAGGTAATCATTTTTCATTTTTTATGGAGAATATTATTCAGCCATAGGTACTATTCAGCTATTCAGCACATTAACACATCACCTAAGTGTTTTTGAATGTAATCTTTAATTCTCAATCTCACATAAAAGTTTTCTTTCCCTACTGAAAAAAGAAATAAAAGCTTCTCTTGAAATTTTAGAAAATAAAAAAAATGTCAAATGACACTCCAGTAAATACTGAAATACAGAATGCAATTTATCTCAGGAAAAACCAGAAGACTAAGGTCTGTAAAAGCTTTCTCTGTCTGCTGGCAAAGTCCACAGTACAGGCCAAGTAGAAAAGCCTATTTAGGTGCCTCCAAACTGTTCTTTGCCCCAGAGCCCAGATGCCACCCCCGGCAGAAGAAGCCATGGCTGGGTGAGGGCAGCTGAGGGGTGGGGAGGCAGATGTGGAGGGAAGGACCACAGGGGGCCGCTCCCTCTTGCCCTAGACCTGCCCTAGCTGGGCAGAGTTCAGAGAGCAGATGCCTTGCTGTAAAAATGAAACAAGTCTAGGGAGAGGCCTGGACTTCTGGTGAGTCCAGGCTCTGCTACTTCCTGGATGTTTCCTTGGTAAGCCCTTTTTGTGGGACTCCCATTTCCTCATCCTGTCTGTGCCATGAGGTTCCCTCAGATGATCCTGACCATAACTCCCACTGTTCTAAACATCTGAAACTCTAATGGGAAAAGGGAGTTTCCTTGATCATAGTGAGTGATCTAAAGCTGTCTATGAGTGGGCTGATTCTCCAAGCAAGCCAGGACTGTCACATTTAAAAACTGAGACATTACTGCCACCTCTTGACTAATTATTGACAAGTTACCCAGGCCAATGAAACTCAGCAGGAGGGGGCCTTTCTTTTAAAATCTGGCTTTGCGGCTGGGTGCAGTGGCTCACACTTGTAATCCCAGCACTTCGGGAGCCCAAGGTGGGCAGATCACGAGGTCAGGAGTTCGAGGCCAGCCTGACCAACATGGTGAAACGCTGTCTCTACTAAAAATACAAAAATTAGCCAGGCCTGGTGGTGCGCGCCTGTGATCCCAGCTACTCAGGAGGCTGAGGCAGGAGAATTGCTTGAACCTGGGAGGCGGAGCTTGCAGTGAGCCGAGATTACACCACAGCACTCCAGCCTGGGCGACAGAGCAAGACTCCATCTAAAACACCTTAAAAAAAAAAAAAAAATCTGGGCTTTGGGCACTGGGCTTTGTTGAAGGGGAAGAAGATGCTTATGCCAAGGTGTGCGCATGAAGGGCAACTGTCTTTTTTTTTTTTTTTTTGGAGACAGAGTCTCATTATGTCACCCAGAGCTGGGGTGCAGTGATGTGATCTTCGCTCACTGCAGCCTTGACCTCCTGAGCTCAAGTGATCCTTCCACCTCAGCCTCCATAGTAGCTGGGACAACAGGCATGTGCCACCATGCCTCGCTAATTTTTTTATTTTAATTTTTTAATGGAGACAGGGTCTTGCTATGATGCCAGGCTGATCTCAAACTCTTGGTGTCAAGTGATCCTCCTGCCTTGGTTTCCCACAGTGCTGAGAGTATCGACGTGATGGGCTCTCACTCTGTCACCCAGGCTGGAGTGCAGTGGCATCATCTTGGCTCACTGCAACCTCTACTTCCCAGGCTCAAGCCATCCTCCCACCTCAGCCTCCCGAGTAGCCAGGACCACAGGCGTGCACCACCATGTCTGACTAATTTTTTTGTATTTTTTGGTAGAGACAGGGTTTTGCCATGTTGCTAAGGCTGGTCTTGAACTCCTGAGCTCAACCGATCCACCCACCTTGGCCTCCCAAAGTGCTGGGATTACAGGTATGAGCCTCAGTGCCTGGTGAAAATGTTTCATTAAGTACAATTAATTTTGTCCAACTGAGGGAAGATTTTGTCTAAATGCTTCTCAGTTGTTTTTGTAGGATGGTTTGTACTTTGTCAAGAGTCCTTTTACTCTTGCTCTCTGATCTTCCCATCAACCATACGAGGTGGAGAGAGTGGGGTACCCAATGTACAGATGGAAACACAGAGGCCCTGAGCGAATGAGTTGACTTAGGAAGAGCAGCGGCCCAGGCAGCCCAAGCAAGCCCCTGGTTAGGGCTCGTTCTTTTTTTTTTTTTTTTTTGAGACAAAGTCTTACCCTGTAGCTCAGGCTGGAGTGCAGTGATGCAATCTCGGCTCACTGCAACCTCCGCCTCCCAGGTTCAAGCGATTCTCTTGCCCCAGCCTCCCGAGTAGCTGGGAATACAAGCATGCGCCACCATGCCCGGCTAATTTTTTGTATCTTTAGTAGAGACGGGTTTTCACTATGTTGGCCAGGCTAGTCTTGAACTCCTGACCTTATGATCTGCCCACCTCAACCTTCCAAAGTGCTGGAATTACAGGCATGAGCCACTGCGCCTAGCCTCCTTCTTTTATATTGGTGTCTGGTACAGAGGACTAGGAATTTGGGAAACAAGCTTATTTATAGACAGTGGAGAAAGAAAACCAGTCCCAGCACCCTTAACTTCCATCATTTCCTTTTAGTCATTTTTTTTTTTTTGACGGAGTCTCACTCTGTCACCCAAGCTGGAGTGCAGTGATGCCATCTTGGCTCACTGCAAGCTCCGCCTGCTGGGTTCACGCCATTCTCCTGCCTCAGCCTCCCGAGTAGCTGGGACTACAGGCACCCGCCAACACGCCCGGCTAATTTTTTGTATTTTTTAGTGGAGACGGGGTTTTACCGTGTTAGCCAGGATGGTCTCAATCTCCTGACCTCATGATCCACCCGCCTTGGCCTCCCAGAGTGCTGGGATTACAGGCGTGAGCCACCGCGCCCAGGCAGCAACTCCTTTTAGTCTTGAGAAAAGCAGGGCAATTATGATTGAACACTAATAAGTTGGAAAGCTGAGGCACAACGCATGCCTTCTCTAAAGCCACTTTACAACATGAGAAGAGATGTACCACTCTGGACACAAAGAAGGGAAAAACCAGGAAGCGGGAGAGAAAGAAATCCCAGATGCCTACCTTCATGCTCCAAGCACTGCTCCACGTTAGAAAGACACCTGGACCACTGCTGGCTGTGCGAATCTTGGTATTCCAACGTCCTTTGACCCTGAGCAGAGACCTTGGCAGGCGTGCTCTGCGAATCTTCCTTCTCCACTACTCCAAAGAATGCTTTCCAAGAAGACTTTTTCTTGCCAAGGTTTATGGCCTTCTCACTGGATTGGGAATTTCTGCAAGGCCATGACACCTCTGTCCATGACTCATTTGCTGAACAATTCCCCAGGCCCCTCTGGGACAAACTTCTTGTTCTCAGCAGCTTTGGTGAGAAGAGAGCAGGGGTGCTCTTGAAGACATGATGTCTGGTGTAGTAGGCGAGGATTTTGAATTCTATGGTGTTTAGGTCATCATCATCTAGGGGGATTTCTTCCAGGTCACACCCACTGGTGCTACACATGTTGGGCCTGTAACAACAAAGTCCACACTGTGCCCTTCTATGCAGGGCCACTTACCCTTTGCAGGTTAGGAGAGACAGGGGTGAAAACTCAGGAAACATTTATTGAACATCTATTGTGTTTGTGCTGGAGGGTAGAGAGGGAAAAGCCACAGTCTTACTAGGGTGGGAAGAGAGACATGGCCATAGATAACTCCACATAAAGAAAATGAACTGCCGGGTGCGGTGGCTCACGCCTGTAATCCCAAAACTTTGGGAGGCCAAGGCGGGCAGATCATGAGGTCAGGAGTTCAAGACCAGCCTGGCCTATACAGTGAAAGCCCGTCTCTACTAAAGATACAAAAATTAGCCAGGCATGGTGGCGCACGCCTGTAGACCCGGCTACTTGGGAGGCTGCGGCAGAAGAATCGCTTGAACCCAGGAGTCGGGGGTTGTAGTGAGCTGAGATTGCGCCACTGCACTCCAGCCTGGCGACAGAGTGAGACTCCGTCTCAAAAAACAAAAAACAACAGAGAGAGAATGAACTAATGAACTAAGTAAGAGGTCTAACAGAGATGCAGATAGCCAGGTTAGAAGGCAGGGATAGGTGAGCTTCAAAGAAAGAGGCAAGTGAAAGCTTTTGGAAAGCTAGAAGGAGTTAGACAGGTGGGTGGATATTGGGGCTACAACAGGGCGGGCAGAGGGGAGATTATAGGTGAATTCAGAATGTGTTTGAAGAGTGGTGAGAGAACTGGGACAGCATACGTATGCAGTTTGCAAATAGCCAGGGCTTGAAAATAGTGGAGGGAAAATAAGTGAACTAGCACTTGGGTCCAGATTATGGTGGTCTTTGACTATCAGGCTGAAGCTTCGCATTTTCTCACGTTGATCAGTACATTTCAAAATGAGCTGTGGACTGTGGAGTTAAAGGTCTTGCTGGGGAGGTGGCAAAAGAGGGAGGCCAATTCAGGGAAGAGAAATGCCTGGGACCTGACCCTTCCCTTCCTCGGTTCCTTCTCCCTCTACCCTCTGCTTTAGCTTGTCCCGGCTTCTCTCTCCTCTCTCTCTCTCTTTCTTTTTTCTTGCTATATTTGGTATGCCATGTAAGATTTCATCTGAAAAAAGCATCCTGTTATTTTATTTTACTTTTTACGAATTTGAAACACACTGATGGAGGCAATGGAGAGCTGTTCAAAGTTTTGAGTAGAGAGTGATGTGATCACAGGCATGTTTGAAAAAGATCAGTACAAGCACTAAAACAACAGGATGCAAGCATTTCTTCTTTATTTCCATACGAATAACAGGATAGATAAAGAACTGATTTTGTTCAATTTCCTTTGCTTGAGCTTACATGAAATAACTCCTTCTCTGGTTTCCTGCTAGGAAAGCAGTTCTTTTTGCTAATAATCTGTTTCCTTCTGCTGTCTGTTAAGGACTACATTTTCCTTTTAGTCTCAGATGCGAGAAAGCTCAGATCTACCGTGTGAAATGTCCCAGGCAGTGAGCGTATCAAGAATTAGCTTGGGCTTCTCAGTCTAACAGTCCCAAATTCAGATTGTGGCCATGCCAGTGACTAGTTTTGTGACCTGTGGCAGGTTACTCCATCTCTCCAAACATGAACTTCCTGCAGGCAAATTGTAAATAATAATAGTCATCTTGCAGGGATATTGTAAGGGTGTAAGATACACAAGAGAAGTTCCTGCACAGAACCTGGTTCAAAAGTGGTAGCTATGTTTTTTTTCTAGTTCAGCTGTTGTCCTAGGCCCCAGGCTCTCTTTTTTTTTTTTTTTTTGAGACTCAGTTTTGCTCTGTTGCCCAGGCTGGAGTGCAGATCATAGCTCACCACAGCCTCAACCTCCCCGGCTCAAGGGATTCTCTCACCTCAGCCCCTCAAGTAGCTGGGAACACAGGCACATGCCACCACACCTGGCTAATTTTTTTGTTTTGTCTTTTAGAGACAAGGTCTCGCTATGTTGCCCAGTCTGGTGCGAAACTCCTGGGCTCAAGTGATCCACCTGCCTCAGCCTCCCAAAGTGCTGAGATTACAGCCATGAGCTACCATGCCCGGCCTCAGGCTCTGTCTTAATATGGCTCTTAATAATGTTCCCTTCCCTTTCTGGTCCTAATTTAAGACGGTCTTTCGGCATGTAAGCTGCTGTGATGATAAAGAAGCTGCAGTAATATTAAGGGGACTGGCTGGCATGTTCCTCTTTTTCTTTCCACTGTACCTTGTCATACCAGGACCAAATGATAAAGAAATGGGACAGTAACTGCAGACAGGGTTTGAGGCAATGTGAGGTGGTACAGACAAGTTGGCCTGGGTGTCTGAAGGATGGATAGCCACGGCTGGCTCAGCTTCTAACCTGCAACATCCTTGGGCAAGTCACGCCACCTTTTTGTTCCTCGGTGTCCAAGTTGTTAGATAGAATAAGGATATTCTCTAACTTTTCCCCCTGGTTCTGCTATTGGAAGGAGGTGTAGGAGCTGAAATATCTCCCCTGAGGGCCTGCTGGATGCTGCCTTTTTCCATCACTGTCTCCTCTCCTTTACTTAGAAGAGGCTCACATTGGCTGATAGCGAAGCTGTTGATCTGAGGAACTGCTCCTTGGCCAGGCCCCAGGAAAGCAAGGGTCCCTGGCTAGGTGCGTTCTGATGGAAGTGAGCCTGGGAGGGATGCAGCGGGCTATGCTGCAACATCAGGTGATGCTGGAGGGGACAAAAATGGCCCTCCCAGTGCAGCAAAGGGCAAGTTGCAAAACCCACCAGACCAACTACACAGATACAATTATACAACTTCCAAGCCCCGCAAACCTCCCTCACATAACTGGATGTAAGCAAATGCTTGAGGAGTATGGCATGAAGTGGGGGTCATGACTGCAATCCTTCCTCCTCCTCTGCTGTTTCTTCACATTCCTGTCTTATTCCAGGGCTTGGACAATCTTTCTTCCCGCCACTGCTCCAATTTCACATTCACTTACATGCATTTCACTTACATGCAAATCGTTTGCTCTGTAAGGAGTCACGTCAGTGTCTCCTCGAAGGTCATGTTCCTTACTGCTTTTCCACTTACCCCTTCCCGCTCCCCAATTCCATCCAATCCCACCCTCCCCCATGCATTTTCCGGGCATCCCACCCTCCCCCATGCATTTTCCGGGCATCCCACCCTCCCCCATGCATTTTCCGGGCATCCCACCCTCCCCCATGCATTTTCCGGGCATCCCACCCTCCCCTCATCCATCCTGCAGCACAGCCCTGTCCATTCTGCTTGTACTGGACATCTGGTGACCCTATACTCACCCCAGCTCCACTTCCCTGTTCCCAATGACCAATCTTGGTCTCACTAAAGGTGAGACAACCATTATGTGTCTCCTGATCCAAAAACATTGGATCCGAATCTGATCAAGCCTCTGGATCTAATGATCAGTTTACAGGAAATACAGGGGACAGAGAAATAAACTAATGACCACAAGAAGGCAGCTATCCAAATTCAGTATCTGGTAAGTTCTGCAAGACAAATGGCCGGTTTCTTCAACAAATAAATGGCGCCAAAAAAAGGTGAAGACAGAGAACTGCTACAGCTTAAAAGAGACATAAGAAACATATCCGGCAGGGGACGATGGCTCACGCCTGTAATCCTAGCACTTTGGGAGGCCAAGGCGGGTAGTTCACCAGAGGTCGGGAGTTTGAGACCAGCCTGACCAACATGGAGAAACCCCGTCTCTACTAAAAATACAAAATTAGCCAGGCATGGTGGCACATGCCTGCAATCCCAGCTACTCGGGAGGCTGAGGCAGGAGAATCACTTGAACCCAGGAGGCGGAGGTTGCAGTGAGCCGAGATCACGCCATTGCATCCAGCCTGGGCAACAACAGCGAAACTCCGTCTCAAAAAAAAAAGAAAGAAAGAAAGAAAGAAAGAATAGAAACATATCAGGCAGGGCACAATCGTTCACGCCTGTAATCCCAGCACTTTGGGAGGCAGGAGTTCAAGAGCAGCCTGGCCAACGTGGTGAAACCCTGTCTCTAAAAAAAATACAAAAATTAGCTGGGCATGATGGCAGGTGCCTGTAATTCCAGTGAGTTGGGAGACTGCAACAGGAGAATCACTTGAACCTGGGAGGCAAAGGTTGCAGTGAGCGGGGATCGCGCCATTGCACTCCAGCCTGGGTGACACACGGAGACTCTGTCTCAAAAATAAATAAATAAATAAAAAGAAAAAAAAGAAACATATTAAAAAAAAAGAGACATCAATTAGATGTCATGAGTGGATCTTTATTAAATCGTAATTCAAACATACTGTATAAAGATGTAGATATCTTTGAGATGATAGAGAACTAAACACAGTACAGTGTATGTTTTAGATGATATTAAGGAAGTATTGATCATCTTGGCTGGCACCGTGGCTCACACCTGTAATCCCACCACCTTAGGAGGCCAAGGTGGGAGGATCACTTGAGACCTGGATTTGGAGACCAGTCTAGGCAACAAAGTAAGATCCCATCCCTATTTTTTAAAATTTAAAAATTAAAACATTTTTTAAAAAGATAATCTCATTAAATGTGGTAACATTGCCATTAAAAAGTACATATCTGGGCTGGGCGCGGTGGCTCACGCCTGTAATCCTAGCACTTTGGGAGGCCGAGGTGGGCAGATCACTTGAGGTCAGGAGTTCAAGACAAGCCTGGCCAACATGGTGAAACTTTGTCTCTACTAAAAATACAAAAATTAGCCAGGTATGGTGGCACATGCCTGTAATCCTAGCTACTTGGGAGGCTGAGGCTGGAGAATCACTTGAACCCAGGAGGTAGAAGTTGCAGTGAGCTGAGATGGTGCCACTGCACTGAGTAATAGAGTCAGACTCTGTCTCAAAAAAAAATAATAAAAAGAAAAAAAGAAAAAGGTACATATCTTCAAGTATATATAGTGTACATGTATATAAAAACAAAGTAGACATACTGTAAGATATGAAGGCGGGACTTTGGCTGGCTTCCCCAGCACCTAGAGTAGCGCTTGATGCTCTACTGACTGAGCTATCCGGGCTCTCTAGAATAGTGCTTGATACATGGTAGGTGCTCAAATATCTGATGACTGACTGAATGAATGATTATAGGACTGCCAGACACATTCAGAATACAGGACACATTTGGTCACATTTGAAGTTCAGATAAAGGGCAAATAATTTTTTAGTATATGTCCCAAATATCATGAGACTAATATATAATAAATATTAGTATATGTCCCAAATAAAATATTATATGCTAAAAGACACTTATATTTGTTATTTATCTGAAATTCAAACATAACTGGCTGTCTTGCATTCTTGCTTGCTAACTCTGGCCACCCTAGGAGGGGAAGCTGTTGCTGAGACACACTGAGACCTGAGGTGCGTGCAAGCAGGCAAAGCGGGCCACCAAGCAGGGTGAGGTCAGAATTAGGTGCGGCAGACTTGGTGGGGAAAAGGCTGAGTCTAGCAAGAGACCAGACATGGAATTTCTCAGGAGAGGATTCATGAGGCTTTTGATTCAAGGCTTCCTTTTGGACAGAGTGGCTCAGGGCACTGCAGGCCAGATGTGCACCCTGGTCCTTCAGGAACTGTGTCCTTGGGTAGGAGGCTGTGCGCCCTCGTCAGACCAGTAACACTGTGCTGCTGAAGAAATTTCCATGTATGTTAAAAACATCCAGACCTTTTTAATATAACACGAGGGCTTTAAAATTGTGTGTGTGTGTGCGCGTGCATGCATGTTTGTGTGTGCGTGTGCATGTGTGTGTGTGTGGCGGGGGGAGTATTGTCACTGGAGAGAGGGCTTCTTTAAGAAACAAGCTTGCTAATGCTATTTCAGCAGCAACATCAGAAATCGGGGAAACCACTGAAGTCAAGACAGAGTACTTAGTCCTTCCATTTAGTAAAATGTGAGATTTTTGTTGTCTTACAGGCCAGAAAGGCTGTGACTTGGCCCAGTCGACAGGCAAAGCTAAGAATGAGAGAGGATGAGAGAGAGGAGAAAGAACAGTGCTCAGGAGCCAGCCCCAGAAGGAGGCTACCCTACAGCGGAGGGAGCGGGGGCCTCCGCCACAAGAGCCTGGAGAGCAGGGAGCAAAAGAGAACAAACGGAGACAAAGGATTAAGAGGGTTTTAATGTATTTAACAAATGTAGATGCCGGACCCAGTGGCTCACGCCTGTAATCCCAGCACTTTGGGAGGCCCAGGGAGCAGGATCGCTTAAGCCCAGGAGTTCAAGACCAGCCTTGGCTCCGTCTCTACAAAAAATGAAAAAAATTAGCTGGGCGTGGTGGTGTGCACCTGCAGTCCCAGCCACTTGGGAGGCTGAGGGGGGAGAATCGCTTGAGCCTGGGAGTTGGAGGCTGCAGTGAGCTATGATCGCGCCAGTGCACTCCAGCCTGGGTGGCAGAGGGAGACACTCTCTTAAGAAACAAAAATAAAGAAAAAAAAAAACCCACCCACACAAACACAGAGTTTTTGTTTCCTCTAATCCTTGTTATAAATTACTTGATTGTTCAGTGTATAGCTAAGTCTTACTTTCAAGCAGCAGCGATCGAGTATTATCACAGGTTAGATCCCTTCTGCTTTCAGCTCTTCCTACAGAAATTGTACTCTATACAAGAAGCCCAACTTTGGGGTTTATGGAAAGGTAAACCATAAGTTTTATGCTTATGTTGACAGAAGCCCTGGGTGGGGCCTCTGAATGCTGGTTCAGAACCTGGAGGGGAGATTTCCGTTCCTGGGTGAGACCTGTGAGGCTTATTCTAATTCAGGGCCGCAGAGGACACAACCCTGCTTCACTGCCCTATGTTTACCTTCCTGATCCTTACCTGTAACAAACCTGCACTCTCAGAAGCAAGGCTACAGAGGTTCTTTTCTTGGTCTCTTTCCCTCCCCGAGGTGGCCGGGGTCCTCCACGTCTGGCCCCAGCGTGTCCTCTGGGAACACTGGCTGCCTGGCCGGGTGTGCTGAGAGGCCGGCTGGGAAGGCCACACTGCAACGAACACCTACATTCCAGGTATTGGCAGACGCACTGTCGCACGGTTCTCGCTCTGCGGACTCACTTGTTGAGGTGAGATTTCACTTCCCTCCCGGTGGGTGGCAGCTAACGGATAAGCACACAGAGGAAACTGCAGCAAGCACCTCGTGTTTCCACACACAGAGGCGGCCACCACCCAGTGCCCCAGTTACGCTGGACACCTGGTTCGCTGTGCCTCTGCCTGTCCCAGCGGTGAGGGGTGTGGAGAATCCCTTGGTGGCTGTCCCAGCAGAAGAGCTGACTTCATGTGCTCAGGACACACAGTTGAGGCCTGAGTGGATCTCGTGGGCACTGACACTCATCCCCACGGAGCCTCCCACAGCACATCCTAAGCTCAGCTTGGTTCTGTTGTCCGGAGCCTCCCCTTCTGCCCCTCTCCTCTCCCCCTCACTTCAGACCTCTCAGGCTCTTCGTGCCTTCTGCCTGGACTGTTCTTTAATACTAAAGGTGAAATGAGGAATGAGAGAAAGTGCCTTAACTTCCCACAATAGAAGCTGAATGCTAGACAGAGCCTCAGGTCATATTCACCAAACAGAAGGTCCGAGGCTCTGATTGTGGAAAGAAGGGGACAGGGAGCTCAGGGAGGAGGGAGCTTTCTAGAGGGGAGAGAGGAGAGAGAAGGGTCTTCCATTTACCTGTGCCTTAGACTCAAGGAATTCTCTGGGGGTCTAGACCTCCTGCGGATGAGTGCCCAAGTTCCCACGAGGTACTCAGGACTCTGATCTCAAACCAGGAATTCCCATGCTGGCTTCAGTCCCTGAATCCTCGTGGTCTCCAGCTTGGGCAGTGGTGTCCCTGGCCACGGAATGGCTGTCATGTCATTGCATACCTCCCCAGATACATAAGCAGAGAAGACTGAGTAACGTCACATACCTCAACCAGTAATGTGTTCTTAACTGAATGTCCCAAACCCTTTGTAGCAAAAGAGAAATGAAAGAGAAACCTAAATAACCTTTCTTCGTCTTTCCTGGAAACCCCGCTAAACTAGATTCTCAATGTCATTTTGTGTCCTGAGACTTACATGATAAGAACTTTGTAATAAACCCAGTAAAGAGCTCCCTGAATTAGACTGCCTCATTTGGCAAACAGCTAAAGACCAGGCTGTGTCCTCCTGCAAAGGCTGAGGATGAAGACTGGTGCCTCCTGGTGTTACCTGGTCTGGAAGCTGTCTGTGATTTCTTCTGCTTCAGGTCAGGTGGCAGTAAGGATATTTCTATACCTGAGTCTCTCTCCACGAAACTTAAGAGGAAACTTTCAACAGGTCTTCTTGGCTTGTCGTTTGGAAAGACTCAGGTAGTTTAGAGCCCCAGGCTCTAAACTTTCTTCAGGTTTAGGACTCAGCCTGAAAAGAGGCTTAAAGAAGGAGAACCACTTCCTTATTACGCCCTGCCCCTGGCTTTTTAATTGAAGGAGGGGCTGATCTTTGCCCGTGTAATTTGACTCTAAAAGGAATTCTATATCCATTACCTAGCACTCTTCCTGCCCTTTGGGATAACTAGGTGGGTGTTCTGATACTTCTTTACTATCCTTATCAGTTGTTAGTTAAACAAATGTTTACTGACCGCCTAACATGGTACAGGTACTGTACACATATTTAATCTTTTTTTTTTTTTTGAGACAGAGTTTCACTCTGTTGCCCAGGCTGGAGTGCAGTGGTGCGATCTTGGCGCACTGCAACCTCCGCCTCCTGGGTTCAAGCGATTCTCATATCTCAGCCTCCTGAGTTTCTGGGATTACAGGCTTGCACCAGCACGCCTGGCTAATTTTTGTATTTTTAGTAGAGACAGGGGTTTCACCATGTTGGTCTCGAACTCCTGGCCTCAGGTGGTCTGCCCTCCTCGGCCTCCCAAAGTGCTGGGATTACAGGCGTAAGCCACTGCGCCCGGCCAACATATTTAATCTTAACAACATTGAGAGGCAGGCGTTACGATTCCCATTGCACAGATGAGGAAACTGAGGCTCAGAGAGGTGAAGTATCTTGCTACGGATCCCTATCAGTTGAGCTGAGATCCAAATCGTGCTCTTTCTGGCTTTACACTCTATCATGTCACCTCTCCTATGTGACTCAAAGATTGTGTTCAAGTGGAACCACTGGAAAAGTGTTCAAAAAGGAATCTAAGCACAGCCATAGTAAAAACCACAAAAACCCACTGAAAGGCCAAATGTCATAACTTTAGAGATGGAATTCCCTATTATATGAAATAGGAAACAGTTACATCTGATTTTATGCTCTTTCCAGAGTCTTAAGTGAAATAGATATATATGGCCATGCTTGAGATCATAAACCCTGGACCGCTGGTCAAACTGTGACGATGAAGGAAGTGTGAATAGTGAAAGGGGAATTAATGCTATTTTCGTAAAAGTGGGGAAGAATGGGTCATTTAAATATTAGGCAAACAGATCCACAAGAGACAAACAGATGGTAGTTATGGGAAAGTTAGATATTTAGTAACTCGAGGTGAATTTTCACCAGCAAACTAATATTTTTTGCACCAGTGAGGTCAATGTAGAGGGTATTAAAGAAATACTAAGAATGATTTTTCTCTTTTTATAAAAACTTGCCACCTTTTTTTTTTTTTTTTTGAGACGGAGTCTTGCTCTGTCGCCCAGGCTGGAGTGCAGTGGTGCGATCTTGGCTCACTGCAAGCTCCACCTCCTGGGTTCACGCCATTCTCCTGCCTCAGCCTCCCAAGTAGCTGGGACTACAGGCGCCCGCCACCAAGCCTGGATAATTTTTTTTTTTTTTTGTATTTTTAGTAGAGACGGGGTTTCACCGTGTTAGCCAGGATGGCCTCGATCTCCTGACCTCCCGATCTGCCCGCCTCCACCTCCCAAAGTGCTGGGATTACAGGCGTGAGCCACCGCGCCTGGCCAAAAACTTGCAACCTTTTTTTGGGGGGAGACGATGAGATATATTCACTGGAAACAATTCAAGAATAAACAGGGTCTGGCTCAGTGTCTCAAGCCTGCAAGCCCAGCATTTTGGGATGCTGAGGTGAGAGGATCACTCTGAAGCCAGGAGGATCACTTGAAGACCAGCCTGGACAACACAGTGATGAGACAAGAGTTCTTCAGGACTGGTTTGCAAGGTACAGGTCACAAAGACACCACTGATAAAATGACATGTAGTAAAGCAGCAGCCCAAATCTATCAAAACCAAGATGCGATGAAAGCAACCTCCGGTCGTCCTCACAGCTCATTATATGCCAATGATAATGCACTGTTGTGCTAAAAGACACTCGCTCCTACCAGCCCCATGTCAGTTTACAAATGTTATGGCAATGTCTGGAAGTTACCCTATATTGTCTGAAATGGGAAAACCCTCAGTTCTGGGAACTCCCCACCTTTTTCCCAGAAAACTCACGAATAATTCACTTTTTGTTTAGCATATGATCAAGGAATACCCGTATACTCAATCAAACAGCCCATGCCACTGCTCTGCCTATGGAGTAGCCCCCCTTTTATTCCTTAACTTGCTTAATAACCTTGCTTTCATTTTACTTTGTTGGCTCACTCTTGAATTCCTTCTTGTGGGAAGCCAAGAACCCATGTGGCCTCCCAGACTGAACCCCAATTTTGGGATTCACGCTGTGATAGTAAGACCCCATCTCTTAATTTTTTTTTTTTTAATTAGCCAGGCATGACTCACGCATGTAGTGCTAGCTACTCAGGGGGCTGAGGTGGGAGGATCACTGGAGACCAGGTATTCAACACCAGCCAGACAACATAGCATGGTGGCACATGCCTGTAGTCCTAGCTACTTGGTAGTCTGAGACAGAAAGATTGCTTGAGCCTAGGAGTTCAAGGGGGCAGCAAGCTAGGATCATGCTATTGTAGTTTAGCCTGGGTGACAGAGTAAGACCCTGTCTCAAAACAAAAACAAAAACCCTGTCTCAAAACAAACAAACAGAAAAACAAACAATAAAACCACAAAAGCATATAAGCAATAATAAAATCACATCACATAGTATGTCCATACTGGAGTTCTGAGTTACATAACTAAACAATGTTTGTTGCTGAAACCATTTAGGATCCTGAAGAGTCTTGGTCATGCACAGTGGCTCATACCTGCAATCCCAGCGCTTTGGGAGGCTGAGGCAGGAGGACAGACTGTGTCCTGGAGTTTGAAACCAGCCTGGGCAACATGGTGATAACCCCATCACTACAAAAAAATAAAAAGTTAGCTGGGCGTGGTGGAGCACACCTGTAGTCTCAGCTACTCAGGAGACTGAGGCGGGAGGATTGCTTGAGCCTGGCAGGGGGCCGGGGGCTTGAGGCTGCAATGAGCCATGATGGCACCACTGCACTCAGCCTGGGTGACAGAGCCAGACCCTGTCTCAAAAAAAAAAAGTCCTGAAAGGTTTTGGTAAAGCAACTATTAACACAGGGAAGGGGCAAACCCCACACGGAAGCTGAGGAGAGCAACTGTCCACCTCTCATTCAACTATGTTATCTCCACGCCTAACAAGTTGGCCAGGGACAGGTCACAACACATGTTAGATATTAAACAGCAAAAGCAAAAACCACTTTTCTCCCGATTGTAAACATAGACATGCTGTTGTAGAAAACTCGTAAAACAGGGTCATAATAAGGATTGCCATAATGCAGTCATTCAGTGGGAAATGCTGCTAAAAATTTGGTGGACGTCCCTTCTTTTCTTTGAGAAAAAGGAGACACAGGACAAACTCTCTGCCCTCCCCCTCTCTATAAGGAAAGTCAGGATGATTCTTTTTTTTTCTTCAGACAGAGTCTCACTCTGTTCCCCAGGCTGGAGTGCAGTGGCACGATCTCGGCTCACTGCAACCTCTGCCTCCCGGGTTCAAGCTATTCTCCCACCTCAGTCTCCAGAGTAGTTGCAATTACAGGCATGTGCCACCACGCCTGGCTCATTTTTGTATTTTTAATAAAGACGGGGTTTCACTATGTTGGCCAGACTGGTCTCCAACTCCTGAGCTCAAGATATTTGTCTGCCTCAGCCTCCCAAAAGTGCTGGGATTACAGGTGTGAGCCACCACGTCCAGCCATCATAACTTCTAATAAACTTATTTTGTAAATAAAATTTTTTAGTGGCGACATCATTCCAGTGAATGATAGCACTAAAAATATTCATCCAGAGGAGAATCACTTGAACCCAGGAGGCAGAGGTTGCAGTGAGCTGGGATCACACCACTGCACTCCAGCCTGGGTGACAGAGCGAGACTCAGTCTCCAAAAAAATCAAAATAAAAATCAAATCAAATCAAATAATCAGCCAGCCAACTATTTTTAAATGTTTTGTTTGTCACCAGGTGCGGTGGCTCATGCTTGTAATCCCAGCACTTTGGGAGGCCAAGGCAGGTAGATCACGAGGTCAGGAGATCGAGACCATCCTGGCTAACACAGCGAAACCCCGTCTCTACTAAAAATACAAAAAATTAGCTAGACATGGTGGTGGGCGCCTGTAGTCCCAGCTACTCAGGAGGCTGAGGCAGGAGAATGGCGTGAACCCGGGAGGCGGAGCTTGCAGTGAGCCGAGATTGCGCCACTCCAGCCTGGGCGACAGAGCGAGACTCTGTCTCAAAAAAAAAAAAAAAAAATAATAATAATAATGTTTTGTTTGTCTTCAAGTGCTTACTGTTACAAATAATGCTGCAGGGTAGAGCTTTTCATCTTTGCTCACATTTTCTATTGTTTCCTGAGAAATGATGCCTGAGAGTGGAATTATTGGGTATGAATATTTTTGAAATTGTTATATATGCTTTGAATTCACTTTAATCTATGATTCTGGAATTGATTTATATCATCACTGGAAATATATCTTAGATAAAAATGCCTAAGAGTTTGAATAATATAGATAAAAAGCCCATCCTCAGGAAAACGTTGGGGTTTTTGCCCATCACTGAGTAACCAAAGAAGACTTGAAAGGCCAGATGAGCAGATTTTAGAGTGGACACCAGATTACTCTGGGGTTTGACATTTATCCTTGTTTTGATATCAATGATGAAACTCAATGAAATAGGATCAGAGTTGGAATGGAGCAATAAAAGGCTGTGACTGGTTGAAATGAAAGATTTGGGAAACGGAGCAGAGGAGAAGCACTATTCATTATGAAGAACATCTGTGAAGGGGTCAACATGCCACTCCCCAAAGTACAACACTTTAACCTTAAGATCATTTTGAGCTGAAGGCAATGAAGATGAAGCAGACACAAGAAAAACTCTCGGCCAGGTGCGGTGGCTCACGCCTGTAATTCCAACACTTTGGGAGGCCGAGGTGGGTGGATCATCTGAGGTCAGGAGTTCAAGACCAGCCTGGTCATCATGGCGAAACCCCATCTCTACTAAAAATACAAAAATTAGCTGGGCATGGTGGTGGGTGCCTGTAATCTCAGCTACTCAGGAGGCTGAGGCAGGAGAACGCTTGAACCTGGGTGGCAGAGGTTGCAGTGAGCCAAGATTGTGCCACTGCACTCCAGCCTGGGCAACAGAGCGAGACTTCGCCTCAAAAAAAAAAAAAAATAGAAACAAAGAGAAACTCTCTGCTCCCCATGTCTCCCTACCAGGGAGGACAGGAAGATTCTCAGTCGCTGGAGACAACTCTGGACTCTTAAGCAGCCCAGAGATGGCGCTGGAGGAACCTACATAACCAACCTCACTAAGGCAATCTTTATCTTCCATTACTTTTCCCATCTACTTACCTTCCCACAGTTTGCCACCTCCAGAAGCCTAAAGCTCTTTCCCTTTGTCTTGTCACTTCTTCTTCTTTTTTTTTTTTTTTGAGATGGAGTCTCACTCTGTCGCCCAGCCTGGAGTGCAGTGGTGCAATCTCTGCTCACTGCAACCTCCGCCTCCCCGGTTCAAGCGATTCTCCTGCCTCAGTCTCCAGAGTCACTTAGATTACAGGTGCACGCCATCATGCCCAGCTAATTTTTGTGTTTTTAGTAGAGACAGGGTTTCTCCATGCTGGCCAGGCTGGTCTCAAACTCCTGACTTCAAGTGATCCGCCTGCCTCGGCCTCCCAAAGTGCTGAGATTATATGCGTGAGCCACTCACTGCACCCGGCCTGTCTTGTCACTTTTTTACAAATTTATATTTTTTTAAAAGGTGCTCTATAAGCCCAATTTCTGACCACTCCTTTGAGTCACTCATCATTGAGCGATCCTGTGTGTATGCATGTGTTAATAATAAACTTCTGTCTGTTTTTCTTTTGTTAATCTATCTTTCGTCAGTCTAATTTGCAGGGCCCCAGCCAAAAAACCTAGGAGGGTAGAGGAAAAATAAATTTTCTTCTCCCCTATACCTGTAGGAAGATCCTCTTATCTGTGGTTTGAGTGAAGACAAAATAATAGAAGGATTGAAGTGATAGTGCTGTGTTGCTATAACTGGCCTGGCCAGAGATGAGATGGAGAAAGACGTTCTTAGTACAGAGATCACGCCCTGCACCAAGGCAGGAGGTAATCGTGATAGGAGATCTGACTACCATGACTTCCATGGAAGACTCCTGATAAACATAGGTCATTTCACACTTGCTGCTAATACCATCTCTTAAGTCAAAGGAAGCCACGGTGATAAACATTGTTCTATCCTTGCATTTGGCTGACAAAGAGGCACTGGTTGGTCTCATAGAAGCAATGGGAACCTTGGAGACAGAATGTTCATTTTACTGTAAAATTGGAGATGGTTGAGAGAGAATTCTGAGCCTAGTTGGGCAAAATTTTTAGAGTAAAGATAGGCATGCTGTTGTGGCCATGGCTCCAAAGAGGCCTAACAATAATAGTTCTTATTTTACTGAGTCCATGCCAATTATTAACTCAGCTGTGTAGTAGGCACGACAGTTATGCCCATTTTACATATGAAGAAACTGAGATACAAAAGAGTTAAGTAGGTGGGATATGGTAGCTCACACCTTTTGGGTGTGCTTTTGGGAAGCAGATTGCATGAGGCCAGGTGTTTGAGACTAGCCTGGGTAACATAGTGAGGCCCCATCTCTACAAAAAAAGAAAAAAAAAATCAAAAAAATTAGCCAGGTATGGTACTGCATGCCTGTAGTCCCATACTCTGGAGGCTGAGGTGGGAGGATCACTTGAGCCCAGGAGTTCAAGGCTGCAGTGATCAAACCACTGCACTCCAGCCTGGGTGACAGAACTGTCTCAAAAAACAAACAGGCCACACGTGGTGGCTCATGCCTGTAATCCCAGCACTTTGGGAGGCTGAGGCAGGTGGATTACTTGAGGTCAGTTTCATGCATGTCCATGTGAAGAGACTACTAAACAGGCTTTGTGTGAGCAACATGGGTGTTTATTTCACCTGGGTGCAGGCGGGCTGAGTCTGAAAAGAGAGTCAGCGAAGGGAGATGGGGTTTTACAGGATTTGGGTAGGTAAAGGAAGAAGGGGGGTTGTTCTCTGGCGGGCACGAGTGGGGGTCACAAGGTACTCAGTGGGGGAGCTTTTGAGCCAGGATGAGCCAGGAGAAGGAATTTCACAAGACAATGTCATCAGTTAAGGCAGGAACAGGCCATTTTCACGTCTTTTGTGGTGGAATGTCATCAGTTAAGGCAGGAACTGGCCATCTGGATGTGTACGTGCAGGTCACGGGGATATGATGGCTTAGCTTGGGCTCAGAGGCCTGACATTCCTGTCTTCTTATATTAATAAGAAAAATAAAACGAAATAGTGGTAAAGTGTTGGGACAGCGAAAATTTTTGGGGGTGGTATGGAGAGATAATGGGCGATGTTTCTCAGGGCTGCTTCGAGTGGGATTGGGGTGGCGTGGGAACCTAGAGTGGGAGAGATTAAGCTGAAGGAAGATTTTGTGGTAAGGGGTGATATTGTGGGGCTGTTAGAAGAAACATTTGTCATTTAGAATTATTGGTGATGGCCTGGATATAGTTTTGTATGAATTGAAAAACTAAACGGAATAAGAAAAGGAGAAAAACAGGTATAAAAGGTCTAAGAATTGGGAGGACCTAGGACATCTGATTAAAGAGTGCCTAAGGAGATTCAGCATAGTCCTGCCAGCAAAGATTATTTATTTACTTCAAGAGTTAAGAGTGGCAGTTTGGGGATAGCACCAGGAGATATCAGCTGTGATGGCTTGGAGAAACAGTGTAAACTGGCAGTGTAAACAAGAGCAGGGCATGTATGATTAGTTGAGAATGGTGAATAGGAGTATGACTAGACAGAAGATAGTAGGGATGACAAGTTTTTTGGGGCACAGTCTAAGTTGGTCTGCTGTCTGGAATGAGACTGGGGCCTAATAAAAAGGAGCATCTATATGGGAGCTCAAATGGGCTGTACCTTGTAGCATTCTGAGGACAGGCCTGAATTCTGAGAAGCGAAAGTGGTAAAAGTATTGTTCAGTCCTTTTTAAGTTGGTGGCTGAGCTTGGTGAGGTGTGTTTTTAAAAGACCTTTAGTCTGTTCTACTTTTCCTGAAGACTGAGGACTGTAATGGATATAAAGGTTTCACTGAATACTAAGAGCCTGAAAAACTGCTTGGCTGATTTGACTAATAAAGGCTCGTCTGTTATCAGACTGTATAGAGGTGGGAAGGCTAAACTGAGGAATTATGTCTGACTGAAGGGAAGAAATGACTGCGGTGGCCTTCTCAGACCCTGTAGGAAAGGCCTCTTCCTATCTAGTGAAAGTGTCTACCTAGACTAAGAGGTATTTTAGTTATCTGACTCAGGGCATGTTGAGTAAAGTTAATTTGCCAGTCCTGGGTGGGGGTAAATCCTCAAGCTTGATGTGTAGGGAAGGGAGGGGACCTGAATAATCCCTGAGGAGTAGTAGAATAGCAGATGGAACACTGAGAAGTTATTTCCTTGAGGATAGATTTCCACGATGGAAAGGAAATGAGAGGTTCTAAGAGGCGGGCTAGTGGCTTGTACTATAGTATAGCCTGCCTTTGCTGGTGTGTGGCAATTAGGCCTGGTGGAACCGCCATCAATAAATCAAGCGTGATCAGGGTGAGGAACAGGAAAGAAGGAAATATGGGGAAATGGGGTGAGTGTCAGGTGGATCAGAGAGATACAGTCATGGGGGTCAGGTGTGGTATCAGGAATAATGTGGGAGGCCAGATTGAAGTCCGGGCCAGGAACAATGGTAATTGTGGGACTTAACAAAGAGTGAGTACAGCTGAAGGAGCCGGGGAGCAGAAAGTATATGCATCAGGTATGAGGAAGAAAATAGATTTTGGAAGTTATGAGAAATGTAGAGAGTAAGTTGAGCATAGTTTGTGATTTTGAGGGCCTCTAAAAGTATTAGGGCGGCAGCAGCCACTGCACGGAGACATGAGGGCTAGGCTAAAACAGTAAGGTCAAGTTGTTTGCATAGAAAGGTTACAGGGTGCGGTCCTGGCTCTTGTGTAAGAATTCGGACTGCACTAACCATGCCTAGGAAGGAAAGGAGTTGTTGTTTTATAAGGGATTGAGGTTTGGGAGATTAATCGGACACGATCAGCAGGGAGAGCACGTGTGTTTTTATGAGAATTATGCTGAGATAGGTAACAGATGAGGAAGAAATTTGGGCTTGACTGAAGTAATGGGGGCTGTCTGTGAAGCCTTCCGGCAGTACAGCCCAGGTAATTTGCTGAGCCTGATGGGTGTCAGGGTCAGTCCAGGTGACAGCGAAGAGAGGCTAGGATGAAGGGTGCAAAGGAATAGTAAAGAAAGCATGTTTGAGATCCAGAACAGAATAATGGGTTGTGGAGGGACGTATTGAGGATAGGAGAGTATATGGGTTTGGCACCACG
Source organism: Homo sapiens (assembly GCF_000001405.40). Taxonomy (NCBI): domain Eukaryota; kingdom Metazoa; phylum Chordata; class Mammalia; order Primates; family Hominidae; genus Homo; species Homo sapiens. Next base: position 30,559 of record NW_011332696.1, on the reverse strand, counting down.
GGGTGGATAGGCAAAACAATTTGGTTGATAAGGCATAGATCCTGAACTAACTTGTAAGGCTTGTCTTGTTCTAGGACAGGTAAGATGGGGGAATTGTAAGGAGAGTTTATAGGCTTTAAAAGGCCATGCTGTAGCAGGCGAGTGACAACAGGCTTTAATCCTTTTAAAGCGTGCTGTGGGATGGGATCTTGGCATTGAGCGGAGTAAGGGTGATTAGGTTTTAATGAGATGGTAAGGGGTGTGTGATTGGTCGCCAAGGAGGGAGTAGAGGTATCTTATACTTGTGGGTTAAGGTGGGGAGATACAAGGGGAGGATGTGAAGGAGGCTTTGAACTGAGGGAAAAGGTGGTAATTAGGTGTGGCTGTAGCCCAGGAATAGTCAGGGAAGCAGATAATTTAGTTAAAGTGTCTCAGTCTAATAAGGGAACTGGGCAGGTGGGGATAACTAAAAAGGAGTGCTTAAAAGAGTATTGTCTAAGTTGGCACTAGAGTTGGGGAGTTTTAAGAGGTTTAGAAGCCTGGCCATCAATACCCACAACAGTTATGGAGGCAAGGGAAACAGGCCCTTGAAAAGAAGGTAATGTGGAGTGGGTAGCCTCCGTATTGATTAAGAAGGGGACGGGCTTACCCTCCACTGTGAGAGTTACCTAAAGCTCGGCATCTGTGATGGTCTACGGGACTTCCGAAGCTATCGGGCAGCGTCAGTCTTCAGCCGCTAAGCTGAGAAGGAGTCAGTCAGAGAGCCTTCGGCCAGAGTTCCAGGGGCTCTGGGAGTGGCTGCCAGGTGAGTTGAACAGTCTGATTTCCAGTGGGGTCCCGCACAGATGGGACACGGCTTAGGAGGAATCCTGGGCTGCAGGCATTCCTTGGCCTGGTGGTCAGATTTCTGGCACTTGTAGCAAGCTCCTCGGGGAGGAGGTTCTGGAGGAACGCCTGGACGCTGAGGTTTAGGCCTTTGGAAGTTCTTGTGTGCTGGAGATGTGGCTGGGGTTTGTCTCACAGTGAAGGCAAGGAATTGCAACTTTTTTCTATTATTGTACACCTTGAAGGCGAGGTTAATTAAATCCTGTTGTGGGGTTTGAGGGCCGGAATTTAATTTTTGGAGTTTTATTTAATGTCGGGAGCAGATTGGGTAATAAAATGTATTTTGAGAATAAGACGGCCTTTTGACCTTTTAGGGTCTAGGGCTGTAAAGTGTCTCAGGGTTGCTGCCGAACGAGCCATGAACTGGGCTGGGTTTTTTATATTTGATGAAAAAGAGCCTAAACGCTATCTGATTTGGGATAAAGAAAAAGGAGCATTAACTTTAATTTAGCTCCAGCCACCTTTTCAAGAGTAAATTGCTGGGCAGGAGGGGGAGGGCTAGTCATGGAACGAAACTGTAAGCCGGACCGGGTGTGAGGAGGGGAGGTGATAAAAGGATTATAGGGTGGAGGAGCAGAGGCTGAGGAAGAATTGCGACCTAGCTCGGCCTGGCGAGGAGGAGAGAGGTCAGATGGGTCTGTAGAAAAGGAAGATTAGAAAGACTCGGCGACGCTTGGGGTTGGGACTGAGGGGACAGGTGGGAGGGAAAGAAGGAAGATTTGTGATGAGTTGCATTGGGAACAGAGACTAGAGAGGGACGGATGTGTAAAAGAATGCCTGGACATCAGGCATCTCAGACCATTTGCCTATTTTACGACAAGCATTATTTAGATCTTGTAGGATGGAAAAATTGAAAGTGCTGTTTTCTGGCTATTTGGAACTACTGTGGAGTTTGTATTGGGGTCAAGCGGCATTGCAGAAGAAAATAAGACACTTAGATTTTAGGTCAGGTGAGAGTTGAAGAGGTTTTAAGTTCTTAAGAACACAGGCTAAGGAAGAAGAAGGAGGAATGGAAGGTGGAAGCTTGCCTATAGTGAAGGAGGCAAGCCCAGAGAAAAGAGTAGAGACACGGAGAAGGGGTAGGGGGTTCTTGCCCTCCAGAAAAGCAGAGAAGGGGTCAGGCACAGAGATAGGAGGTTGGGGCATGGAAATAAGGGATGGGGTGCAGAGATATAAGAGGTTGGGGCATGGAAATAAGGGATCGGGGAGCAGAGATATGAGGTTGGGGTGCAGAAATAAGGGATTGGGGCACAGAGATATGAGGTCAGGGTGCAGAAATAAGGGATTGGGGTGCAGAGATATGAGGTTGGGGTACTTGCCTCTCCTCCAGAAAAGCCGGACTTGCCGCTAAGGGTGAAGGATAAGGGGTTGGGGGTTTCTTGCACCCCAGAAAGGTGGAGAAGGGGTAGAGACACGGAGAGAAGGGGTTGGGGTACTTGCCCCTCCCCCAGAAAAGCGGGACTTGCCGCTAAGGGTGAAGGACCAAGGCAGGCGTCCCTGTGTGGTCTGACACCTCTGAAACGTGGGGGAATAATCAGAGAGGTGTCCTTGCAATGATTAAACACTAAGGGAAGGCTGCATTCCCAGTCCGTGACCGGCACCGGAGTTTTGGGTCTACGGATAAAACGTGTCTCCTTTGTCTCTACCAGAAAATGAAAGGAACTGAAATTAAAAGAAGGGAGAGATTGAAGTGTGGCGCCAAGATTGAAAGGAGAAAGAGGCTGAGGGTTAGGGAGGTTGGAGAAGAGAGTAAAAAGAGGCCGCTTACTGGATTTGAAATTGGTGAGATGTTTCTTGGGCTGCTTGGTCTGAGAACCTGAGGTCATAGGTGGATCTTTCTCACGGAGCAAAGAGTGGGAGGACAGGGGATTGATCTCCCAAGGGAGGTCCCCCATCTGAGTCATGGCACCAAATTTCATGCGCGTCGGTGTGAAGAGACCACCAAACAGGCTTTGTGTGAGCAACATGGCTGTTTATTTCACCTGGGTGCAGGCGGGCTGAGTCCGAAAAGAGAGTCAGTGAAGGGAGATGGGGTGGGGCTGTTTTATAGGATTTGGGTAGGTAAAGGAAAAAGGGGGGTTCTCTGGCGGGCAGGAGTGGGGGTCACAAGGTACTCAGTGGGGGAGCTTTTGAGCCAGGATGAGCCAGGAGAAGGAATTTCACAAGACAATGTCATCAGTTAAGGCAGGAACAGGCCATTTTCACTTCTTTTGTGGTAGAATGTTACAGAACAGCCTGGCCAACCCCGTCTGAAACCCCGTCTCTACTAAATATACAAAATTAGCCAAGTGTGGTGGCACATGACTGTAATCCCAGCTACTCGGGAGGCTGAGGCAGGAGAATCGCTTGAACCCGGGAAGCGGAGGTTGCAGTGAGCCGACATCATGCCACTGCACTCTAGCCTGGGCAACAGAGACTCCGTCTCAAAAAAAAGAAAAAAAAAAGAGTCTGGGCACAATGACTCACGCCTGTAATCCCAGCACTTTGGGAGGCCGAGGCGGGCAGATCACCTGAGGTCAAGAGTTGGAGAACAGCCTGGCCAACATGGTGAAACCTCGTCGCTACTAAAAACACAAAAAAATTTAGCTGGGCGTGGTGGCACACACCTGTAGTCCCAGCTACTCGGGGAGGCCGAGGCAAAAGAATTGCTTGAACACAGGAGGGGGAGGTTGCAGTGAGCCAAGATGGAGCCACTGTACTCCTCCAGCCTGGGCAACAGAGACTCCATCTCAAAAAAAAAAAAAAAAAAAGACAAACACACAAAAGACTTAAGTAAAATTTCCCAGGGTCACACGAGCACATGAGGCAAAGCTGGAATTTGAGGGAGCCCAGGCACTGTCTTTAAGGCCCATGACGCTAACCACTAAACCTGACCATCTTCTTCACATGGTTCAGATGCAGCCCAGTTTGTTGATGTTCTTCACTTCTTTTTTTTTTTTTTTAATGGAGTTTTGCTCTTATTGCCCAGGCTGGAGTGCAGTGGTGCGATCTCGGCTCACTGCAACATCCGCCTCCCAGGTTCAAGCAATTCTTCTGCCTCAGCCTCCCTAGTAGCTGGGATTACAGGCATGTGTCACCACACCCAGCTAATTTTGTATTTTTAGTAGAGAAGGGGTTTCTCCATGTTGGTCAGGCTGGTCTCGAACTCCCGACCTCAGGTGATCCACCCGCCTCGGCCTCCCAAAGTGCTGGGATTACAGGCGTGAGCCACCGAGCCCGGCTCTCTTCACCTCTTTTCTGGAGTTGCTATTACTGCTTTTTGACTTTGGCGTAGGGAAAAATGGAAAGATTTGCAATGGGCAAAGAGATTACTGGATATCCTTTCAATGGAATGTTAGAGCCTTTGGGGATTATCTGATTTTATAGAGATATGCTTATTTATTTGCTTTTGATTATGCTATTTTACAACTCCTTAGAAAGAAGTTAACATATAGAAAACTGATCGTAATGCAAATAATTCCTTGCATATTATAATGCAAATAGTCTCCCGTGGAATGCCTTTGTTTATTGTCCTGTAGATATTAACCAGTTTTTCCAGTTTTGCCTGTTTGTAAATTTATTTCGGTATTTCTTATCTGACTATAAATGTGTGGTAGTTGGAGTTTTCTCCTTTGAGCTGGTTTTAATATTTTGCTGGCTCCAGTTAAATTAGTTAAATAAAATATTTGCCACATGTTCTTTTATATCATGTGAGAGTCATGATTTTCCCCTTAAGAAATAATCTTTAACGTTGGTTAAATCACTTAAATTATCTGGACCTCAGGTCCCCTTCAGTCTCTTTGATTGCATGCTTAATTGATTGAGATGCATCTAGCTAGAGATCTCTAGGTTCTGTTATTGATTGTGTTTTGTTTTTGTTTTGAGATGGAGTTTCGCTCTTGTCGTCCAGGCTGGAGTGCAGTGGCGCAATCTCGGCTCACTGCAACCTCCGAGGCCTTCCAGGTTTAAGCGATTTTCCTGCCTCAGCCTCCTGAGTAGCTGGGATTACAGGCGCCTACCACCACGCCCAGCTAACTTTTGTATTTTAGTAGAGATGGGGTTTCACCATGTTGGTCAGGCTGGTCTCGAACTCCTGACCTCAGTTGATCCGCCCACCTTGGCCTCCCAAAGTGCTGGGATTACGAGTGAGCGTGAGCCACCGTGCCCAGCCTATTAACTGTGTTTTAATCAATGGCTCAGTTATTTACAGATAACACAGGTAACAATAGAGCACAGTATTTAGGGCTCAGGCTCCTCAGGCACAGTCTTGGAGTCAAATTCTGATTCTGCTTCTTACTATAGATGAGGGGTTTAGGGAGTGATCGGGAGAAAGAAGCAAAAAGGATACTTGATTGCCAGGCTAAAAAGGAAGCTCTTGGATAAGCTCTCACTTTAAATGTATACAAATAGTGCCCACAGGAGATGTTAAGGAAAAATTTACTCTTGACCCTTGTTAAAAGGGTAAGGCAGATTTTATCCGGGACTATCGCAGTTGGTGTAGGGACGGACCACTGCAATAGGGTCTTGTGGTCAGGGAGAGAAACTGGGCTCAACTCTGAATGCAGCAGAGGCAAATGGGGATTTGTAACCAAGGAATAAGGTGGGGTCAGTGGGTGGAAAATTACTAAGGGGAAACATTGGGAGTCAGGGGATTCTGGCTAAGTTGACCTAGTGTGATTTTTGCTGAAGACCAGGCAGGGTGATCAGACATCGCCTCGGGGATGATGAGGGATGAGGAATTTGATCAGATTTTGAGGGTGATCAGACATTGGGGGTGGGGGCATGCCCAAGGATGGGGCCTGATTGGGCTCAGAGGAACCTGACTAAAGTTTGGTCAAGGACACAGTCTTTGTCAGTGGCTATGAAAACACAAATATGAAAGGGTGTGATAGGCCTGAAATAAGAGCACTGGACTGAACGGAGCTTCTTGAAAATGTTAATGACAGAAGAAGGGATTTTTCTGGTTTATTCTCAACAACAGAAGGCAGAGACAAGGCAGAACCACTCTGAGTCCATTTGACTTCTGTATTCTCTACCAGAGAAAACAGTCTCAGTTGGAAATGACTGAGAAGTGAAAGCGTTCTGCCTATGAGGAGAGTGCACAGGTGTGTTTTGCAGCTGTAAGTGAATCTCAGGCCCAGAGTAGGGAGACCTAGGGCCATCACTGAGTGGTATCCGAGGACTGCAGGTGGCTTGCACTGTTTCAGCAAGTTGGCGGGTCTCAAAAACCGTGCATTGATGTTAATTCCTGCAAAATCTGAAACTGGGGTATTAAATGGATGATTTATGAACCGTTAGAATGGTGAGTTTCTTGTGTTCCTGGAGAGTAGATCAGCACAAACGAATCCCATCTCCCACGGATCAGGGGTGTGTTTGATGAAGTGCACGTTCACTCTAGCAAGGCTTCTGACAACGATGTCATGAGATGCATGTGAATGAGTTGGAGAATTGCTGGCTAGATGAAATTGTAATTACAAAACTTTTCAGATGGTTTCCCACGTATGTGTACTTGAATTGTGCATTGATGGAATGAGGGCCTTGACCTTTCTGGATTGTTTACTTTTCCATCTCCTCTCTTTCCTAGATGTGTGAGTGGGAGCAAATTGTTCAACCTCTCCAGCCCTCAATATTTTGTGAAAAATGCCTCATTCTCTAACTGTTTATGACTCTATGAGTAATTGGTTCATACACACCTGGAGGGATGTCATTTTCCTCTGAATTCTCTCCCTGATTCTGTTTCATCATTTTTCTTTATTCTTTTTTTTTTTTTTGAGATGGAGTCTCGCTCTGTCGCCCAGGCTGGAGTCCAGTGGTGTGATCTCAGGTCACTGCAACCTTTGCCTCCTGGGTTCAAGCGATTCTCCTGCCTCAGCCTCCCGAGTAGCTGGGACTACAGGCACATGCCACCACGCCTGGCTCATTTTGTATTTTTAGTAGAGATGGGGTTTCACCCTGTTGGCCAGGCTGGTCTCGATCTCCTGACCTCATGATCTGCCCGCCTCGGCCTCCCAAAGTGCTGGGATTACAGGTGTGAGCCAACACGCCTGGCCTGTTTCATCATTTTTCATGATTGACTTAGATAATAACAAGTGTGTAGAAGATGTGAGGACGCTGCAGAGAACATAGATAAAAGTTCAGGCCCTGGAGTCAGATAATCCTAGGTATGACTCTTGGGTCAGTCCCTTCCTAATTGGATTTTATTTTTTTTTTTTTTCGAGATGGAGTCTTGCTCTGTTGCCCAGGTTGGAGTGCAGTGGCATGATCTCGGCTCACTGCAACCTCCACCTCCTGGGTTCAAGCAATTCTCCTGCCTCAGCCTCCCAAGTAACTGGGATTACAGGCACCTGCCACCACGCCTGGCTAATTTTTTGTATTTTTAGTAGATATGGGGTTTCTCCATGTTGGCCTGGCTGGTCTCGAACTCCTGACTTCAGGTGATCCACCTGCCTTGGCCTTCCAAAGAGCTGGGATTACAGGCATGAGCTACTGCGCCCAGCCCCTAATTGGATTTTGAGCAAGCTTCTTAACTTCACTAGACTTGGTTTCCTATCCTATTAAGTGAGAATAATAATAATATTTAACTTTGTGTAAAGACTAAATGATTATATAAGGTATTACATTAAACAAACAAATACGTAGCAGGGTGTCTGGCACAAAGTCAGGGCCCCCATAACTGTCAACTGTTTTTGTTTATGTTATTACTAAACCGGGAGAGGTAACATTAGGTAACATATCATGTTTCAAAATTATAGTAGGGTGAAACTATAAGCTAAAACCTAGAATTGTATAGGGTTCAACGTAAAACCCAACATTTAGTTTGAACTGATCAGCCACACGTGAACAGAATGGGAGAGACCTGGCTTAAGAGTGGCTCATGTCAAAGGCATTTAGGGGTTTTTAGGTGATTGTCAGCTCCACTTCAATCATCAGTATGCAGTGGCTTCCAAGGAAGCCAGTGTCGTCTGAGGCTGAGTTAATGAGAATGCAAAAGAAGTTATATTGCCGGCTGGGCATGGTGGCTCACGCCTGTAATCCCAGCACTTTGGGAGGCCAAGGCGGGTACCTGAGGTTGGAAGTTCGAGACCAGCCTAACCAACATGGAGAAACCCCATCTCTACTAAAAATACAAAATTAGCCGGGTGTGGTGGCACATGCCTGTAACCCCAGCTACTCGGGAGGCTGAGGCAGGAGAATTGCTTGAACCCGGGAGGTGGAGGTTGCAGTGAGCTGAGATTGCGCCATTGCACTCCAGCCTGGGCAACAAGAGTGAAACTTCGTCTCAAAAAAAAAAAAAAGAAGAAGAAGAAGTTATAGGGCCATTGTAACCTTGTCCTGGTATAGATTGTGTCCCCTGAGCTGAGTTCAGCCCTGCCCTTGTGTTTTTCGAGGAAGAAAAGCAGGGAGTGAGACTACTTGCCTTCAAATCCCAGCTCTGCTATTAGATTAGCCCTATGGACTTGGGCAAGTTATTTAACCTTTCTGTGCCTCAGCTTTCTAATTTGTAAAATGAGAATAATAAAAATTCTATCTATCTCACAGGGCTGTTATGAGGATTCAGTAGGATGTAAATGTAAATATGTAAGGTGTTTCCAAAGGTGTTTGGCTCACCCACATGCTAGAGAAATGGTGGTGGTGGTGCTGGTGGTACCATCATCATTGTCATTCTAAGGACACTGTCCATGTCCCCAAGGGACCTGATCAGAATGGTGATGGGTGCTGCATCAGTGAAACAAGAATACTGAATTCATGAACCGTCTTGCTCTTCTACTACCCCTGCCCCAAACACACACCTCACTCCCTTGATATGGGCAGGCTTCTCACTTTTAGGCTTTGGCCTAAGTTGGAATGCTCAGACGTATACTCCTTTTGGTCTCTATCACTAAACTTTAGAAATTATCTCGTTCAGGGCTCTTATTTTAGGTATGCTCAAGGTCAGACAGAAGCTAAGAAACCAAGGTCCTGATACAGCAATCCCACTTCTGGGTATTTATCCAAAGGCATTGAAATCAGTATGTTGAAGAGACACCTGAACTCCCATGTTCATTGCAACACGATTTACCATAGCCAAGATATGGAATCAATCTAGGTGTCCATCAACAGATGAATGAATAAAGAAAATGTGGTATATATGCACAATAGAATACTACTCAGCCTTAAACAGGGGTGAAATCCTGTGATTTGGGACAACATGGATGAATCTGGAGGACACTACGCTAAGTGAAATAAGCCAGGCACAGAAAGACAAATATTGCACGATCTCACTCATAGGTAGGATCTGAGAAAGTTGATCTCATAGAAGTAGAGAGTACAATGGTGGTTACCAGGGACTGGGGGTGGAGCGGTGGTTGGGAAAAGGCTACACAGTTTCAGTTAGACAAGAGGAATAAGCTTTACTAATCAATTGCACAGCATGGTAACTATAATAAGTAATAATGCATTGTATATTTCAAAATTGCTAAAAGTAGATCTTAAATGTTTTTACTGCAAAAAATTGGTAAGTTTGTGAGGTGATGGATTTACTAATTAGCCTGATTTAATCATTCCACATTGTAAACCTATATCAAAACATCAAATTGTACTCCATAAACATGTATTATTACTACTTGTTAATGAAAAATAAAAATAAAACGAAAAACAAAGGAAGAAGAAAAAAACCTCAAAAAAGAAAAAGAAAACAAGGTCCTCAGCCGTGTCCTATTTTCTTTGCACTCACCACCCACGTCCTTCTCACATCTGATTGTTGAAGTCTTTCCAACTCCAACTCAATTCCACTTCTTCTTAGAACCTTTCCAGATCCTCCAAGGTAAGCTGGGCTACTCTTTCCCCATGCCTATATGATTGTAAGTTGTGTGTAGCTATTACAGTACTTACGGTCTTTGTTTTAGTGTCCATCACCTATGCCTCTTGTCTTCACCCTGTTTGCCTAAAGAGCAAGGAGATAATATTCGCTTTAGGGTCCCACTTGGCACAAGCATGGTGCTTTGCATATATTAGACTATCATGAAGTGCTCATTGAATTGGGTATTAAGATTGTATAATGTGGACTATTTATCTTAGAAGAGAGAAGATTTAGGAGGAATGGAATTGACTCTCATGGAAAGATTCGATTCAGCTACCTAGTGCTAAAGAGCAGAATGGGGACCAGGGGCTGAAAGTTACCAGGGGGTAAATTTGATCTGGCTGTGTGGGGCGGATTCTTCCCAGTGACAATCATTTAATGAGGAGATGGGTGCCTCATGAGAGGCGAGTTAAGGTATTCAAGCAGAGGCAGGATGGCCACTGTCAGGAGTGGAGTAGAGGGGAACCCTCGGGATTCCCTGTTTATTAGCTGAGTTTCAACATCACTAGAAACCTCGGTGATGTTTTAGGTTCCCATGTAGCTACAGACTACAGCAGACGCATGGGGTACCTGATGTGCAAACAGGGTTGAGACAGGCCTAGCACTGCCCAGTAGACCTGAGTCTGGCTTAGGTTCATTCTTGACTCTTGCTAGTCTAGTCTGCAAGAAGCTGAACTCACGAAAAGCCAGCTCCTTTTCCCACCATCTCTATTTATTAACCCCTCCCTCACTCTTATACACCCTGCTCACTGCTGTCTGGTGCCCCTACAAGGTCAATTTCACGCTGAACTTTACTACAGTGAAAAGTCCTGAGTTTCATCTAAAAGCATTTGAGGTGTCTTAAGTTAAATTCTAAAACCTTTCAGTTTAGCTTCAGTTTATGGTGCTATTCAATCCTTATCGAGCACTTCCGCCAAAAGGTCCTAAATCTCTCTCTTATGCAAGCTTCCACGGGCTGCATGAGGCCCAGGATGGCTTTGAATGTGGCTCAACACAAATTTGTAAACTTTCTTAAAACATTATGAGATTTATGCACGGCCATTCTTTTTTCTTTTCTTTTCTTTTCTTTTTTTTTTTTTTTTTTTTAGCTCATCAGCTATTAGTGTTAGTGTGTTTTATGTGTGGCCCAAGACAATTCTTCTTCCAGTGTGGCCCAGGGAAGCCAAAAGATTGGACACCCCTGTAAATAGGCTCTTAGACTCGAAGCTATAGTTTCTGTAGTTCTTCTGCCTATTCTATTTCCTTCTCAAATTACGGGTCGCACTGTTCCTTTTCAATTTGGGTTCCAGGTCTACTCCTATAAGCTTCTGGCTAAAACCTTTCTGTTTTTGCAGACTCCTCACTAATAAGTGTCCCCCTTGGCATTTTGCTCTTAGGATCTGGTTTTCCATATTTTTGAGGCTCTTTGTTTCTTCTTTTCTTTTCTTTTCTTTTTTTTTTTTTTTTTGAGATGGTGTCTCCCTCTGTCGCCCAGGTTGGAGTGCAGTGGCGCAATCTAGGCTCACTGCAAGCTCCGCCTCTCGGGTTCACGCCATTCTCCTGCCTCAGCCTCCCGAGTAGCTGGGACTACATGCGCCCGCCACCACGCCCAGCTAATTGAGGCTCTTTCAAGACTCCTGTCCAGCCTTTGCATGCCAGGGCATTAGTCGTGGCCTCCTATTGAACCCCACCTCCTCCCAAGTCCATCTAGGTCTCTTTACATCACAGTTTTGCTCCCTACCCTTGGCCCTGAGTGTTTCTGCCACCTGGCCTCATTCCTAAGGTTCTTGCTCAGGGAGGTCAGTAGACTATCTGCCATATATCAGCCTGATAAACGGATTGTCTCCCAAGCATCTTCCTTCACACATTAAATTTTAGGAAATATCAAACTTAAGAGTGGACTCTATTTCAAAAGCACATTTATAAGAAACTTATGTAGCACTCACATTTCCCCCTTACAATAACGTTCTTCTAGGTGGTTAGTTCTGCCAGGCGAGTCCAGGGGAGCCCATTTAGCCTCTAGGATGAAGCGAAAGCACTGGGACCTTAGAATCTTTGGGAGTAATAATAGTGGGATAGAATAAGACTGCAGTGTAGAACGGTGTTTCTACGGGAAACTATTTCTAGAATTCCGCCTTGGATTGCTGGGATTCCTTTTTTTTTTTTTTTTTTTTTTTTTAGATGGAGTCTCGCTCTGTCGCCCAGGCTGGAGTGCATTGGCGCGGTCTCGGCTCACTACAACCTCTGCCTCCCGGGTTCAAGCGATTCTCTTGCTTCAGCCTCCTGAGTAGCTGGGGCTACAGGCGCTCGCCACCAGGTCCGGCTAATTTTTGTATTTTTAGTAGAGATGGGTTTTCACCATGTTGCCAGGTTGGTCTCAAAACTCCTGACCTCGTGATGCACCCGCCTCGGCCTCCCAAAGTGTTGGGATTACAGGCGTGAGCCATCGCGCCTGGTGCTGCGATTCCTTTAGCTGTCTGCAGTGAGACTGGGCAGCCCCTACCCCCATATTAAAAGAAAAGAAAAAACACATCCTGCAATTTATTGAGGAATCACCGCATACCGGGCAGTGTAAACTCATTATCAGTCATGTCGCTTCATCCTCACATCAACGCTGTGAGGTGGGCACTGCTGATACCCATGTTTTACTAATGAAGATACGGAGGCAAAGAGACTGCTCTCAGTGGCTTTGGACAGGGATTCTCATAACATAAAGTCTGGGTGCGTGCTAGGAAAGGAACAAGGACTCTAGAAAACTGTAAAGGTGAGAAGAGAGTCAGAGATGGGGCAGAAGATGGAATAAAGATTGGGGCAGAGGCAGCCTGGCGCAGGGTAGGACATTTGTAGACGTTATAGAGAGTTGACCCTTGAACAAGACGGATTTGAACTGCACAGGTTCACTTATACACAGGTTTTTTCCAGTACAAGCTACACTGAGTGTGTCTGCCTCTCCTGCCTTCCCTTTTACTTCCTCCGCCTCTTCTGCCTCTGCCACCCAGAGACAGCAAGAATAACCCCTCCGCTTCCTCCTCCGCACCCTACTCAGTGTGAAGACAATAAGGATGAAAACCTTCATGAAACTCCACTTGCACTTAACGAAGAGGAAATATTTTTCTTCCTCATGATTTTCTTAATAGTATTTTCTTTTCTTTGGCTTACTTTATTGTAAGAATACATTATATAATTCATACACGAAATATGAGTTAACTGACTATGTTATCAGCAAGGTTTCCCAGTCAACTGTAGGCTCTTGGTAGTTAAGTTCAGTAGAATATTGGGCAGACATCAGCCTGACTCCTTTTTTGGGAATCAAAAGTTATACGCGGATTTTTGACGACGTGGGGGTCAGCATCCCTAACCCCACATTGTTCAAGGGTCAGCTGTGTTCCCTTCCCTGTGACCTGTCTTTTGGCAAAGGGAAACTCAGATCCTGTTGTAGGGTCTTTGAAACAATGGACAATGGCCACAGTGGCCCATGAGAGGGAAAAATATTTACATGGCAGTGCTGGGGATTCAGTTCCCACAAATAGGAGATTTCCAAGGATTTCCACAACATACCCACAGACACACACAAAGAGACACACAGATACACAGAGACACATACACAGGGACACATACACAGACATACAGATACACACACAGAGGCACACATGCAGACACACACAGACACACACACACATACACAGACATACACACAGATACACAGACACACACAGAAACACAGACACACACACAGAGACACACACAGCCACACACAGAGACAGACACACAGATACACAGACACACACAGGCACACACACAGACACACACAGAGACACACACACAGATACACAGATACAGGTACACACACACACAGAGACACACACAGCCACACACAGAGACACACAGACACACAGATACACAGACACACACAGGCACACACACAGACACACACAGATACACAGACACACAGATACACAAACAGACACACAGACACTGATACACAGACACACACACTGATAGACACACACACACTGATACACAGACACACAGATACACAGACACAGAGACAAACACATACATATACGGACACGCAGGCACACACAGGCACACACATAGACACACAGAGATACACAGACATACACACAGACACACATACACAGACACAGACACACAGAGAGACACAGATAGACACAAACGCAGACACACACAGACACACAGACACACACAGAGGCACACATTTTCAATGCTCTGTTTCCTCTTCTTCCTTTCATTTCCCCCTCACTTGGATGAGGCAGGTAGAGTGGGGGAGTGGGTAAGAGTTACTGCAGTAAGAAGAGAAAGCCGCAATAGGTATTTTTAGTCCTGGAGGTGTTCAAGGATGGTGGTAGAGTCCTTGACCCCAGCTTTTCACCTCCTCTGCCCCATATTCATGCCTGTTGCCACGTAACTTCACAGTGCCCTCCCACCATGCATGAATGACCTGCCCTGTCCCCTGGTTCTGGGCTCAATCATGTGACTTGCTTTTGTCATTAGTGTGTAAAAGCCGTGACTCAAATTTGGGCTGTAGAGAGGTTTGTCCACGAGAACTTGTTTTCTTCTTCCCTTTCCCCTTTTCTTTCCTTTCCTTTCCCTGTCCTGTCCTGTCCTGTCCTGTCGTGTCCTGTCCTGTCCTGTCCTGTCTTGTCTCGTCTTGTCTCACTCTGTTACCCAGAGTGGAGTGCAGGAGTGCAGTGGTGTGATTTTTTTTTGTTTGTTTGTTTTTTGAGATGGAGTTTTGCTTTGTTGCCCAGGCTAGAGTGCAGTGGCACGATCTTGGCTCACTGCAACCTCTGCCTCCCGGGTTCAAGCAATTCTCCTGTCTCAGCCTTCTAAGTAGCTGGGACTACAGGCGCACGTCACCATGTCTGGCTAATTTTTGTATTTTTAGTAGAGATAGGGTTTCACCATATTGGTCAGGCTGGTCTCAAACTCCTGACTTCAGGTGATCCACCAGCCTCAGTCTCCCAAAGTGCTGGGATCACAGGCGTGAGCCACTGCACCCAGCCAGTGGTGCCATCTTGGCTCACTGCAACATTTGCCTCCTGGGCTCAAGCGATTCTCGTGCCTCAGCCTCACGAATAGCTGGGATTACAGCCGTGCACCACCACGCCTGGCTAAGTTTTTGTATTTTTAGTAAAGATGGGTTTTCACCAAGTTGACCAGACTGGTCTCGAACTCCTGACGTCAAGTGATCCACCTGCTTTGGCCTCCCAAAGTGTTGAGATTACAGGCGTGAGCCACTGCGCCCAAGCTAGAGCTTGTTTTCTCATGCACCTCAGCTATGGCCATAAGAACATGCCCAGGCCAGCCTGCTGAGGATGACAGATACATGAAACAGAATCAAATTCTCCAGTTGACCTGGAGGAACCCAGCCTAGATCAGCAGCACACACGAGTGAGGCCAGCTAAGTTCAGCAGAGCCACCTGGTCTATATCAGCAGAACCCTGCCAACTTATAAAAGATAAATTTAGTTTTGTATGTGTATGCCCTGAATTTGTTTTTAAAAATTAACTTTTAATTTTGAGATAATTGTAGATTCATATGTAGTTGTAAGAAATAATCAAGATCCTGTGTACCGTTTACCCATTTTTTTTCCAATGGTAACAGCATATAATAGCACAATGTTATAATCAGGATATAGACATTGATACTGTCAAGATACAGAACATTTTCGTTACCATAAAGTTCCCTCATCTTGCCATTTTATAGCCACAACCCGTGACTTCCTGCTCCCACCCCCTCCATAACTCCTGACAACCACTAATCAACTCTTCATTTCTAGAATTTTGTCATTTCAAAAACGTTATGGAAATGAAATCATACATAGGCAACCTTTTGAGATTGGCTTTTTTTTTTGTTTTTTGTTTTTTGTTTTTTTTTGAGACGGAGTCTCGCTCTGTTGCCCAGGCTGGAGTGCAGTGGCGCGATCTCGGCTCACTGCAAGCTCCGCCTCCCGGGTTCACGCCATTCTCCTGCCTCAGCCACCCGAGTAGCTGGGACTACAGGCACCCGCCACCACGCCCAGCTAATTTTTTTGTATTTTTAGTAGAGACGGGGTTTCACTGTGTTAGCCAGGATGGTCTCGATCTCCTGACCTCGTGATCTGCCTGCCTCGGCCTCCCAAAGTGCTGGGATTACAGGTGTGAGCCACCGCGCCCGGCCAAGATTGGCTTTTTTCCCCACTCAGCCTAATCCTCTGGAGATTCATCTAGGTTGTTGTGTTTATCAAAAGTTTGTTCCTTTTTACTGTTGAATAACATCGCATAGAATGTACCATATTTTGTCTAAGCAGTCACCTATTGAAGGACATCTAGATTGCTTCTAGTTTTGAGCTCTTATGAATATAGCTGCTATAAACATTTGTGCACAAACTTTTGTGTGACTACAAGTCTTCATTTCTCTGAGATAAATACCCAGGAGCTCAATTGCTGGGTCATATGGCAGTTGCATGTTTACTTTTCTAAGAAACTTCCAAACACCACCATTTCACATTCTCACCAGCATCATATGAGTGATCTAGTTTCTCTGCATCCTTGTCAGAATTTGGTGGTGTCACTATTTTTCATCTTAGCCATCCTGATAGATATGTAGTAATACTGCATAGTGGTTTCAACTTGAATTTCACGAATGGCTTATGCTGTTGAACATATTTTCACGTGCTTATTTGTCGTCTGTATATTTTCTGTGTTAAAATGTCTCTTCACATGTTTTGTCCATTTCCTAATTGGATTGTTTGCTTTCTTATTGTTTAATTTTTGAGAGTTCTTTATATATTCCAGATACTAGTCCTATGTCAGATATATGGTTTGCAAATATTTTCTTCCCACTCTGTAGCTTGTCTTTTCATTCTCTTAACAAGATTTTTTACAGAACAAAAATTTAAAATCTTGATGAAGTCCAGTTTATACATCTTTCCTTTTATGAACTGTGCTTTTGGTGTCAAGTCTAAGAACCCTATCACAGGGCATTCTCCATATGTGAAAAAAACACAACACTTTACGTCATTCTAGATCTTGACTATTTTATCCTATGTTTTTTTCCTAAGTGTTTTATGGCTTTACATTTAAGTTCATGATCCATTTTGAGTTAATTTTTGCTTGAGGTGTGAGGCTTAGGTTGAGGTTCATTATTTCTGGTAATAGATGTGCAATCACTCCAGCATCTTATGTTGAAAGCCTGTTTCTCCTTTGTTGAGTTGCTTTTGCACCTTGTCAAAAATCAGTTGGGCATATTTATGTGGATCTGCTTCTGGATTCTTTATTCTGTTCCATTGACCTATGTGTCTATCTCTCCACCAATATCACATAGTCTCGATTACTGACCTATATAATATGTCTTGAAATCAGATAGACTGAGTCACCTCCCACTTTTTTTCTTCTTTTTCAAAATTGTTTTGAAGTCCAGTTCCTTTGCCTTTTCATTTAAATTTTAGGATAAGCTTGTTTATATCTATTTTTAAAACTTTCTGGGATTTTGATAGGAATTATATTAAGACTTCATATCAATTTGGGAGAATTTACACCTTTATTATGTTGAATCTTCTAGTCATAAACACAGTATGTCTCTCCCTTTATTTAGATATTTTTATTTCTTTCATCGGCATAGCATAGTCTTCAGCATAAAATCCCTGGATATGTTTTATTAGACTGACACCTAAGTATTCCATTCTTTTTGAGTGATTGCAAATGATATTATATTTTAAATTTTGATGTCTGCATGTCCATTGCTAGTATATAGAAATACAATTGATTTTTGTATGTTTATCTTATATCCTGCAAGTTTACTGAACTCAGTACTAAGAGTTTGTTTTTCTTGTATACTCCTTGGAATTTTCTATATATAGATAATAATGTCTTCCTTTTTATTCTCCCTCACCCCATCCTTTTGTCTTACTGCACTGGCTAAAACTTTCAGTACTATGTTGAATAAGAATGTAAGTGTGAATACGCTTGTCTTATTCTTGATTTTAAGGGAAAAATATTCAGACTTTCACCATCAGGTATAATGTTGCTGTAGGTTTTTTATAGGTGCTTTTTACTAAGTGGATGCATTTCTTTTCTATTGATAATTTTCTGAGAGTTTTTTTTAAATCATGAATGAGTGTTGAATTTTGTCAAATACTTTTTCCACATCAATTGATATGATCATGTGATTTTTCTTCTGTAGCTTGTTAATATGGTTGATTACATTTATTGATTTTCCAATATTGGACTAGCTCTGCCTCCCTATAATAAGCCCCACTTGGTCGAGATGTATAATTCTTTTTACATACTGCTGAATTTTATTTACTAATTTTTTTTTTCAGGATTTTCATGTCTGTTTTCAAGATAGTATTGATCTGTGGTTTTCTGACTTTTTTGTTTTGTTTTTTTTTTTTTTTTTGGTAGTTTTCTGCCTTCATCTGGTCTTGGTAGAAATAAAACCAATTATGAAGATACCATGGGTTGAGTGTTTGTGTTCTTTCTAAAGTTCATGTTGAAACTTAATCCCCATTATGGTAGTGTTAACAGATGAGGCCTTTTAAGAAGTTATTAAGTCATGAGGGAGAGCCCTCATGAATGGATTAGTGCCATATGAAAGGTCTGGAGGAAACTAGCTAGGCCCTTTTTGTCCTTCTATCCTTCTGCCATGTAAGGATACAGCATTTATTCTCCCAGGAGGATGCAACAAGGTGCCATGTTGAAGCAGAGATAGCAGCCCTCACCAGACTCCAGAACTGCTGGTGCTCTGGTCTTGGACTTCCCAGCTTCCAGAACTGTGAGAAAAAATTTATATTGCTTATAAATGATGCAGTCTCAGGTATTTTGTTATAGCAGCATAAATGAACTAAGAATTCCCTCCTTACCTATATTCTGGAAGAGATTACGTAGAATTGGTGTTAATTCTTTAAACATTTGGTAGAGTTATCTAGTGAAAGCATTTAGGTCTGGATATTTTTCTGGGAGGGAATTTCAAAATTATGAATTAAATTTTCTTAATAGTTATAGGGCTATTCAAATTATCTATTTCATATTGGGCTGGGCACTTTGGCTCATGCTTGTAATCCCAGCACTTTGGGAGGCCACGTGTGCATTCTGATGTGTATTAGAACGTACATGGTCTATCTTGGTGTGTGTTGAGTGTGCATTCTGATGTATATTAGAATGTATATGGTCTATCTTGGTGTATGTTTAGTGTGTATTCTGATGTGTATTAGAATGTATATTCTGCTATTGTGTCAGCTGTTCTACAAATGTCAATTAGGTCCTGTTGGTTGATGGTGTTGTTGAGTTTTTCTACAGCCTTGCTGATTTTTGGTCTACTCGTTCTATCAATTGTTTAGAGAGGAGTGTTGGAGTCTCCAACTATAATTGTGGATTTGTCTATTTCTACTATCAGTTCTATCAGTTTTTGCATCATATAGTTTGCAGATCTGTTGTTTGGCATACAGACAGTTAGTATTGTTAATACTTCCTGGTGGATTGACCCTTTGATCATTATGTAGTCTCCCTCCCTGTCTCTAGCAATTTTCTTTGCTCTGAAGTCTACTTTAGCTTGATACTAATATAACCATTTCTGTTTTCCATTTTTTTGAGACAGAGTCTCACTCTGTTGTCCAGGCTGGAGTACAATGGTGCGATCTCTGCTCACTGCAACCTCTGCCTCCAGGATTCAAGCAATTGTCTTGCCTCAGTCTCCTGAGTAGCTGGGATTACAGGTGCCCACAACCAAGCCCAGCTGATTTTTGTATTTTTAGTAGAGACGGGGGTTTCACCGTGTTGGCCAGGCTGGTATCGAACTCCTGACCTCAAGTGATCCACCCTCCTCAGCCTCCCAAAGTGCTGGGATTACACGTGTGAGCCATAGTGCTCGATCTCTGCTTTCCTTTTATGAATGCTTGCATGCTATGTCTTTTTCTATCCTTTTTTTTTCAATCTGAATATATATATTTTAGAGAAGGGTCTTGCTCTATCACTCAGGCTGGAGTGTAGTGGTGTGATCATGGCTTACTGTGGCCTCAGCCTCGAACTCCTGGGCTCAAGTGATCCTCCCACCTCAGACTCTCGAGTAGCTAGGACTACAGGTGCAAGCTGCCATTTCCAGCTATTTTTTTTTTTTCTTTAGAGATGAGGGTCTTGCTATGTTGCCTAGGCTGGTCTTGAGCTCCTAGCCTCGAGCAATCCTCCCACCTCAGCCTACCAAGTAGCTGGTATTACAGGTGCAAGCCACCAGGCCTCACTCAGGTGGGTCATATTTGTAAATCCAATCTGTCAATCTGTCTTTTAATTGATTATTTTGGCTACTTGCATTTAATGTACTTATTGATATGCTATAACTTAAGCCTGACATTTTATTTCTTGTTTTGTTTGTTCTGCTTTCTGTTTCTCTGTTCACTTTCTCTGTCTTCTGGGTTAATTGAACATTTTTCCATTTTGATTTATCTGTGGTGTTTTGTTTTATTTTGAGATGGAGTCTTGCTCTGTCACTCAGGCTGGAGTGCAGTGGTGCCATCTCTGCTCATCGCAACCTCTGCCTCCTGGGTTCAAATGATTCTCGTGCCTCAGCCTCCCGAGTAGCTGGGATTACAGGTGTCTGCCACCATGCCTGGCTAATTTTTGTATTTTTAGTAGAGACAGGGTTTCACAGTGTTGGCCAGGCTGGTCTCAAACTCCTGACCTCAAAAGATCCGCATACCTCAGCCTCCCAAAGTGCTGGGATTATAAGTGTGAGACATCACCCAGCCTATCTATAGTGTTTTGAATGTATTTCTTTTTTAGCATTTGTATTTCTTTGTATAGCACTTTTAGTGATTGCTCTAAGTATTCCATTGTGTATCCATAACCTATTTCAGTCAACTGATGTTCTTTTTTATCCTTTGAGTGAAGTATAGAACTCTTTCCCCCCATAACACCCTTTTATCTTCCCCTGTTTATAGTATAATTGTCTTAAATATTTCTTCTACATACATTGAGAACCACATCAGATAGTGTTATAAGTTTTGCTTCAACCATCAAATACAATTTGGAAAACTCTTGAGGAGAAATAAAGCCTATTGTGTTTGCCAATATTTTTGCTTACCATGTACTCTCTTCCTTGCTTCATGGTGTTCCATCCTCCTTGTATCATTTCTTTTCTGTTTAGACAACTTCCTTTAGCTATTCTTCTAGGGCGGTTCTCCTGATGACAAATTATCTTAGTTTTTCTTCATCTGAGAATATTGTGATTTCCCCTTAATTCTCACAGGATATTTTTACTGGGTATAGGACTCTGGATTGACAGTTCTTTTCTTTCAGCATTTGAAAAATATTTGTGTCACTTTTCTTTTGGAATACATGGTTTATGATGAGAAATCTATTTCGATTTTAATTGTTTCTGCCATGTTTTCCTCTGGCTGATTTCAAGATTTTTTTCTTTGTATTTAGTTTTCAGAAATTTGATTATGATGTCTCTTGGTGTGGATTTCTTTGGGTTTATTATGTTTGGAGGTTTGCTCAGCCTGTTGAAACTGTACATTTACATCTCTTGGCAAATTTGGGAAGTTTTCAACTATATTTCTGTGAGAATACTTTTTCGGTTATGTCTTTTTGCTTCTCTCCTTTTGGAAGTCTGAGGACATAAATGTTAGATCTTTTGTTATAGATTCACGGGTCCTTGAGCCTCTCCAGGTAGTCTCCAATGACATCATGGTGGGGGTGGCCTTGTGACCTTTGGATAATAATGAAAATCTCGAGTCTCTACTAAGCTCCTCTGATACCATTCCAGAAGAGAGGGGAGAGGCTCCTCTTTACTGCCACAAGGAGGACGAAGTCCAGGCTCCTCTCGTGGCCTGCACCAGAGAATTATTCACTGTAAGGAGATCAGCCTTATTTCTAAATACCAGGCAGAGAAGTGAAGAGATGGTGAGCACCAGCAACTCTGGAGTATAGCTGCTGGAAATGGTGCACAGACCAATGAATCTTTGCTAGCCGCTGTGTCAAAGACCGTGCTGGCGTTGAACCCTGACCTTCTCTTGGATGCCCATGTTTTTAATCCTTTGGTTTTCACTCACAGCTTAGATATCATTCCCATGGCTACTGGATATATGGGTCTGGCAGACCTTATTGAAATATTTATAGAATATTCCCATTTTGTGTTATGATTTAAAATACTCCAAAATAAATATCCTTGAATGTATGCAATTCAGCACTTGGGTAACTGTGTCTGTAGAACAAATACCTAGAAGACTTGTTAGATTGAATGTATGCTTCAGGCTGGGCATGGTGACTCATGCCTGTAATCCCAGCACTTTGGGAGGCTGAGGTGGGTGGATCACTTGAGGTGAGGAGTTTGAGACCAGCCTGGCCAACATGGTGAAATCCCATCTCCACTAAAAATACAAAAATTAGCTGGGTGGGGTGGCACGTGCCTGTAATTCCAGCTACTCAGGAGGCTAAGGCACGAGAATCACTTGAACCTAAGAGGCAGAGGTTGCAGTTAGCCAAGATCATGCCACTGCACTCCAGCCTGGGTGAAAGAGTGAGACTCTCAAAAAAAAAAAAAACCAAAAAAAAACACCTTATGCTTCAGAAGCCATTCTTAGGAGATAAGCTCCAGTATATTAATTTTCTCTATATAGAGTCGCTCTTTTTCCCTCTGCAGCCCTTAACATCTGAAAATATATTTTCTTTTGTTTAATTATCTCAAGATTGTTTATACAATTTTGCAACTTGATTTCACCTGGAAACATTTTTGGTAGTTGCCTAGCTATTTCTTTGATGTGCAAGCCTAACTCACTTTGTCCTGACCCTCTAGATCTTGTAATATTGGATTACTTGAGTTTACTTTTTAAAACTGTATCTTTGACTTATAGAGCTCAAACGCAATGTGGATTTGTTTCATCTTATTCCTTTTTAACAAATTATTTCCTTGATTATTGACCAAATGTGGGTTTCTCAGAATACCGTTTGTCAAATCTTTTCAGTCTGGTATGTGCCTATATCGTTGCTAAGATAGATTATGACTGAATGTCAGTGACACATTCATAATAAAAAGCTCCATAAGTTTTTTTTGGAGGAATTGTGTTGTGAAATTGGAAATATTAAAAAAATATGTGTAGACTTCCCGTTTAGCATGGCAGATTCAATACTTACATATATCTGAGCTTCATTTCCACCCTCTCCTCCCTGTCCAAAATTACAATGAAGGACTAAAAAGGCATAAACTCATAAGGACAGAGAGAATTGGAGGGAGAGAAGAGTAGAGAAGCTGAAAAGTGGTTTGAGGAATGGTAACTCACTTAGCAGCGGAGGCTGAAACCCACGTATCTCAGGAAGGGAAGAGTAATGAGAAACAAAAGATTTGTTCAACAGAACACCTGAAACCTTTTGAAATTGGGGACACCAGTACAGTGGAAGGGGCAAAGGAGGACAAGATCATGGAGATGAAGACAGAGAGATTATTTGATGGTTTCTCAAAGGATCTTTTAGACCTCTAATCCACACCATCAGAGTATGACCTTTCTCTAACCTCTGTAGAACACGAAGTTCCTTCTCTGGAGAAATTGACCAGAGTCTTCGGCTCAGAGTACTCCCACCATCCTCCCTGCTCCCACTATGGCAGTGGAATTACTGCTTGGACCCTGGTCTCCAACTCCATTATATTGAAGACCAGAGTGGAAAATCAATGGAAAAACTCAGTAAATCCAGAGAAAATACTCACACATAATGACACTGGTTGTGGGGGTCTGCCCCATGAAAGAGCTGGCTCAACACCTGATCACTCTGCACGCTGCCAGGGGACAATTCTAATTTAATCACACAGCTCCTCCAAACAACTTCTTGGTGTCTCATATTTATGTATGAATCAACAGCCCAGATCATCAGACTTTTGAGGGACGCTACCCAAATAGAAGACAGAGGCTAAAATGTCTATGTGTGGGGAGAGCTATCAATTTTGAAGAAAAAGAAAATATTATGAGGAAAAGGCAAAAAACAAAATGGACTTAAAGAGAAGTTATAAATATCTTTAGAGAGATGAGAAGGTATTACAGCTATGAAACAAGATAGGAAGCTATTAAAACAACACAACAAAAAATATCAGAAGAAAACACTCTTAGAAATTAAAATAATTAGGGCAGAAACAAAAAAAAATCAACAGAAAGTTTAGAAGATAAAATTGAGGAATTCTTGCATGAAGTAAAAAAAAAAAAAAAAAAAAAAAAAGGACAAAAATAGGACACTGGCCCAGTGCGGTGGCTTACACCTGTAATCCCAGCACTTTGGGAGGCCGAGGCAGGTGGATCACATGAGGTCAGGAGTTAAAGACCAGCCTGACCAACATGGCGAAACCCTGTCTCTACTAAAAATACAAAAAAATTAGTTTGGCGTGGTGGTGGGCACCTGTAATCCCAGCTACTCGGGAAGCTGAGGCAGGAGAATCGCTTGAACCTGGGAGGCGAAGGTTAAAGTAAGCTGAGATGGCACCATTGCACTCCAGCCTGAGGGACAGAGCAAGACTCTGTCTCAGAGAAGAAAAAAAAGAAAAAAGAAAATAGGGCACTGGATTGTCTCATTCCTTCATTACAACCCTCCTTTCTCTTGTCTTCCTGCACTTTCATGGTGGGATACTAAAACTTCCTTTCTTAGACTTTCCTGTAATTAAATTTGCCTTTTGATACATTTCTGGTCAAGGAGTCATAAGTTTAAGTCTGTAGAAAATTTCTGGAAAGGCTTTATTCTTCTGATACAAATACAAACCTTTCTGCTTCCTTCTGCTGCTCATTTAGTTCTGCCTTGAATGTGGATGGGATGGATGGAGCTGCAGCAGCTATCTTGTAGCCATGGGTAAGAGACCAAGAGAGTTCCAGATATTTTTGCCCTGACATTCCTGAGCCTCTGAAATAACACTGGTCCAATGACTTCTTGACTTCTTGTGTGAAAACAAAAACAAAAACAAAAAAAACCCCTAATTTGTTTAAGCTACTGTTTAATTAGATATTTTTTTGATCCTAGTTGAATCATAATATACACAAGAAAGGTTAAGAAACCAGAGTTGTTTAATATTTAACTAGTAGAAGTTTCAGAAAGAGAAAACAGATGATGGGTAGAAGAAAATTATCAAAGGAATAAGAGAAGAAAATATTACAGAACTGAGCTTTCATGTCTTGAAATGACACATTACCCTGAATGTCTTAGTCTGTTCCTGCTGCTATAGCAAAACACCACAGACTGGGTAATTCATAAGCAGTTGAGATTTATTTCTCACAGTTCTGGAGGCTGGGAAGTCCCAGATCACAGTGTCAGCAGATTTGGTGTCTAGTGAAGGCCTGTCCCACAGATGGTATTTTCTTGCTTGCTTTTTTTTTGAGATAGAGTCTCGCTCTGTTGCCAGAGTGGAGTGCAGTGGTGCAATCTTGGCTCACTGCAACCTCCGCCTCCCGGGTTCAAGCGATTCTCCTGCCTCAGCCTCCTGAGTAGCTGGGACTACAGGAGCGCACTAGCATGCCCAGCTAATTTTTGCATTTTTAGTAGAGATGGGGTTTCACCATGTTGACCAGGATGGTCTCGATCTCCTGACCTAGTGATCCGCCCACCTCAGCCTCCCAAAGTGCTGGGATTACAGGCGTGAGCCACCACGCCTGGCCACAGATTGGTATTTTCTCTGGTGTTCTCACATGGTGGAAAAGGTGGAAGAGCAGAAGGGATAAATACTGCGCCCTCATGTGGCAGAAGAGATGGAAGGGCAATGGGCCTAGCTAGTTCCTTCCAGCCCTTTTATAAAGGCACTAAACCCATTCACATGAGGGTGGCGGCCTCATGACCTAATCACCTTCCAAATGCCCCACCTTCTAATACCATTGCTTTGGGGTTTAAGTTTCAACATACGAATTTTGGAGGACACATACGTTCAAATGGCACCAGGTCACTAAAAATCACCAGGAAGTAGAATGGAAGTACTTCACAGTTTGCTTTCAGATAAATGTCAGAAAATTGGCTTTACTACAATAAAATAATGTGTAGGGTAAAGAACTAACAGTGCATAGATATGCAAAAGGTTTATCAGTAACTACTGAACCCCAAATGCTATGTTTTAAGACAGTGGGGACTTGGAGAAACATAGTAGAATCCAGGATATTCATTCAACAAAATATGTTTAGTTTGGATTACTGGTTCATACCTGGAAATTACTATAATTTCTTTCTTTTTGTTTGTTTGTTTTTTTGGCCTGTTCTCTGTGAACCTAAAAGTTGCTGTGATTTTGTTAGGTTACTTTGAAAGATTATGTGCTCTGAAATTATACAGACCTGGTTCTGGTCTCAGCTGTAAGGTGCAGACAATTTCTTTAACTTCTCTGCAGCTCTTTCCCCATCTGCATGGGTATTTTAGAGATTATTGTCAGGACTAACTGTGATTCTGTATCTAAAACTTCTGCACTAATTATCAGAGAAATACATGTTAAAACCACAATGAGATATCACCTCATACCTGTTGGAATGCTGTTATCAAAAAGATGAAAGATAACAAATGCTAGCGAGGTTGTGGAGAGCAGGGAAGCCTTGTGCACTGCTGGTGGGAATGTAAATTAACACAGCCATTGCAGAAAACAGTATGGAGGTTCCTTAAAAAATTAAAAATAGTACTACCATATGATCTAGCAATCCCACTCCTGGGTATATATATCCAAAGGAAATAAAATTGGTATGTTGAAGAGGTATCTGTACTGCCATGTTCATTGCAGCACTATTCACAATAGCCAAGATTTGAAACCAACTAAGTGTTTAAGTGTTCATCAACGGATGGATGGATAAAGAAAATGGGGTTGGATAAAGAAAACACACCATGGAATACTATTCAGTCTTTTAAAAAGGAGGACATCCTGTTGCTTGTGACATAGATGAACCCAAAGGACATTGTGCTAAGTGAAATAAGTCAGGCACAGAAAGACAAATACTGCATGATCTCATATGTGGACTCTTAAAAAGTTGAACTCAAAGAAGTAGAGAGTAGAATAGGGGTTACCAGGGCTTTCAGGCTTGTTGGGGGGCAGTTGGGGAGATGGTCAAAGAACATAAAATTTCAGTTAGACAAGAGGAATATATGTTCAAGAGATCTATTGTACAACATTGCAACTATGATTAATAACATATATTTTTGAAAATCACTGAGAGATTTTAAGTCACCCCTAAAATGATAACTTTGTGAGCACATGCATATGTAATTAGCTTTATTTAACCATTCCACAATGTATACATATTCCAAAACATGTTGTCCATGACAAATATACATAATAAAATAAAAAAATCCTGGCACAGAGCTGGCATTTCTGAAGTGTTAATTCCTTGTAACGCCATTTCTCAAATCGAGATTCTACCTGCACGCACATACCACAGGCTTCCATCTTTGCTCTGTTTTAGTTCATGACAGCCAGAGTTGCCCTCAAGATTTTCTAGTTTTTTGGTTCCCAAACTGGGATTCCCCAGCTCTCAGGCCCTGAGAAAGTTGTAACTAGGGTCTGTGGGTTAGTTTCAACATGCTGAAATCCTAACAAAAATCATTCATGGGTGGGAGACCAGGTTAAGAAGGGATCAAGTGTCTTCGCCTTTGTCTGTGATATGGACTCACTGTGGTAACTCTGGTTGCATCATGATCATCAGAAGGCCTGCCTGACATTTATACGTCTGATCCCTCAAGACAGAAAGCTTATTAAGCTCCTATTTTAGAGATGCATTCTGGTGGGCAACATCTTTCAGAAACACTGAATTTATGGGAAAAAATAGTAAAGAAGTTAACGAGTCTGGGGCATTGAGATCCACAAAGCTTAAGTAACTTCCCAAGGTCACACAGCAAGTTGGTAGCAGTGCCAGGACCAGAACTGATTTCTGCTGACACCTCATAGCCTGCGTGTTCCACTCCTTGCCGTGCCGTCCAGACTACCTTCTTTTCCACCTGGGTCCTTCATGTCTATCAAATATCACCTTGGAAACAGGCTTTTAGTCAGGATGTTGTAGTGTCAAGGGCAACTGAAGTCTCCTCTACACTAGGACCCCAGGAATCTAAGGGAGAAGGTATTTCCGACCATTTATTATGATTTATAATTTCAGCCAGAAATTTTTCTTCTGCTTCCTTTCTCAATTAGGGAAATGTGTGCTTTAGAAGATTTTAAATGCTTGGTTACTTAAGAGAGAAAGAAAACTCTGTTGCTTGTTCATATTATTTGTGTTTTTTTCCATGCAAAGACAGGAGGTTTTCAGCCAAGGCAAATCAGAGTGGCTGACATTCCCACGGGAAAGTGGGCCGGGCGTGAGAACAGGATGTGTACCTGTCTGGAAGCTGGAGCCTTTGATGTACATCCACAAGAGCCCCAGAAGGAAGCTGTTTTGATAAGCTGTGGTCACCAGGTGGCGCTACACACACGCTGTCAAGTCCAACAGTTTTTCAGACCTGCAGGATTTTTCCAGATTTACCGAAGCAGGAAAAAACAGGAAAAACAAAACGGGTCCAGTACTTCAGCTCAGAATAGTTGAGTTGAAAAGAGGTGGAAAACCCCCCAGACAGCTTGCCCTCTTCAATCGTGTGGCAGAGCATCCACTTGGTGCCCTTCGGATTCTTTGAGTAAATGTGGAGCTGGCTGGCTCCTCAAGGGAGTGTGGAATCAGGACGTGGCTGGTTCCGGCTGCAAGAAAGTCCCGGTTATTCTGCGAGGGCGAAAGAGCTCCAGCGTTAGGGCTTCAGCAGAGGCGGTTGCTAAGGCGCACCAGTCCTTTACTTCGGACCAGTCTGACCTTAACGGGAAAGGCAATTTCCCTTTCTGTATGGGGAACTCATTTCCTTTGTTGCTTTCCTTATTTTCCTCCCAGGGTCTTTTAATTCCATCCTGATTGGGGCCTGAGAGGAGGGCATGGGTGAGGTGTGAACCAGCAGCGCCCTTTCTTCCTTCTCGCTCCGCCCCCAGGCAACACCCTCCAGCACCCAAGCCTACCCTCTTCCTCCAACGGAAAAATGCACACGGCATATCCGTGTCTGTCCACATGCCGGATTTCCCGGCCAGTTCTGATGTGAAATATCTTGAAAGTTTGCTAAGGGGCCACTTTATATTAAAAGAGGATTAAAAAATAAAGAAAATCCCATACCTCCAATCTGAAAGTCTTTTCTTGGTGCCATAAAAAAACTGAGCTATCAGCCCTCTGGTACCTTCGATTCCAGGCCAAAGGCCACTGCCTGGTGGTGACGGCCAACGTGGAGGCACCCAGGCCAGCTCCCACGGCATCTCTGCCGACAAGCAGTGACTCCAGCAGATTGTAGTAGCACCTACACAGCCAGAGCTACACCCAGGTGCTTGCTTTGCTGCAGTTTGGGAGGGATCAATGTTCCAGAGCAGCGGCTCACCAACCTTAGCATGGCTCAGTTGCTGGGCTCCACTCCCAGAGTTTTTGGGTGAATGCGTCCAGGGTGCGGCTGGGAAATTTGCATTTTTAAGAATTTCCCCCTGAGGCTGATGCTACAGTCTGGAGACCACACTTTGAGAACCACTATTTCAGAGTAAAATGCTGGTGGGAGGAAAGGAGCAGCAGGAAACAGCCGATGACTGTGGTGTGGCCGGTCTTTCTCCCAGGCGGGGTGGGGTGTGTGTGCCAGGATTGCAGGGTCACCAGGAGGGCCGGTTCTGTGGGGGCTGCTGAAAATCCTTATCCCTCCTTTCTAGACTAGTGGTTCTGAGACTTGGCAGCACATTGGAATCACTTTGGGAGCTTAAAAAAAGATACTGATGACTGGCTTCTAGCCCCAGACGTCCTGATTTAATTGGTTCACAATGTGGTTTGGGCCCTGGAAGATTTAAAAGCTCGCTAGGTGTTTCTGATGTGTAGCCCAGGTCGAAAAATCACGGTGCTAGGTCCACGTCTTACTGCATTCTTATATCCAGTCCCCAGTAAGTGTAAGTTCTCACCACCCATTCTCAAACCCTTCCAGCTGTCTCTCATACCTCCCTGCCTCAGGCTGAAAAACACTGGCACCTGTCTGAGTACTGACTTCCTATTTATCCTTCAAGACGCAGGCCAAATATTTTTTCCGTGGTGGAGATTTTTCTGGCTTTCCCTAACAGTTCATCTCCTAAAGCACTGTGGATACACTAGAACTATAACCTTTATCTTTCACTTCATCGCAATTACATTCACGTGCTGAATGTAATGATGTTTCAGTCAAAAACCGACTGTATGTATGAAGGTGGTCCCATAAGATTATAATGGGGCTGAAAAATTCCTATCACCTAGTGACGCTGTAGCCATTGTCATGTTGTAGCTCAATTACTTTATTTTAAAAATAAACAGTGTAGCCTAAGTGTACTGTGTTTATAAAGTCTACAGTAGTGGACAATAATATCCCAGTCCTTCACATTCACTCACCACTCACTCACTGACTCACCGAGAGTAACTTCGAGTTCTGCAACAGCCATTTTGGTAAGTGCCCTATACAGGTGTACCATTTTTAATCTTTTTTTTTTTTTTTTTTTTGAGATGGAGTCTCGCTCTGTCGCCCAGGCTGGAGTACAGTGGCCCAGTCTTGGCTCACTGCAAGCTCCGCCTCCCGGGTTCATGCCATTCTCCTGCCTTAGCCTCTTGAGTAGCTGGGACTACAGGCGCCTGCCACCATGCCCGGCTAATTTTTTGTATTTTCAGTAGAGACGGGGTTTCACTGTGTTAGCCAGGATGGTCTCGATCTCCTGACCTCGTGATCCGCCCACCTTGGCCTCCCAAAGTGCTGGGATTACAGGCATGAGCCACCACGCCCAGCCCATTTTTAATCTTTTATACTGTACCTTTTTCACGTGAGGTTTGTTTAGATACCCAAATACCATTGTGTTACAAGTGGCTATGATATTCAGTACAGTTACTTGCTGTACAGGTTTGTAGCCAAGGAGCAA